>NC_000005.10:96170413-96473443 GCF_000001405.40 Homo sapiens
AGATGTGGCTGGGGTTTGTCTCACAGTGGAGGCAAGGAATTGCAACTCAGAAATACATTGCTACTTGGCTGCCTCAACTGTATTATTGTATACCTTGAAAGCGAGGTTAATTAAGTGCTATTATGGGGTTTGAGGGCTGGAATTTAATTTTTGGAGCTTTATTTAATGTCGGGAGCGGATTGGGTAACAAAGTGCATATTGAGACTAAAACGGCCTTCTGACCTTTCAGGGTCTAGGGCTGTAAAGCGTCTCAGGGTTGCTGCCAAACGAACCATGAACTGGGCTGGGTTTTTCATATTTGATGAGAAAGAGCCTAAACGCTAACTGATTTGGGAGAGGTTGGATAAAGGAAAAGGAGCATTAACCTTGACTATACCTTTAGCTCCAGCCACCTTTTTAAGAGGAAATTGCTGGGCAGGTGGGAGAGGGCTAGTTGCGGAACGAAACTGTAAGCCAGACTGGGTGTGAGGAGGAGAGGTGATAAAAGGATTATAGGGTGGAGGAGCAGAGGCTGAGGAAGAATTGGAACCTGGCTCGGCCTGGCGAGGAGCAGCCTGGGGAGGAGGGGAGAGGTCAGATGGGTCCGTAGAAAAGGAAGATTGGAGACTCCGCGACGCTTGGGGTTGGGACTGAGGGGACAGGTGGGAGGGAAAGAAGCAAGATTTGGGATGAGCTGCATTGGGAACAGAGACTAGGGAGGGACCAATGTGTAAAACAATGCCTGGACGTCAGGCACCTTAGCCCGTTTGCCTATTTTACGACAAGAATTATTTAGGTCTTGTAGGATGGAGAAATCGAAAGTGCCATTTTCTGGCCATTTAGGGCCATTGTCAAGTTTGTATTGGGGCCAAGCGGTGTTGCAGAAGAAAATAAGGCATTTAGGTTTTAGGTCAGGTGTGAGTTGAAGAGGTTTTAAGTTTTTGAGAACACAGGCTAAGGGAGAAGAAGGAGGAATGGAGGGTGGAAGGTTGCCCATAGTGAAGGAGGCAAGCCCAGAGAAAAGAGAGGGTAGAGACATGGAGAGAAGGGGTGGGGAGCAGCCAAAGCAGGCGTCCCTGCAATTGACTTGCCACCAAGGGAATGTGGGTGAATGACCAAGGCAGGCGTCCCGGCGGTGATCAGACACCAATGAAACGTGGGTGAATAATCAGGCAGGTGTCCCTGCATAATTAAACACCAAGGGAAGACTGTCTTCCCAAGTCCGTGACCAGCGCCAGAGTTTTGGGTCCATGGATAAAATGTGTCTCCTTTGTCTTTACCAGAAAATGAAGGAACTGAAATTAAGAGAAGGCAGAGATTGAAGTGTGGCGCCAAGATTGAAAGGAGAAAGAGGTTGAGGGATAGAAAGAGAGGTTGGAGAAGAGAATAAAAAGAGGGTGCTTACCCGATTTAAAATTGGTGAGATGTTCCTTGGGCTGGTTGGTCTGAGGACCAGAGGTCGTAAGTAGATCTTTCTCACGGAGCAAAGAGCAGGAGGACAGGGGATTGATCTCCCAAGGGAGGTCCCCACCCCCCCACGCCCCTGATCCGAGTCACGGCACCAAATTTCGGGACCAAATTTCACTCACATCCGTGTGAAGAGACCGCCAAACAGGCTTTGTGTGAGCAATAAAGCTTTTTAATCACCTGGGTGCAGGCAGGCTGAGTCTCAAAAGAGAGTCAGTGAAGGGAGATGGGGTGGGGCTGTTTTATAGGATTTGGGTAGGTAAAGGAAAATTACAGTCAAAGGGGGTTGTTCTCTGGCTGGCAGGGGCGGGGATCACAAGGTGCTCAGTTGGGGAGCCTTTGAGCCAGGATGAGCCAGGGGAAGGAATTTCACAAGGTAATGTCATCAGTTAAGGCAGGGACTGGCCATTTTCACTTCTTTTGTGGTGGAATGTCATCAGTTAAGGCAGGAACAGGCCATTTTCACTTCTTTTGTGATTCTTCAGTTACTTCAGCCATCTGGATGTATACGTGCAGGTCACAGGGGATATGATGGCTTAGCTTGGGTTCAGAAGCCTGACAGTCCAGACCATTGGGATTATTGAATATAACATTCTAGATTATTCAGTAGTGATTTCAAATATACATGGTATATGGCAATATGCAATTGTAATAATATGCAGTTTGTCTAAAGTGTGAATAACTTTCCGCAAAAGAAGGCCAGCTGCTACTTCTAGTGTTGGAGGTATGTGGAAAGGTTCCAGGAAGTGGCCTTTGTACATGTCTTAAATATTTCAGAATAAATTAAAAGACAGAGGGAGAACAATAATTCTTAGATATATGAGTCAGTTTTCTGAGTTGCAAACAGATCCCTCTCTAGTTAGTTTAAACAGAAAATAAATTTATTGTAGGATATCATGTAGTTTATAGATCCTCTAGGAGAGCCAGAACATTGAGCTTAGAGGCCATGCTTCCAGGAACAACGCTTAAATGACACTACTGATTGCTCTAGCAAAAGCCTCACTCCCACCATTTCTGGACACAGATACCATAACTTCCACTGCTGAGTCTGGTCAATGGATGCCAAGATTTCTACCATGGCTGCCCCCAAATTTTGGGCACATATGCCACTATGCTCATGAGAAAATAAATGTTAGGTGGTTCCTGGTAATGAAGCCACAGTATTCTCTTACAAGTCCATGTTGCATATGGGTATTTCTTATTGTTAGATCTACATCCTACCTCTGGCATAGATACCGACTGGCTGGGAAGGTGAATTTCCAACTTCTGCTTTGTGGCGGCTTGACTACAAAGGCTGAGACTCCCCAAACATGGGAAAGATGTTCAAAATATTCTGGGTGACCACAAAAAGCAACTAAGATCTACTGCACTGGAACTAGAAAAAGTGAGATGTTAAATTGGATATAATGTTTCATGTAAAGGAGCAGGAACTCTATGCCATCATATTATTTGCAGTTGTGAGACTTTGCAAGAGTCCGGGGTATAGTCCTCATAACTATCAAATATTTTTGTACTCTGACATATAATGTAAACAATTTGCAAAAAGTACACAAAGAACTGTCATCAGAATAATGGTACTTACAAGGAGCTTAATTGAAACTTGAAAGTTTAACATTTGGAGCAAAATACATAATAGAGTAACCCAATTGGAATACCCTCATGTAGTAATACCAGAAATTCTGAAAAATGTAAATAAACAGATAGATGTTATGACAGTATCTAAAGGATTGGTAACTATTTGGTACATGTGGTAGTAATTTACATTATATCGAGGTTTTCTTATAACTTCCTCTTTTGAACATAAAACATTCTGTTTGATGTTTGGGGTATTATTTTTATCATTATATTAGCTTAGGAATCTGAATCTCAGATAAATGAACTTTTTTTTTTCTTTTTTTTTTGTGAGACGGAGTCTCTGTCGCCCAGGCTGGAATGCAGTGGCGCCATCTCGGCTCACTGCAAGCTCCGCCTCACGGGTTCACACCATTCTCCTGCCTCAGCCTCCCGACTAGGTGGGACTAGGTGGCGCCCGCCACCACGCCCGGCTAATTTTTTTGTATTTTTAGTAGACACGGGGTTTTCCCGTGTTAGCCAGGATGGTCTCGATCACCTGACCGTGTGATCCTCCCGCCTTAGACTTCCGAAGTGCTGGGATTACAGGTGTGAGCCACCGCGCCCGGCCTGAACTTATTTTTTAAGTCATCTACTTGTTAAGTGACACATGAGTCTTGAACCCAGAGTTTTCACTTTTAATTTCATGAAGATAAAGAATCTGAGGAAGGTCCTCCTATCAAGCACAACATGGAGGAAGCTGTGCAAAGAGATGTTGAGATTCCCAGGAGCCTCTTTGGGCTGCCCAAACTTGCCAGTTTCCTTCTTTCTGGTTGTCTGGTCCATTTCCATTAAGGGAATTCCAGTTCTGATTCTTCTTGGGCCACACTTCTAGTTCAAGTTACTGCTATGAAGGATATTCTCCAATTTTCACAATTAGTCCATGAAACAATCATTAGACAGATATTTGTTGAGTAGCTGTGAACAAGGTCCTGCGCTGGGCGCTGCAATCATTCTTCCACTCCTCCGCAGACAGGAGGAGTTCGCCCTCTTGCTTATGTGGGGAAGGAAAGTCCAGTCAGAATCCTCTGTATGACAAGTCTACCACTAGTTGGATGATAAAGGTTTAATGTGCAGACACAGATTACAATTTTAGTTTTATAGGTTTCCCTCCTTGGTTAGAATTAGTAGTTTAATATTGGCACTGTTTTTTTGTTCTACTTTGTTTTAAGAATTTTTAGAAATGATACAGTTGTATACTCTCTCTTTCTAGCTTCTGGCTCATGATTTGTAATCTTGTTAATGTCTTTTCTAACCAATCAAAATAAGTAAAAATGTGTTTTTATAGTAGTGTTGCCATAGAATTAATGAGGCCTAACCATGTACAATCTCTGTGTGATTGGTCCCCAAAATAGTATTTGTGTGGTATTCTAACATTTCAGCAAATAATATATTTAAAGGTTTTCTTTTCAATCTTTAATGAAATCAAAAGCTTTCCTCCTCAATCTTTTTGTATTCATTTCAGATTTATCTAGGCAAACTGATATTAATAATTTTTATCAAGGTAATAGGTATACAATACTTTTTACTAGATTTTCTAATATATATGAAAACATATTTAACTTCAGATTTTTTAAACTAATCCAGAAGAAAAGCAACTGAAGTTTTTAAATTTAGAAGACATAGATTTTTCTTATTTTTATTATTGGTATTCTAATAGTATACTAAGAAAATGTAATATAAGCTACTTATAAAATAGTACATGCAATTAAATGAAGTCAGTGTACTACACTATAATAGTTTGTCATTGGACAGAACTCATCAGTTGGCCGGTTAGTACATGTGAATTTTGCATGAAGTACAAGGGACTTTCAGTTCTGGGCAACCAGTGCCAGTGAAAGTACCCTACTGGCCAAGATGGAAATTACTTTGATTTTGAGGTTCCTTGTTTCACATGCATTAAAAAAAATTATCGAGTATCTACTGAATGCCAAGGACTCATTTAGGCTCTGGAGGTATAAAGAACTAAATAAGACAAACAAGATCCCTGCTGTTATAGAAACTATTATTTAGTATGGAGAATTGAAAATAAACTAGTAAACACATAAATGATTGAGAGCATCTCAAAGAGATAGACATGTAATTTAGATGGTAAACAGGGCAATGGGCTATAAATTAATTGGGGTAACTTTACACAACGTTGGTCAGTGATGTCCTTTCTAAAAGCGTGACGTTGTTGCTGTGACCTGAATGACATGAAGCAACTATCTATGGAACAATGTGTGTTAGTGTTTCACATGGATGCCATGCATGTTTTTGTTTTAGTGGTTAGACTAGAGTGATGCTTCCACTCAGTGAGATAGAGCAGTATGTTTAAATATGTGTTAGTTTGCTCAAACTTTTGTGATGCTTTTCTAATACATCCTGGTTATTTTTCTTAAATATTCCTATTCCAGCACTAAGAGTACAGAGTTAATTCCTTTATGAGGTCCTGTTTGAAGTGCAACTGCTGATGTATAATTTCACAAACATCATTCCGCCTCTAGTAATGTTATTTCCTTGCAGCAATAATAGTCCAAGTGGGTAAGTGCTACCATAGCGGAAATTACAGGGAGCTAAGGGCTCGTCTAGCTCTATTTTGGAGGCTAGGTAAGGCTTTCTGAAATAAGAGGTTTCTAAACTGTGATCTGAAGGACAAAGAGAATTTTCCCAGGCCCAGGGAATAGGAGGACAAGACAGAAAAGTCTTCTACACAGAGGAACATGTGCAAAGGCCTTCGGAGAGAGAGAGAATGTGGTACATTTGGGGAACTGCCAATAATTTGCATTTGGCTGAAGTGTATAGTTCAAGAGATAAAGTGATAAAAGAGAAGGCAGTCTAGAGAAAGGAGCAGGAGCTGATTACAGATAAGCTTTGCTGAAGATTTTAGGCTGAGGAAAAGGACAACTTTTATTCATTAATTCAGCAAAACTTTATGAAGTGCCTTATGTGCTATGCACTGTTTTAGGCACTGGGAATACATCAGTGAACAGACAGAAGTCCCCACCTTCATTCTGTCTACATTCTAGGGGGCAAGGTAGATAGCAAACTAAGAAATTCTTAGGTAAGATGCCAAGTTTTTGAGGATTTTTGAGTTTGATGCAATATGGAAGCAATTTTTCAACTGGTAACACTTGAGAAGTCACAGGTTAACACCAAAGAATATGTATATTTTTGACAATGCCACTTGAGATTTTGGCATACTTTCACTTTTCTGAGTGAAACTAAACTAAAAGTTTGTCAGTCACAAGGACTGGCTTTTCTTTCTTCCTGAGCCCCTTCTGATAAGGACCTTTTCATAACCCTGTATCGCATGAGTTCTCAATGGTGTTAATTAAATTAGTAGAGCAGTAAATTGGTAGTGAGGCTGCTACTGCTTTCTTAAATAATTTGGAGCTCAATGGAATTACATTGTTTTGCAGAGATTCTTTAATAATGTGCCTTTAAGCTTAGGACTGCATCATCTAAATTTCTCTGTCATAGAACTTTTTGGAAATTGTACCAAACTGGGAGTATATGCTATTATAATACTTAAGAATTCAAATAACTTTTCATGTCTTAATGCATTTGCCCTAAAGTAAGAGTTGGTCACACATGTGAGTTGAATCTAAGAAGTTTAGTTTTGTGATTGAGCAAATTTATTATTATGATTATTATTATTAATTTTAGAGATGGTGAAATTATCCCTCATTAAAAAATCTACTCTGCACTTTACCAACGGAGTAGATTTTGCTGAAGTGCTAACAGATTGCTCTAAAGATACATTCCAAATTACCACCAACTTCCTATTTTGGGAAAAAAAGAAAGGAATCCAGTTTTAAGCCTCTGTCTCTTTAAAACAAAATGCGAGGTGGTGAACTATGTGGCACTTTTGATTATATGTTGAAACCACACTAAGTCCCTGAAATCCAAGAGAATATTGTACTCTGGTCCTTTGTGCAGAATGCTCACATGAGTGCTTACAGGAACCAATCCAGAAGCAAATTGCTGCTGATAGTAACTGACAGCATGAATTACTGCATTTTCAGAGACTCTGCCAGGATCAACCCGTATGATCTCACTTTTGCTCATATAGCAAGCTGAATATGTGCATGTGCTAGAACAAGCCTCCCAAGTTCAGGGAATGGCAAGGTCTCTCAGCAGTTTGAAAATAGCCAGCACCTTTGAAATGAATCACTGTGGCATCTAGTCAGCTCATACTTATAAAACCGGTTTTTCTTTGGTTAATTTCTGACCTTAAGCATGTAAAATCTCTTAGAAAAAGGAGGAACTGATTCATCTGTTTATTTGTCATGTGAAAACCAGACAAGTCAATGAGTGCTGAGGACAACATCAATTTCTCCTTAGCAAGCCGAGCTGCTTCTGGTTCTGCAACTCACTCTGGTCCGTTTGGAGACGTTTTGCAGCTAGTGATTCCCCTGTTGATTCTTAACAACTTTCAGAAATCTTCCTGTAATTTTGAACAAATAAGAACATTGAAGGAAGAACTGTACTCTTCGCTAGAAATACTCAATTGACATAAAATATATCTGATGGAAAATGCTCTAAAAATGAATTCATATTTTGTATACCAACACAACCAAGATCACTAAAATATAATTCAAACATGAGAAGAACTCATCTCAAATATACATATCTGGACATAAAAGTAGGAACTGGAAACATTTGTCCAAAAGATGAAACCATAGATTCAATATCCACAACCACAACCCAAGATCAGTCTCAAGATTTCTTCCATTATTTCAGGACATTATAAAACTCACCTAAATAGTAATAAAATTGCAGGGGAATCTGCATGATTTAATGCCTTTGCCCATCATTAGCAATGTAATCTAGTATTTCTGGGAAAACATAGACCTTCTGAGGTCTTTAACTCTGTTCTTGGCAGACAAAAAGCCTTCCAGGTCATCTTTAAAGACATATTTATTTTTAATTCTTAGGTCTACACATGTTTTCTGTTAATAAGTTGGAATCTTAAGATTGTATTCACTTCTTTATTTATTTTAAAAAATACTCAGTTCTCCTGAAACAATGGTGCCTTTGAAAATGAGGGGGCTAATAGAATAGAAGAAAAAAAAAGAAGCCTTTCCTTCTTTGTTCCATGTTTTGCTTTCTCTAGAAGGGGTGATGGGCTCTAGTCTTTGCAGGATATTTCTCAGTGAGTTAGCACTGCTCTAATGGTGGCCTTTGAGAGAAAGAGGAAAAGTGGGAGAGCCTTGTTTGTTATGGGGGAGCACTGGCTGGTTGAAGACAATCTGAAGGGGAGGTTTTTATCTTGGAGAGCCCTTCCTGGGGAAAATCAGAGGTGGAGATAGACAATCCCAGCATGGTACATGGGATAATATGATGGAGTAATGGGTGCATAGATGAGAGAGCACTTATCTCTCAACTTGGACATTTTACAGGCCTATTTATACGGGCCTCATTCAACAGGTTCAAACTCAACTGATTACTTCTTGCTCCTCCTTCTGTGTTCCTGATCTCAATGAAGCCCCATCTTCCATCCCAGCAAGAAGAGAGAGAAACTTAGGGGTTCCCTCTTGACTCTCTTTTGCCCTTGTACACCAATCAGTCACGAAGACCTGTCAATTATAACTCATTTATCTCTCTCAAGTTCTCAAATTTCATCTTCTTCTCATACTAAATACATATATGTCCTCTCCTTTACAAATAAGCCTGCTAACTGCCCCATCCTTGGTCTCTCCAATCTGATCTCTATCTACACTGTCTAAAACACACATATGACCATCTCATTCTTTTACTTAAAAGGCTCTCCATTGCGTTCAGGAAAAAAATAAAATCAAAACTCCCTTAAATGGAATATTTACCTCTCAATGAATATTCCCTGTCCTACCCTTGCTTCATCACAGGTTTTGTCTTGAATGCCCTCTCTCTGTCCTTTCTTCTCCTGGATAATTCCTACTTATCTTTCACATTTTGATTCAGCTATTACCTCCTCCTGGAAGACTTCCCCAAACCTCTTCCTGACCCTCATCACAAAAGGTTCCCAGTGTCCCTTGTTTTGACCACTGTGCTAATACATCATGTATCTTGAGGGCAAGTGCAGGGTTTTCATTGTTTCCAACTCAGCAGCTAGCATAGTGCCTGGCACATTGTAGATGAATGAATATGGGGATTAATCAGACAAAGTGACACAGAGAAGGCGGAGTTGTGCTGACTCACACTTGAGGGAGGAATAGGACAAAGCAGAGAGGGGTATTTAAGGCAGAGGGAGCATGTGCAGGAGCACGAGAGCACTTGTCACGTTGAGAGAACGTTACACGGTTTAGAACTGGTAGAGTGTAGGCCGGGCGCGGTGGCTCACACCTGTAATCCCAGCACTTTGGGAGGCCGAGGCGGGTGGATCACGAGGTCAGGAGATCGAGACCATCCTGGCTAACACGGTGGAACCTCATCTCTACTAAAAATACAAAAAAATTAGCCAGGCGTGGTGGCGGGTGCCATAGTCCCAGCTACTCCAGAGGCTGAGGCAGGAGAATGGCAGGAACCCGGGAGGTGGAGCTTGCAGTGAGCTGAGATTGCAGCCTGGGAGACAGAGCGAGACTCCATCTCAAAAAGAAAAAAAAAAGAACTGCTAGAGCGTAAAAGGTGAGATACAGACATCTGTGGCATGAGACATGTTCAGGAGTTGCACATTTGTTGTAATCTGAGGCCAGCTTTTCTCAAAGGTCAGAGAGGCTTCCTGAGGCTCTCAGTATAGTTACGAATGATGAAATGTCCAAGCAGGATTATACCATGTGTGATAATCTTATACACTTACATTTAACAAATTAGCCCCTTTGACAGAAAAGTTACAATGCATTTTAATTTTGTTATTTATGGGAAATTATAGGATTTACATAAGAATATTTGTTCATAGTACACCAGGGGAGGTGTGATCAGAAAGTGTGAAACAAGCTTAAAGTTGTGAGATAAATGTCTTCTTAAAATATTGTAAGCATATCTCTGGGACCATATGTAGAGCCTCCTCGTGAGGTACTATGAAAGTTTAACTTTGAGAACATCAGCTGAGAACCAAATGGTCCTTCACATTCTCAGTCCCTTGTTTTCCACAACAATCATATGAAAACATTTTCATTTTAACTGCTTAGAAAATGGACAAAGAAATAAAATGTTAAAACGAGAAAAGGGGAAATTTGAAAAATAAGAACAGAAAGGGAAAGACACATGGAAAAATGTTTAGAAAAATGATTAAAATTAGGGTGGTAAATACTTTTTAAAAATAAAGTAAGGCATATTCACAATTTCAAGTAAAATAGGTCAGTAGCTCAATGGAAATATTTAATTACTGTAGTTGAGGGAAATTGTCTAGCTGTGATTTCTTCATGTAAACAGTGGATGCAAGAACAAGCAAACCAAGCTTGGAGCAACTCAGTGAGCAAATACACTTCCCTGATCTGCTGGAAGGCTCAGCAAGGTGTAATTCATCCTCCAGAGTGTTGTGAAAGTTTAAACTGCATCTAGAACCAAATCCCCAAACAAAATGATCAATTTATTTAAGATAATCCTACATGCTAATATATAGATCTCCATACAGAGCTATTATTGAGTACTTTTCTTTTCCTTTTTCTTATTTTTTAAACCATTTTATGGCAGATATTTTTTCTTCTGGCTATCAGAAAGGAAGTCATGGGATGTCTCAGAATATTCACAACAGGAAACATGCTTACATTTATAAAATGAGCACGTTGTTATTTCTCCATTCCCTGATAGAATGACTTCAGCTCTTCATTTGGACTAAAATTTTCCAGATTACTTTTAGTTCCTGATTCAATTTTGTTAGAAAAGTACAAAATTTATATATCAGGATTTTTCTCCCTCAGGAGTCACTGCAATCTTCCTTCCCGGGGTGTGGTCAAATCCTGGGGAGATTCCAGATTCTGTGCATCAAAGCACAGCATCTTTGACCTTTGCCTCATGTTCTGCATCCTTCCTGGGGCTGCTGTCACTTTCTGAGTTAGACTTGGGACACGGAGCATCAAATGGTCTTGGAGAGCCACAGTTAACCTTCCAAACAGGTTAGCAAAATTTGCAAACCACTGTTGGCCATTTTTTCTCTCCATTGCGTAGCTGTGACTCAGGTCTTTGCTTCTCAGAAGGAGACAACCGAGGTGCAGATAAATGGAGCATCACAGTAACTCAGGGGTAGAAACAGATTTAGGAAGAACACAGCTTCTTAACTTTTGCTTCTGTGTTTTAATTTTCATTTTTCACAATATTTGGTTTATGGTTATTTCTTCATTAGGGGAACTAGGGGAAATACCATTTTATACTTTAAGTGTACTTTATATACAAATAACTGAAAAAAATGGCCAAACTTGTAATATTTTATTTCTAGTTAGATGCATAAATATGCAGACATTAAAATAGATGAGTTAGAGGTTATTATAACATCAATTTTGTTATATAAACATACCGAGGAAGATTAGAAGTAGTGGTTCCATTTATTACTTTTTAATCAACTGGAAAGCCTCAGTGGCACCAGTTTTCAAAACAGCATTTTTCTCATTTCTATAAAATGGATAAGGACAATAAGAGCTATGTTAAATTCTTCTGCGTAACAGTCAAATAAAATACTCATGATTTAAAAATGTCTTTCATATTTAGTATGTATCTTTAACTTCTTCAGTGAGGGTCTTAATATTTATCTTGAAATACTTTATAAGTTTCTGTCTCTTTTCTCTTCCTGATATGTACTCCATGTTTTAGGTCCCTGCAAATAGCCCTCTGGGTTAGAAGTTGCTTCCAGAATTCCTGGGGTGTCTGCTAGTTAACCCGTTTGATGTCTGTGGGGCATTGTTGGGAAGGCATTTGGTGATTTGAACTTGAGATCCTTGGCTGGTGGAGAAGTCCTTACTTGGGCTTGGAATTTGGGCCTGGAGTAAGGCATGAGTTTCCCCTTTGGAACCCTCCTATGAGTTGGAGTAAAGCAAGAAGGAAAAGAAGTATTCTTCTCTGAACAGGTTTTTGCTATCAGCTAGGATTTAATTACAGTGCGAGGTGGGTGTAAAGAAACACCTTTAATCGTGGAGTCTACTTTGGGGAAAGATGAATTGATTTTAAATCAAGTGTAGGTAAAAGTTTGTATCCATCCAAATGATGGTATTATATGTCAGACTTACCATATAAATATCAGATATAATGTGTGACATACAAAGATTGATGCAGAATTCCATTACAATATAGTATTAATTCATTTATTTATTCAACAAATATGTATTGGGTATATTCTATAAGCCAGATACTGTGATAGATGCTGAAGAACTCCTAAGCAAACACAACAGTCTACTTTTCTTCCATTTCTAATTTTTTTATTTTTTACTTTTTGCGGGTGTTTGTTGCAGCACTGTTTATAATACAGTCTACTTTAATAATACAAGGTTTCTGGCCGGGCATGGTGGCTTACGCCTGTAATCCCACCACTTTGGGAGGCCGAGGCGGGCGGATCTCGAGGTCAGGAGATCGAGACCATCCTGGCTAACACAGTGAAACTCCGTCTCTACTAAAATTACAAAATAATTAGCCGGGCGTGGTGGCAGGCGCCTGTAGTCCCAGCTCCTCGGGAGGCTGAGGCAGGAGAATGGCGTGAACCCGGGAGGCGGAGCTTGCAGTGAGCCGAGATCGCGCGCCACTGCACTCCAGCCTGGGTGACAGAACAAGACTCTGTCTCAAAAGAAAAAAAATAAATAAAATAATAATAATAATAATAATAATAATAATAATAATACAATGTTTCTGAATGTGCAATGTTAAGAAAAAGCAAGATAGTACATATTTTAAAAACATTTCCTATGTTTGCTTTGATGAAGCAAAAATTATACATTGGTATGTAATTTGCTATTTACCAGTTTCCTGGCTACTTTATCTGACAGATTAAAAAATTATTAAAAATGTTATTTAAAAGTTTAAATAATGTCATAATTAAAATAGTTTGAAAAGAAATATGTTGTATTTTGGGAGCCAATATATTTTGTCCAAGTAGAAAAGATCTTAAGAAAAAGAGATCCCTTAAAAGCTATTTGGAATTTTTTTCAGAAACACTGGTAATTCTAGATCTATTACCAATAACAATTTATTATGAAGCATTACTTCTTTTTTATTATCTTTGATTTTTTTTTCCACATATTTATTTCGGCATAGTATTATCCAGAAGAAAGAGCTTCGGGACTTGCATTCAAAAACTTGGTTTAAGTTCAGAGTTTGCTCTTTGTGGTAGTGTAATTTTGGGGAGTCGCATTTACCCTCTTTTGGCCTTGTTTCTTCATCTGTAAAATGATACAATGGGACATATTGAATAATTGTCAAAGTCCCTTCCAATTTTAACATTCCCTTGTTCTTTAATCTTCTAGATTTGAGGGTGGAATGTAGGCACATGGACATGAACATTATGTTGAAATATGCTATTAAAAACATAAACAACCCAGAATTTTGGATTTAGCTGGAGTTATGAATTAGTTCTGGTTGCTTATACCACAATATCATATAGACTTCTGTCCACTGCTAGATTTATACTTTACTGATTCATATTTTCCAAAGAAAAATGCATATGTATAGGTAAGTGAGGCATTTAGAATGAGGGTAGCATTTAATCACAGAAATTCAGGACCATCCCAAATTATACATACTGACATTGTCTTTGGCCAGGATAGGTACAGCCCAGACAATGATGCTCTCAGATTAAGTCCCAAATCACAACTGCATCACAGCACTGCAGACATCCTGTTGACTCAAGACCCAGGATCCCAACTCATTTTTGACACCTCCTTATTTAGTCTTTCCTGATATCTTCCTAAGTTGGAAGCACTCTCTTACTTCTTTATGCTCCAGTTCACTTATTCAGTCTGGCACTAAAATAAACTACATACAACTCTCTTTTCTTTTTTCTTCAACTTTGATTTTAAGTTCAAGGGTACATATGCAGGATGTGCTATTTTGTTATATAGGTAAGTTCGTGCCACGGTGGTTTGCTGCACAGATCATCCCATCACCTAGGTATGAAGCCCAGCATGCATTAGCTGTTCTTCCTGACACTCTCCCTGACACCACCCCAACAGGCCCCAGTGTGTGTTGTTCCTGCCCATGTGTCCATGTGTTCTCATCATTCAGCTCCTACTTATAAGTGAGAATGTGTGGTGTTTGGTTTTCTCTTCCTGTGTTAGTTTGCTGAGGGTAATGGCTTCCAAATCCATCCATGTCTCTGCAAAGGACATGATCTTATTCTTTTTTATGGCTGCATAGTATTCCATGGTGTATATGTACCACATTTTCTTTATCCATTCTATCATTAATGGACATTTAGGTTGATTCCATGCCTTTGCTATTGTGAATAGTGCTGCAGTAAACATATGCATGCATGTATCTTTATAACAGAATGATATATATTCTTTTGGATATATACCCAGTAATGTGATTGCTAGGTCAAATGGTATTTCTGCCTCTAGGTTTTTGAGGAATCACCACACTGTCTTCCACAATAGCTGAATTAATTTACACTTCCACCAACAGCATAACTGCATTCCTTTTTCTCCACAACCTCACCAACATCTGTTTTTTGACTTTTTAATAATCGCCATTCTGACTGGCATGAGATAGTATCTCATTGTGGTTTTGATTTGTATTTCTCTATCAGTGATGTTGAGCTTTTTCCATATTATTATTGGCCACGTGTATGTCTTCTTTTGAGAAGTTTCTGTTCATGTCCTTTGCCCACTTTTTAATGGAGTTGTTTGTTTTTTTCTTGTAAATTTGTTTAAGTTCCTTGTAGACTCTGGATATTAGACCTTCGTCAGATGAATACATTGTAAAAATTTTGTCTTATTCTGTAGGTTGTCTGTTCACTTTCATGATAGTTTATTTTGCTGTGCAGAAGCTCTTTAGTTGATTTGTATCCCATTTGTCAATTTTTGCTTTTGTTGCAATTGCTTTTGCTGTTTTCGTTATGAAATCTTTGCCCATGCCTATGTCCTGAATGATATTGCCTAGATTTTCTTCAAGGGTTTTTGTAGTTTTGGGTTTTACATTGAAGTCTTTAAGTCATCTTGAGTTAATTTTTGTATATGGCATAAGGAAGGGGTCCAGTTTCAATTTTCTGCATATGGCTAGCCAGCACTCTTAGCACCATTTATTAAATAGGGAGTCCTTTCTCCATTGCATGTTTTTGTCAAGTTTGTTAAACATCACATGGTTGTAGGTGTGTGGTCTTATTTCTGAGTTCTCTATTCTGATCAATTGGTCTATGTGTCTGTTCTTGTACCAGTGCCATGCTGTTTTGGTTACTGCACCCTTGTAGTATAGTTTGAAGTTGGGTAGCATGATTCCTCCAGATTTGTTCTTTTTGCTTAGGGTTGTCTTGGCTATTTGGGCTCTTTTTTGGTTCCATATGAATTTTAAATTTTTTTTTTTGTAGTTCTGTGAAGAATGCTAATGGTAGTTTAAAGGGAATTGAATTGAATATATAAATTACTTGAAGCAGTATGGCCATTTTCAACATATTGATTCCTCCTATTCATGAGCATGAAATGTTTCTTCATTTGATTGTGTCCTGTCTGATTTCTTTGTGCAGTGGTTTATAGTTATCCTTTAAAAGGTCCTTCACTTCCCATGTTAGCTGTATTCATAGATATTTTATTCTTTTTGTAGCAATTGTGAATGGGAATTCATTCATGATTTGGCTTTCTGCTTGTCTGTTGTTGGTGTATAGGAATGTTAGTGATTTTTGCACATTGATTTTATATTCTGAGATTTTGAAGTTGCTTATCAGCTTAAGAAGCTTTTGGGCTGAGACAATGGGGTTTTCTAGATATAGGATCATGTCATCTGCAAACAAAGATAATTTGACTTCCTCCCTTCCTGTTTGAATACCCTTCATTTCTTTCTTCTGTCTGATTGCCCTGGCCAGAACTTCCAATACTACATTGGGTAGGAGTGGTGAGACAGGGCATCCTTGTCTTGTGCCAGTTTTCAAGGGGAATGCTTCCAGTTTTTGCACATTCAGTATGATATTGGCTGTGGGTTTGTCGTATATGACTCTTATTATTTTGATGTGTGTTCCTTCAATACCTAGTTTATTGAGAGTTTTTAACATGAAGAGATGTTGAATTTTATCAAAAGCTTTTTCTGCATCTATTGAGATAATTATGTGGTTTTTGACTTCAGTTCTGTTTATATGATGAGTCACATTTATTGATTTGTGTTTATTTTGAACCAATCTTGCATCCTGAGGATGAAGCCTACTTGATCATGGTTGATAAGCTTTTTGATGTGCTGGTACGTTTGGTTTGCCAGTATTCGTTGACGATTTTTGCATTGATGTTCATCAAGGATATTCGCCTGAAGCTTTCTTTTTTTGTTGTATCTCTGCCACGTTTTGGTATTAGGATGGTGCTGGCTTTACAGAATGAGTTAGGGAGGAGTCCCTCCTTTTCAATTATTTGGAATAGTATCAGTAGAAATGGTACTAGCTCTTATTTGTACATCCGGTAGAATTCAGCTGTGAATCCTTCTGGTCCTGGGCTTCGTTTTGTTGGTAGGATATTTATTACTGCCTCAATTTCAGAACTCGTTATTGGTCAGTTCAGGGATTCAGTTTCTTCCTGTTTCAGTCTTGGGAGGCTGTATGTGTCCAGGAGTTTATTCATTTCTTCTAGATTTTCTAATTTGTGTGCATAGAGGTGCTTATAGTATTCTCTAATAGTTGTTTGTATTTCTGTGGGATCAGTGGTGATATCCCCCGTATCATTTTTGGTTGTGTTTATTTGATTCTTCTCTCTTTTCTTCTTTATTAGTCTAGCTAGAAGTCTATTCTATTAATTTTTTTAAAAAAAACAGCTCCTGATTTGTTGATTTTTGAAGGGTTTTTCATGTCTCTGTCTCCTTCAGTTCAGCTCTGATCTTGGTTATTTCTTATCTTCTATAGCTTCAGGGTTTGTTTTCTCTCGGTTCTCTAGTTCTTCTAGTTGTGATGTTAGGTTGTTAACTTGAGATCTTTCTAGCTTTTTGATGTGGGCATTTAGTGCTATAAATTTTCTTCTTAACACTGCTTTAGCTGTGTCGCAGGGATTCTGGTACATTGTCTCTTTGGTCTCATTAGTTTCAAAGAACTTCTTGTTTTCTATCTTAATTTCATTGTTTACCCAAGAGTCATTCAGTAGCAGGAACAACTCTCTCTTGCTCAATGGTTTGTAAGCTCCCTGAGAGAAGGACTGTGACTTGTTTATCTTTGTATTTCCCCTAGTGCCTTGCACAAAGTGGGCACTCAGAAATTTTTGTTGAAGTAAATAGTTCAATAGTCGAGGCTACCGAGCTTAAAAACAGCTACGTAAATGTTATGTTTTAGCTCTTCAACTCCCAGTGCAAGGATAGAGCTTTCTTGACTGACTGTGGTGATGGTAGAATGACTACCTGTGAGCAGTCCCATCTCTACTGAGCTGTGGGAATCTTAGCAGCTTAGTTAAGCTGAAAACAAATATTTGCCTAGGATTCTGGGAGGGGACTTCACATGCCTTTGTAGTTACCCAAGGGATGGCATCACCTTTGGTCAGCCCACTCAGTGAGCCACTCACCCACCTGGGACTGCCACATTCTCCCACAGAACCTGGATATGGGTCCTATTATTTCATTTCATCATTCATTACTTGCTGTCTATATAGGTCTAAGCCTTTTTATTACACAAAATGATGCTAACCTGAAGAGAGATTGAGACACTAAATACAAAACCATCTATAGAAAGATTAGTTTATAGGAAGATTATAGAAAGATTATCTATAAAAATATTTAGTAGTAAAATATACTGTTTTCTGCCCTTTTTGCAAATCTCATTCTCCTGAGTTAAAATCATTTTTAATTTTTTCCAATGGATCTTTCCATAAATTTGGTAATAAGTTATATTATTATTTCTTGATTAGTCCACTTTAAATATGAGTGATGATTTTCTTCTCTAAATGTTGTGGATTTAACCTATTGAAACACTACTCAACTTTTTTCCCATTCTTTCTCCCAATGTTTGATATTATGTTATTAATTTTAGTTTTTCTTTGTTTTTGGTTGTAACTTTTTCTATGTCTGTGATAATTGTCTATCCCATTTCTTGTTTCCTCAACTTTAGATATATCTGTTGAGTGAATACCATGTAAGATGGTAATAATAAAACCTGTGTCTTTCCCTCCCCCCTTTAATATCCATCAGCTATACCTTTTCTTTCACATTTTACATTTTATTCTGAAAATGTTATTAAATTTTCTATAATTGATTTTTAAAGCCAATGAAATTTGTTTTTTACCTTCAGAACTGTATAAGTATTGAGTACTGTGGAGTTGAAGAAGGTGCTAGATTATACTTTCTTTTCATGGTTTTAATGTTATAACACTGATAAATAGTGTGTTTATCATCAAAGTCAAATAAATTGTCTTTTATTACACTTTTTAAAAGGTGTATCACATTTTTATTGCTTCATATTTAGAACTTATGTTTTTGTACACTAAATTTTAATTTCCATTTCTTTTTCTGGTTGAGAGAAGAAACATAGCTTCTTCACTCTATCACTGAAATGTTTCAGATTTGTGCTCATTTTCTCAGTTAAAGACTCAGTATATTTTATCAACAATCTTCTCATAGCCTGCTGATTTTCTATTTTAATTTGGATGTTGCTTCTATGTCTGCTATGAACCATTACCCTGGGATTTCTTTTTATTTTCTTTTTGGATTTTTCCACTGTTTCCTATATCCCGCATCTTCATCTTTCTTGGTTTTCGCCTTTGCTTTGTTGAAGTATGTTTGCAAGTAATTTCATCAGAGAGGATTTGGTGAGGGGGAGGGCTAGGTGGATAATGGTCCTTTTTCTTTGTTCCTGAAAATTATTTTGCTTGTCCTCAGATTTGATTGCTATTTGGCTGGGGATATACTTCCTGGTTCAAAAACTTTCCCCTCAGAGCACTGATGATATTGCTCCAGTGCCCTCTTGTCTTTATTCCTCAATATATGTCTAAATATCAGTTCCTTTAAATTCATCCTGCTGAGCAAATATTCAGTGGCCTTTTCAGTTTGATAGCTTATGTCTTCCTTCAGCTTTGAGATATTTTCTTCCTTTTTGCAAAAAAGTAATTTACTTTCCTCTATTTTCTCTGTTTGCTTTCTGGGACCCCTATTGGTTGAGCATTGAACTTTGTGGATTGATACTTTATGATTCTTATCTTCTCTGTCATCTGTTTCATCTTTTTGTGTTTCCTTTCCATGTTCTGAGACACTTTTTATTTTACTGCTTTTTTATAAATTTTTGATTTTTGCATTGGAAAAAACTTTTAACAGCTAGTTTTTATTGTTCTCTATCACATTTTTATAGATTCATGTTTTTGTTTTTAACATTATTTAAAAACTCACAAGGAGTCAAATTCGAATTGTTTAGTTTAAGTTTTCTCCTATTCTTGCATGTTTACTATATTATCCTGGGTCAACTGCTCTTGTTTTTATCTTGATCTTTCTCTTTAATGCTATTGGTATTCCTCGTATGTCTGGTAGTCCTTGCTTATCAGTTCTTATTTTAGAATAAATGTTTAGATTGATTATTCCAAGTTGGGGGTATTATTTTTCTTGGCTGCTTGATAGGTAGTTTCTTTCTCCAGCTTGCTCTGCCCTGAATTGAAGATTCTTTGTATGCAGGAAGGGCTTAGTATGCAGAATTTGCACTGGGGGATTGAGGGGCAGCCAGGGTGGGGCTGGGGAACTAGGCCTGTCTCTAGTAGCCTGTACTTTTTTCAGGCAGCTCATTCAGTATCTTTAGGTGCCTGCGCTGGTTTTATCCTGCAAAGTGAATGCTGGGCTTCCTTTTATTCTGCATCAGAAGTCCTGGGGTATGTTCAGTGTGTGTGAGTGGGGAAGGGAGATCAGAAAGTGTAGGTTCTTTAATGAAGGACATTGAGTGACACCCTGTCTTCACTCTCCCTGACTCTGCCTGCCCACTCTGTGCCAAGAACCTTCCACAGAGTTCCCACTGGGGAATTAGGCGCCATCTTTGCTGTGGCCCCTTCTGCTGTCTCTGCTGCAGCCTCCCATACTCCATTTCACATGTCCGCAGGATTCTATCTGTGTTCTATTCCTTGGTATTTGTTGATTCATCTCTCTTCTTTTTGCTGTTAAGGCCTCATTCCCCTTTGAATTTCTTTATTGTCTTTTTGCGGCAACCTGTGTCCTCAGCTCACCATCTTTTAAAATTTATTTTTGGCAGTGTAATCCTTCATAGGTTTATTATTTTCATCCTTAATTTTTAATTTCAACCTTTTTTTAAATTCAGGATTTACATGTGCAGGTTTATTACTTAAGTATATTGCATGATGCTGAGGTTTGGGTACGGATGGATGATCCTGTCACCCAGGTACTGAGCATGGTATCTGCTAGTTTTTCAACCCTTGTCCCTTCCTTCCTCTCTCCTCTAGTAGTCCCCAGTGTCTATTGTTGCCATCTTCATGTCAATGAGTACCTAATATTGAGCTCCCACTTATAAATGACAGTATGGGGTATTTGGTTTTCTGTTCCTGTATTAATTCGCTTAGGATAATGGCCTCCAGCTGCAACCATGTTGTTTCAAAGGATATGATTTCATTCTTTTTATATGGCTGCACAGTAGTCCATGGAGCTTACCATCTTGAACTAGAACTCCTTTCCCATATTTGTGCTGTGGGATGCTGGCTTCCAGTTTGCTGAGTATTTTAGCATGTGCTAAAGGAAATTATTCTTGGAAAAGAGGAATGGGATTCTACAAGACTGTAAGAAATAGTACCTTCTGTATCTCAGCATAAGCAGAAAAACTACCATGGCCTGAGGCACTTTTGACTATATGTCCCAATATTAACAGACACTTGAGGTTACTTATATGCCAGGCATTGTTCTAAGTACTTTACATATATTAATTCATTCAGTCCTAACAATAACAGTAAAAGGAAAGTACTAATAATTGTCCCCATTTTACAGTTGAGTAAAAAGATAAGAGACTTGCCTGAAAGGTTAAATGACTCATAAGTAAAATAGCCAAGATTCAAATTTCATCTCCAGAGACTAAGCTTTTAGCCTCTCTGCTACATTGCTTCCCATAATTATGTCACTAGCAAATAAACTGTGAGGATATAATAAAGATGGAGTATCAAATAATAGCTGAGATGGAGTCTCGCTCTGTCACCAGGCTCACTGCAACCTCTGCCTCCCAGGTTCAAGCGACTCTTCTCCCTCAGTCTCCCGAGTAGCTGGGACTGCAGGCGCACGCCACCACACCCAGCTAATTTTTGTATTTTTAGTAGAGATGGGGTTTCACCATGTTGGCCAGGATGGTCTCAATCTCTTGACCTCAGGATGTGCCCACCTCGGCCTCCCAAAGTGCTGGGATTACAGGCGTGTGCCACTGGGCCCAGCCAGCTGATGGAATTTTTTTAAAAAATAAAGATATTTTAAGAAGAGTCAAAAAACAAATATAATTTCACGGTGACAAGAATGGCTGAATTACGAAATTCTGACTACATAATTAAAAATATTTTCAATGGAACAAAAAATGGGAAAGTGGGTAAAGAACCCAGCATATTTGTGCTCCAAGTTGTCTAATAAGGCTGGAGGGCCTTTACGTAAATTATAGATGAGAAAACATATAACTAAGGAGGATATAAGGGAATAGAATGAGAATTTCAGGAGAGTTAAAGTCAAGGATTAGCTGAGGCTCACAAAAACCACTAGAGACAGCAGCAGCAATTTTTATAGCTATTTTCAGAACAATAGATAGATGAAAATTATAGGTCCAATGCTTGAGAATGATGGTATCATGTTAAAAGAAAACATTGCACTTCTGCTTTTCCTCTGTCTATACCAAGAATAATGATTGTTAAGCTGACAACATGGAAAGATTAATGCATTAAGATGTCTTTACAGGCATGATAAGAGAAGATTAACAATAACTTTAATATTTTAGATGAATTCAAACTTCTAGGCCCAGACAAATCACATTTTAGGAATAAACGATCTCATTGGGATGAACATAGAACTGTCATATCCTTTTGAGAAATTTTATAGAATGGGAAAAATTCAAAAGAATGGAGAAAGGTACATATGACCCCAGTTTTCAAAAGGAAGGATGTGATAGGTTGCATTAAGTGCTTAAAATATTTGCTACTTTTTTCTGCAGGCACCTTTCAGTGGGGCCTCTTTTTATGGGATGATTATACTTCCTACCCCATCAACGTCAGACTTGGCCATGTGTCTTGCTGGGGCCAGTGGAACGTGAGGAGTGACATTCCAAGCAAGAGCTACTTCCAAACAAAACCCTTAAGAACCACTGTGTTTCTGCCATCTTTCTTCTTTCTCTGCCACAAGACCAGTGGCATATTCCAGATAGGGGCTGCTTCTTCAGCCTGGGGTCTGGAATGAATGTGACATCAATTAGAGCGGCACAATGGGTATAAATCACAATGAGAAATACATGTTTGTCGTAAGCCACTGAGATTTTTAGGGTTATTAACATAGTACATTGTAGCCTATTGTAACTCTTATAGGAGGTAGATAGTAGATTATGAAAATTACTAACTAGTAATCTTAATGTTGATTTCCAGTAAATAAAAATTAATACATGCGTTTAATCAGAAAATTTAAGAGCTTATGGAAAAATTTTTATTGTCAATATAGTTTAAGCATATGTCAAACTACCAGTATTCCTTTCTCCTTTTTTTTGTTTCTGATAGCATTCTTAGAGGTCTGTGGAATGTTACAGATGCAGTGAAGTATGTTTTAATGATGTATTTGAAAAAAATGCTTCATATTATCTTTTAATGTAAACTAATGTATATTTACTATGATATCATGCGATATTTATTGTGACCATTTGTATTATGTCCTGCTGGGAACTGTAGAGATTTAAATATGATACAGATGAGAATATAGGTAGGTGATTTCATAGCTGGATGAACAAGATACTGGGAGGGAAAACTTTAGGAAATAATCCTTTTAACCTGTTGAAAAATACATTATCAATTATTTGAATGGCAGCATTGATGTTGTATTTATCAAGTTTACATATGACCCATTACAGAAGATACTCTCTGGAAAAGAGATTCAATGTGTTGTATGGCAAAATTCAAAATGACTATGATTTCTCAAAAAGATACTAAAATCAATCTGATATAATTTGTAACTTGGGGTTGTATAACTTGAATAAATGTATAACTCAAAGTTGTATTTTTAAGTAACAGTGGGATTGGAAGAAGGAGATCTGGTTGTTGGAATTCAGGTGAAGCTAGATCGTTTGGATTGGTCCAAACATCAAAATAACATCAGCAGGATGTTGCTTCTGTAAAAGTGAAAGTGATCTTAAGCTATATTAATAGATGTTTGCATCCAGATGAAGGGGTTGTTATGTATTATTATGTAGTATTATGTCCAGTTCTGGATAATACTTTTTAACAGAAATATTGATAAAACCCAAGGGTTTTGGCATTAATGTATTGGATTCATTAATTTTTTAGGAAGAAGGAGGAAAAGTAGAGTTGAGCAGGTTGACCAATCATAGCTAAGCCTAAAGCAGAGGACACCTGGCCTGAGAAGAGAAAGACTAAAAGAGGAGCAGAGGATAAGAATTGCAGATATGACCATACCTAAAAGAAAGCATGCTAAACATTTACAGATCGAGATCTCCCTGGCTGCTTGAATACACCTGACTAGACTCCTGCTCTTTGAACCCTGTTCCCTGATGATATTAAGTTATACATACATAGAAGAGACACACTGAGTAAATGCACATCAGGAAAGTACTTTCCAAACCTGCATAATCATTGGAATCATTTGAGGAGCTTTTAAAAATGCAGATACTGAGACTCGCCTCAGACCTACTGAACCATCATTTCTGGTGATGGGCCCTGGGAATCTGCATGTTCTTAAAACAGGTGATTTTAATGATTTAAGATTCTAATAATTTGTGAGCCATGGTATCTTATGATGTGATGGGTGTTGAAGAAGCAGAGGTAGAATTAGAGAACATTGGTGTATCAGCGAAGGAAACACAGCTACGGCACTGGTTCCCAGATTTCAGTCTTCAAGGATAAATACAATTCTAAAAGAAATAGAAGTTCATCAACATAGGATTGCTGGTTTTTTATTATAACAAACCTAGCAAACTATCTTTTATCCTTATAGTTTCATTTTTTAAAAAAAGAAATTAAATTTAAAAAGGGACTGGAGCAGGACATGATATAGAAAGTACAATCTTTTAGATTGAATAAACTTAGCCATAATGTTCTTATTTATTTTTCTCATTTCACCATGGACTGGTGACAATTTCCTCATATTGTGGCATAATTTGCCATATCAGCATTTGAGGGCCACAGTGTAGGGTACATGCCACTCCATTGCTGTGCAGGGCCAAGTGGCCCATAAACTGGTTTAGGGACCTAGTTCTGGCAGTGGTGGAGAGGAAAGCCTTGGAAAGAGTGCATGGGTGGTTCAGTAAGATGCAGGCATACCTTGGATGATAAAAGATTTGAGAACAGTTGTGGAAACCAGCTGTTTAGCTGTAGAGGAAAAGACTTGTGGGGGACCCGAAAGCTATATTAATACACGAGAGGCTTTCATATATAATAATCCTTGTTATGCCAGAGGGCAGAACTAGACCTATTTGAAGAAGTTGCTGGCAGACCCATTTCAGTTTAATATAAACAAAAGCTTTGGACAATCAGACTTTTCCAATAAAGGTTAACAAACTAGAGATGTGATTACCCTCCTCCAGAAGAGCCCAACGCACTTCTGAGTCACAATTCATTAGGAATGTGGATGGAGTGAGTTGGAGGTTGGAATAAAATCACTATTTTCTAACCCTGGCAAGGCTTAATAAGACTTTGGAAGCCTTTTAAACAAATACTGATTCCTGGACCTCAACTTAGATCTGTAGGAACAGAATCTCCATGGACAGGGCTGAGGAATCCATATGTTCAGTGAGCTCCCAGGAAATTCTGTTAAGTTGTCTGTAGCCTTGGAAAACAGACAAAGTGAACTGCAATATCTTGAAGTATCTGTGATGACAGATTCTATAAAATTCTTAAAGAGATAGCAATTTGTCATGGCATCAATATTTGAATATCTACTCAATATAACATTTTATTATTGGTTACTTACAAGTTATATTTGAAACAATCAGTTATCTGAACATCAACACAAACCAAAAGCATTTGATTGTTATGAAACAAGGTTTACTTTGAGCTTGATAGAGGAATTAGACCCACATAATGAAAAGGAGTCATGACCGAATTATAAAATATGGATGCGCAAATTGCCAAACAGATAACATGTTCATGCCAAAATTTTTTATTTACAAGATCAGCAACTCATTCTTTCCAGTCTCAAATCACATATTAGTTTAATATGGCATTAAATACAGGCATTTAATATGGCATTAAATTCCCTTGAAAGATCATTTTTATTGGGTCCTTTGTTATTTTGAAATGATTTTTCATTTTCATGAATTTTCATTCTGTTACATTCAATAGTTAGAGTGACTATTCTAGTAATTGAATAGGGCAGAATGGAAGCATAGCTCCATGTTCCTCTGATAGACTGGTTTTCAGAGTCTGCAGTTTTGAACTGGACAGTTATCTCTATTAAGTTTCTATCCCAAACTCTGTGTAGATTGTCTGAAAGGTTTTCAACCATTAATGGAAGGCTGGGATCTGAATTACAGGCATAAGAAACTAGACAGAAGCCATCAATCAATTGAATATCTAGATCATTGCTTAACATTTTTTGAATTTCTAACCACAGAGAAAAATTTTCCTAATACCCTTTCAGCCATTCAAACCTTTTGAAGTATATTCTCATAAACACATTTTTCTTTTCTTCTTTTTGCGTCTAGGTTCTGTTTGCTTATTATTTGTTTACTTATTCAACAGATACCTAATGGGAGCTTACTTTATGCCAGGCACAAAATACTAAGTGCTGAGTAAATAAGATCCCTGATCTCACGTATGTTCTAATAAGGGGAAAATGATAATAAACTTGCAGATAAATACATAAGAATTTTAGTTAGTGATAGATTATTGGGGGAGCCTTTTATAGATGGGGTAGTTTGAAAAAGGTAGTAATACTTGAGCCAGGACTTGAGCACTGTGAGCAGCTGTGAGGAAGAAATAGCCAGTGCAAAGGCCCTGAGGCAGGAACCAGCTGGGGAATGAAAGAACAGTGAAGCACCGTTACAATAAAAAAGTGGGGATACAAGATGAGGTCAAAAAGAAGGCAAGGGCCAGATAACGCAGGGTCCTGCAGGTCACGGTAGAAATTTGAATTTCTTCTAAATGTGATATATCTAATCAGGGAGTGAAATACCTTTTTATCTTATAAAAATAACTCAGGCTCTGTTTAGAGAATCGAGCATGGTCAGCTAAGAGTGGAGTGAGGAAGAGCAGCTAGCAGACTGTTACATTAGTTCAGTCTAGGGATGATGACTGCTTATTAGAGTAATGCTTTTGACTGAAGGAATGATATGAAAATCATGAATATGCCTCTTTTAACAGACATTCTCAATTAAGAAGGCCACAACTATGACTCTTACAAAATGATTCTTGAACTTGTATTTTTTGGCCTTTATGTTCACATGTTCAGCACTTTCATTAGTTTCATTTCTCCCTGCTGTTAGGCCACTGCCTCCTTGAGCTCAGAACCACCGGGTTAGGTGATAGGTCAGGGCAACTTACTTTTTATCAGGCTAAAGGCATCTGTCCCAGTTCAAATCCAGAGAGCAACCCTTGCTTGTTTCTGCCATTCCCTTATTTTTTCCCACAGCCTTCTCTTTCCCAGTTTCTCCTGCTTAATTTTCTGTCCCAAGTGGAACACAGTCTCCCAACTTCTCCCCTACTCAGCTGTCTACTCTGAAAAACACGCAGATGTCAGTTTTCATGCTGCTTTTCTGAGGGGTTTATTTTTGTTGTAGAGGAATACAGAGATGAATACAAATTTTAAAAACTGTAGAAAACTCCTCAAGTTATTTTACCCAAGGAAGGGAAAGTGGGGAAGTCATTCTCCTTTTCATTAAACCTTAAGTACAGCTGGAAGGGGCTGGACAGATTTTCAACACTTCTTTTTTTAAAAGGGAAGTCGTATGTTGACATGACTGTTGACAAGAATATAATAAAACCTAACATTTAGTGAGCCATTGCTATGTGCCAAGCATTGTTGTAGGTATCTTCAAACTGAGGCATGTCCTATTGCTACCCCCTTCACAAATGAGAAAACTGAGGCACAGGGACATTAAGTAATTGGCTCCAGGTGAGGGGCCAACCTAGACATTTTTTTGTGTGTGTGTGACAGTCTTGCTTTGTCACCCAGGCTGGAGTACAATGGCAGGATCATGGCTCACTGCAGCCTTAACCTTCTGGGCTCAAGTGATCCTCCCATCTCAGCCTCTCAAGTAGCTGGGACCACAGGTGTGCACCACCACACTTGGCTAATTTTTGTATTTTTTGTAGAGATGGGGTCTCACTATATTGCCCAGGCAATATAGTGTCAAAACTCCTGAGCTTGAGCTATCAGCCTGCCTTGGCCTCCCAATGTGTTGTGATTATAGGTGTGAATCACCACGCTGGCCCAACCTAGAAATTAGACAGGTTTTTCCCTTCTCTAGGCGATGCTGCCTCTCCAGGTGAGATGACTTGGCAATCTGTAGAGAAGGCGGCCTTTGCAGAGATGGGCTGATGAGAGACTGGTCACACATCCTGCCTCCCAGGCCCTCCTCCTGTCTCTATCCCCTCCATGCTCAATCTGGTTTTACCTCTGGACTTCATTTAGTGTACCTCTCACTTAGGCTGTTTTTGATAAGTATCTCTATAAGTGAATAGTTGCAAAAATTAAAAGAAATATGCCCTTTCCCTTTGCCCCTCCCTTTGTCAGTGAATTTCTGACTTAGGCTGTCTCATACTTATTTGCTTTAATAGCTGCTCTCTGCTTCTCTGTGGATACTTACATTGTTTCTGAAGTGGGGACCAGGAAAGCAGCGCTCCCCAAGCTGTGGGGACACAAGGCTTTCCTCCACATGGCTCTCCTCCTCCTTGTGTGCTGGGCACATTCATTTATCAGCCTGTCCTTCTCATAGGTATCCTCTTGGTCACAGCAGGCTCCAGGAGATTACTTGTCTCACTACTGAATTTTCTTTATATGATTTTTTTCTAAGTATGTATGAAATTATAGTCTTGAACTTTCCTTTTTCATACACAAACTAATCATTATGAAGCCCAATAATGATCCCTGAGGGAAAAACCACATGGAGCAAAAGGGCTCAGACGTGGAGTGAGGGTGTTTGACAAGACATCATTCCCGGACCTGTGGATACAGTTCTCTCCAGGGGTCAGTAAACTACATTTTTATGACTTGAATTTGTTTTTCAGGATATTACATCATGGTTTCCCCAAAGCACAATTGTGTGCTGTCATGTCCATTTTTCATGTTCCATATCATTCCTAGACTTAAAATAGTAAGCTCTGAGCATCATGTCTTACTGGTCTTATGACTTAAACACAGAAGAGGTGAAGGTTTAAAGAAAAACCAGACATACTCCATGAGCCAAAGGGACTGGTTTTCTATAATCTCTTTGATAAAAACCCTTTGACATTATTCTCATGGGTTATGTGACTATAGGCTGGTCAACTTGATTATTTTCCCTTGAGTATAATAAAAGTGTGTAGGAGAGATTCTCTTTAAATTTGAGATTTAAGTATGATTTCTCTCTCACAAGATAGAAGATGGATATATCTCATCATTTTATTTTTGAGAAAGAAAGGCTTTGGTGTTCATTGTTTAAGTTAAAGCAGTCCTGTTCTTGGGCCAAGAACAAGAAAAAAGAACAAAGGAAAGGACTGGAAACATTTACTTCTCAAAAAAGGATGAGAAATATTACTTTCTGTCTTCTAGTAAAAATCTGTTCTTCAGAAAGATTCAAATATTCCTTCACACTAAAGTGAAAGTGACCGAACACAGCTTAAATATGATTTCTCCCAAAGGAAGTTGTAGGTTTACATAGACCAAATCTTTACAGAGGACTCTCCCAATTCTTGATGTACCTATTTTTTTGGTCTGTTTGCTTCTATTTAAAATACATAATGAATTTTGTTCCAGAAAAAAAAATTTAAGGCCACATATTACACAATAAGAAAATAAATTTAAAAATAAGTAATTGAGAACATTAGGATGACTTTGAATATTCAGAGTTTTGGTTTTCAGAGAAAAGAGGAAATAACTGTATTTTGTTGTTGTTAGAAAACTCTTATTTTACCTTGAAATCTTAGCAGAGCAGGGATGGGATGGGGTCACTAACTCCACCTACAGCAGACCAACCTTTCAACATATGTCAATAATTTTATGGTGAAAATATTTTTCTCTCTCAGCTTGTTTGAGCATTTAGTACAGTTTACTATTCCAGCTTTAGTTCTCCGGTAGCCTTCTCTTTGGTTACTTATTAACCTCCCTTTAAAGTACAACTTAGTCTAGAAAGGTACAAAGTTCAGTTACTGTTACTATTGTTCTTGAATATGATAATAAATAAGGCCACTCTATAACTGGAAATGCCTTCTAAAACATATTTGTAGATAAAACAGCTAGTCTGGGGGCATCGGCGCTGAACACCAGCTTTCTCAGAGGTAACCCTGCAGTAACAGGACAAAGCTGCCCGTGTGAATGGGAAGTTTGCATGATACCTGTACCCCAAATCACCCATGTGCTTCACTCCCATCTTCCACCTTCTCCTTTCTCTATTATTATCCTTATAAGGATAGGATGTCAAAGGAGATCAAATATTGCCCCAGGGGAATCCAGAAGGAAGAAAGCAGTAGATGTCCTCCTCTCTATAGATATGTCTATTTTGAAATTCATTTAAGATGATGATTGCTCAGAATCCAGAATTCAAACCGAAAAAGGGCTAGTCAGTTTTCCCCCATTTGGAGTAGTGGAAAAAGTTGCCCTAGAACACTAGAGTAAGTTTCTAGATGCTATATCTGCCAACCGGAAAGAGACTGTGTCCCTTACTTGCCTTCCCAGAACCTAGAACAGTACCTGGAACATCATATGTGTTCAATAAACAGATAATGAGTGTAATGGGAGCTCTAAGGTACTTTTTAGATACAGGATATCCTTTAATTCTTACCTGTTAATTGAACACAAATAAGCTCCTGCTTCTTCTTATACTGTGTTGATCAAGGATGCTCAACTCTGGAATCTAATTGCCTGCATTCAAAACATGTCTTCCTCACTTACTAGCTGTATAATATGGGGAAATTGCTTAGTTCCTCTGTGGCTTAGTTTCCTTACTGTAAAGGGGTTGTTAGGAGAAGTAAATGACATATTAAATGCTTAGCACAGCACTAGACACCCTTAGCCTAATAAATGTTGGCCAGCAGCCACAGTATGTTATCCCCAGCTTAAGTCTGATCTACTATAAAACTATAAAGGAAGGTTCTTTTTGGCTAGAAATAATAGGAATTTAAAGGAGTTAAACACAGATTCACATCTACGTGTGGCTTTTCAAGTCATGTAATAATAAAAGAGCATTGAAAAGGACTGCTTTCCAGAGAAAAGTAGGCAGATATCCAAAGTATTTTTGAGTCAGGAATAAATGTTGGTGAATTAGTCTATTCAAAGAGATGTTTAGAATTATCTGCAATAAAATGAATTATTTTCCTACTATAATAAAAAATAAAAATAATTTTAAAAGCTTTATGAGATTTCACTTTGAAGTTATTTTTCTTTAACAAATATGCCATTCACTCAACAACTATTTATTTAGCAACTATGTGCTAAGTGTTGTGTTTGGTGCTAGTGCAGGAAAACGAAAAAGGAATAGAGCCTGTTTCTAATGAGTTTAGAGAATAAATATTTAGCTAAATAGTACTCTCCAAAATAGTTATCCTGGGATCCTGCACATTAATTCCAATATTGCTGCTGTTGCTCGACACTTTCAAACAACTCTTGGGCAATGCCTTCAGAATCAATGCACGAGCCACACAGAAACAGCAATGACCACTTTACTTTTTGAAAGGACCAATATTCAGTGGATATTAAAAACCCATATTCTCCTTTATTGGTTGGTAAATGCCACAGCTCAGAAACCCCAATGTGTCCACTCATCCCCACTCCTACATTTTTCCCTATGGGACCACCTAGAACATTTCAAACACCTCGTAATCCAGCTACTGTAGAGTTAATACATGGATCTGGGTTAAGGTCCTCCAGGTCCCTGCTCCAATACCACCAGTTCTGACTGCTCGGTGTTCAGCCTTAGCTATTGTTGAATGTGTTGAATATTACCCCTAATATAAAGTGTCACAGTGCATCCCCCAATCTACTGTCCTGTCTACTTCTTTCTCCTTGATGCCCCCAGGGCCCCATCTCCTACGGTAGGTTGTTTTTAATTATTGATTAGACAAATCCAACTTTAAGGGGCAAAGTTTGGCTATCTTTTGAGATATTTGTTTAAAATAAGATGAAATAAAAATAAAATAAAATAAAATAAGATGAAATAGCTTAAAGACAGTTCCAAAAGAGAGGTCCTAAAATTGTTCTGAGCAAAGGGAAATGTCATTGAAACTAGTCTGAGGTCTCCCAAGGTGACTACATAGAGGAGATGACATTCATTTTGTATGTAAATGCTGGTGCTTTTATGAATACAACCAATGATATCAGGCCAATTACTTTATCTTGAATATTAGATGAATGTCTAATTTTAGAAAAGTTGTATTTTAAAGTCACAAAATCTTCACTTAGGAGCATTCTTAAAACCTAATACATTTTTTTCCAGTTAATATGATATTATTAACATATAAAGGGTATGATAGACATATTTATCCCAGTAGCATTTTGGAATTCCTAATACCTACATATAAAAATAAAATAACAATGAATATTTTTTCCAGTGACATTATGATTCAGAATTATTCAACATTATATAAAATATGACATAATTGTGGAGGAAAGAGTTTTTCTCATGGGAAATGTAAATTCAGAAGAGAGTTGTAATAGATTATGCTTATTTTTAATAGGATGACTTGTATGAGAGGATTTATTTAATTTTGCTTTGTTATAAGACAAAAAAACAAAAATACAAATTAGCAAAACAAAACAAAACTTTCTGAAGACAAAATTATTATTGATTGGTGGGACAGTTTTTGAGAGGCGTGAATATCTGGTATTTGTGCAAAAGATAGCATTGACTTTAGGTTGCATTGGCTGGAAAGTTGATAAATGGTGCTTAACCAAAAGTTTTACTCATTCAGCTGCTAAATCAGTGGTATGAAAATTAGATCTTTTTCCCTAATGATAGTGAATCCAGTAGATAGCATTAATTCCTCCTATAATATTGACTGTTGAACTGAGATGTATTTGTTGAATGAATGAGTGCATAGTTGATCATTATTAAGAATTATATATCTTTTTGAATCCTTTCTTAGGACTTCATTTATTTTAAAGATAATAATTTTTATTGATTTTTCTTGCAAAAATAATTACAAGTTCATATAAAATTTCTACAACTGAGATAAGCAAAAAGATTACTCACAGTTCCCACCATCTGTAAATAACCACCTTAGCATCTTTGTGTGTGTCTTGACATCTATTTTCTGTTTTTTTAGGTGTAGGTGTATATGTGACTGTGTTTGATTTACAAAAAAAGATCACATTATGCACAACCTTTTTTTTTTACATAATATATCGTGATCACCTTTCCACATATGCCCTTAAATAGTCTTCTACAGCATTATGTTTAGTGACTGCATTGTTTCACCAGTCTTCTGTTATTGGGCATTTAGGTTGCTTTTAATCTTTTCATTATTATGGTGTAGAGACTTTTAGCTATTCCACAAATTTTTTTTTTGCTTTTTTGTAGAATTATTTCCTTGGACAGCTTAGTTAAGTCTGTGGATCCCTTCTCAGAATAATATGTTCTTTTTCATAGAAAATACAGGGTTACAAAGGACACAAATTATATTGAAAGGGTTACAAAAATATTTTTTAAATTTGTGACATATGTGTTTATTTGTAAACATTTGATCTAGTGGCACATCTAATTTTAACTAGTGATGAGCATAAATGAAATTTGATATACCTGAAACAATTAAAATGCAATATAAAAGTAGCTGCTGTTCTCTTTATTTCATTGTGATTTCCTGCTTACATTAATAATAGAAGAAAATGCTAAATTTCAGTTAGAGGTTAATTAAAATAAATATATGCAATATTTTTCCTGCCTAAACTCATGGATCACTTGATTTTATCCACAAACCCTCACAGCCACATATCTCAGATTAAGAACCTCTGTGAATATATCAGATGAACTTGGAAGCATTTAATAATAATAATAAGGGAGAAGTACCTACGTTCCCCAAAGATGTGCAATATGGACTTTAAAAAGTTGGTACTAAACTTGGTGAAACTGATGGAGGTTGAGAAAACATAATCTGTAAAACAAATAGACCGGGCTGATGAGTAATGGTGGAAGAAACCTAGGAGGAGTTGTGGGAAGCTAATTATGAGTAGGGTTTCGAAGGAATGGAACAGCAGAGAAAAACCCTGCTATTTCAGGCTTCTAATGAAAAGACATTGTGTTATTGAAAAGGGGAGAGTGATCTTTTCTCTTAACTTAGTAAAACCCAAATGTCCCAGTCTCAACAACCAATGACTGCCATATATTTTCTTATTTCCTCTTAATACCCAAGTGATATGAACCCCAGTCTCACAGACCAGCCTGATTGCAGGAAACTGGCCCCTTCCCTCATAGGTTTCATCCGCTTTCCAGCACCAAGCAGGTGCTGGTTTGAGTGTGTCCAGGATAGAGCAGCTGTTTCCTGATGTTTTATTTAGGCTTTCTACAAAGCTACCACACAGCTATCTCTGTTGTAATGACCTTTGTGAGGTGTCTACACTGATGCACAAAGATGATTTTACCATCTCTATGACTCTTGGGTAAGGAGGACAGGGGTTCTCTTTGTAAACTTAGCTACTTTGTCCAAAGTGAAAACTAGGTCCTCTACTAATTCCACACAGTAGAAACCAGGCTACAAGTTCCCACAGAACTTCATGGAGCATGGGGTGTAGTCAGGCATAATGTTGGGAAGTACCACACAGAATAGATGACATCCAGGACATCCTCTAGCCCTGTCCCAGGGTTGCTAAAGGGACTGCTGCTCACCCTCCAGCTCAGTCTGGGAGTATTTAAATCCTCCCAGGAGGCCCACAGAAAGAAGTGAGTTTTCCTTCTCCAGTGAAAGTCCCCCTGCCCCTGCCCCCAGAATCTGTATATTTTCAGTTCAGGCTTCTCCTAGGATTGACAGTGGTAATACCATATCAGGAAGACTCCAGCTGTACCTATAGAGGTTGGCCTATGATCTTCAGGGCTACACATAATTTGCATCAGAATTTATTAGTCCAGCATCTATATATTCTGGATTATTTAGTCCTCAATAGCATCATGAGTATGAATTCCAAAGTTCAACCTGTTTCTTTTTTACATTTCCTTTCCAGTATGTGGTAAAGCTTATATCTGCATATCCTTTTTATAGTCTTTAAATTCAAGTCTTCTCAAACAACTGACGTGACAAGGACAAATACGCCATCTCTTTTGTTCATTTTCTAATTCAATGGTTTGTTTTTTCACTCTTGAGTTTTAAGAGTTCTTTATACATTCTGGATACTAGCCCTTTGTTAAATATGTGGTTTGCAAGTATTTTCTCCCCAGTCTGTAGCTTGTCTTTTCAGCCTCTTTATGGTCTTTTGCAGAGCAAACATTTTCATTTTGATGAAGCCCACTTTATCAATTTTTCCTTTTATGAATTGTGCCTCTGGTGTCAAGTCTAAGAACTCTTTCTTTAAACTTTTATTTCAGGCTCAGGGTACATTTGCAGGTTTGTTCTGTAGATAAATTGTGTGTTATGGGAGGGTAGTGTACATATGATTTCATCACTTAGGTAATAAGCATAGTACCTGATAGGCAGTTTTTTGATCCTCACCCTTCTCCCACCCTGCACAAGTAGGCCTCCGTGTCTCTTGTTCCCTTCTTTGTGTCTGTGTTTACTCAATGTTTAGCTCCCACTTATAAGTGAGAACATTTGGTGTTTGGTTTTCTGTTACTGTGTTAGTTCATTTAGGAAAATGGTCTCCTGCTCCATACATGTTGCTGCAAAGGACATGATCTCATTCTGTTTTTATGGCTGTGTAGTATTCTATGGTATATATGTAGCACATTTTCTTTATCCAGCCTATGACTGATAGGCATTTAGGTTGATTACAGGTCTTTGCTATTCTGAATAGTACTTTGACAAACATACATGTGCATATGTCTTTATAGTAGAATGATTTATATTCCTTTGGGTATATACCCAATATGAGATTGCTGGGTGCTGGGTCAAATGGTAGCTCTATTTTTAAATACTTTGAGAAATCACCAAACTGCTTGAAATTAGTGGCTGAACTAATTTACAACAGTGTGTAAGTGCTCCCTTTTCTCTGCAGCCTTGCCATCATCTGCTATTTTTTTTTAAACATTTTAATAGCCATTCTGAATGATGTCGGATAGTATCTCATTGTGGTTTTAATTTGCATTTTTCTAATGATTAGGGATGTTGAGAATTTTTTGAATGCTTTGTGGCTGTGTATATATCTTCTTTTGAAACGTGTTTATGTCTTTTGCCCCCTTTTTAATGGTGTTATTTGTTTTTAGATTGTTAAGTACCTTATGGATTATAGATAGTAGACTTTGTCAGATGCATAGGGTGCAAATATTTTCTCCTGTTGTGTGAGTTGTCTATTTACTCTGTTGATAGTGTCTTTTGCTGTTCAGAAGCTCTTTAGTTTAATTAGGTCCCGCTTGTCAATTTTTGTTTTTCTTACAATTGCTTCTGGCATCTTCATCATAAAGTCTCTGCCAAGGCCTATGTCTAGAATGGTATTTCCTAGGTTTTCTTCTGGGATATTTACAATTTTTGGTTTTATACTTAAGTCTTTAATCCTTCTTGAGTTGATTTTTGTATATGGTATAAGAAAGGGGTCCAGTTTCAATCTTCTGCATATGGCTAGCCAGTTCTCCCAGAACAGTTTATTTAATAGGCAATTCTTTCCCCATTGTTAATTTCTGTCAGTTGTGTCAAAGATCAGATGGTTGTAGGTGTGCGGCTTTATTCCTGGGCTCTCTATTTTGGTCCTTTGGTCTATGTGTCTAATTTTGTACCAGTGTCATGCTGCTTTAATTACTGTAGTCTTGTGGTATAGTTTGAAGACAGATAATGTGATGCCTCCGGCTTGTTCTTTTTGCTTAGGATTGTCGTGGCTATTTGGGCTCTTCATATTAGTTCTCTATGAAGTTTAAAATAGTTTTCTCTAATTCTGTGAAAAATGTCGTTGGTAGTTTGATAGGAATAGCATTGAATCTGTAAATTGCTGTGGGCAGTATGGCCATTTTAACAATATTGATTCTTCCTATCCATGAGCATGGAATGTTTTTCTATTCATTTGTGTCATCTCTGACTTCTTTGAGCAGTGTTTTGTAGTTCTTGTAGAGATCTTTCCTCTCCCTGGTGAGCTTCATTCCTAGGTATTGTATTTTTTTGTGGCTATTGTGAATAGGATCACATTCTTGATTTGGCCCTCAGCTTGGACATTATTACTGAATAGAAATGCTACTGATTTTTGCACATTGATTTTGTATCCTGAAACTTTGCTGAAGTTGTTTATCAGATTTAGGAGCTTTTGGGCAGAGACTATAGGGTTTTCTCAGTATAGAATCATATCATTTGCAAACAGAGATAGTTTGACTTCCTCTCTTCCTATTTGGATGCCTTTTATTTCTTTCTCTTGCCTGGTAACTCTGGCTAGGATTTCCTGTACTGTGTTGAATAAGAGTGGTGAAAGGGGGCATCTTTGTCTTGTTCTGTTGTCAAGGGGAATACTTCCAGCTTTTGCCCATTCAGTAGGATGTTGGCTGTGAGTTTGTCATAGATAGCCCTTATTATTTTGGAATATGTTTCTTCAATGCCTGGTTTGTTGCAAGTTTTTAACATGAAGGGATGCTGAATTTTATTGACTGCCTTTTCTGCATCTATTGAGATGATCATGTGGTTTTTGTTTTTCATTCTGTTTATGTGATGAATCACATTAGTTTGTGTATGTTGCACCAACCTTGCATTCCAGGGATAAAGCCTACTTGATGGCAGTGGGTTAGCTTTTTGATGTACTGCTGGATTTGGTTTGCTATTATTTTGTTGAGGATTTTTGCATCTATGTTCATCATGGATATTGGCCTGAAGTTTTTGTTGTTGTTGTGTCTCTGCCAGGTTTTGGTATCAGGATAATGCTGGCTTTATAGAATGAGCTGGGGAGGAGTCCCTCCTTTTCAACTTTTTGGAAAAGTTTAAGTAGAAATGGTACCAGCTCTTCTTTATGTGTCTAGTAGAATTCAGTGTGAATCCATCTGGTTCTGGGCTTTTTCTGGTTGTTAGGCTTTTTATTAGGGATTCAATTTTGGAACTCATTATTGGTCTGTTCCAGGTTTGAATTGCTTCCTGGTTCAGTTTGGGAAGTTGTATGTTTTCATGAATTTAGCTCTTTCTTGCAGGTTTTCTAGTTTGTGTGCAGGTTTTCTAGTTTGTGTGCATACATGTGTTCATAATAGCCTCTGATTTTTTTTTTTTTCTGTATTTCTGTGGGGTCAGTGGTAATGTCCCCTTTGTCATTTCTGATTGTGTTTATTTGGATCTTCTCCCTTTTTTTTTCCTTTATTAGTCTAACTAGCAGTTAATCTATCTTATTTATCATTTCAAATAGCCAACTTATGGTTTTATTGATCTTTTGTATGCTTTTCTGCATCTTAATTTCTTTTAGTTCAGTTCTGATTTGGGTTATTTCTTGTTCTGTTAGCTTTAGGATTGGTTTGCTCTTGTTTTTCTAGTGCCTCAAGGTGTGATGTTAGGTTACTAATATGAATGAGATCTTTTTAACTTTTCAGTGTGGGTGTTTGATGTTATAAACTTTCCTCTTAATACTGCTTTAACTGTGTCCCAGAGATTCTGGTATGCTATATCTTTGTTCTCATTAATTTCAGAGAATTTCCTGATTTTTGCTTTAATTTCATTGTTTACCCAAAAATCATTCCAGAGAAGACTGTTTAATTTCCATGTAATTGTATGGTTTTGAGTAATCTTCTTGGTACTGTTTTCCATTTTTATTGCACTATGGTCTGAGAGTGTGTTTGGTATGATTTTTTTTTAATTCGCTGAAAATTGTCTTATGGCTGATTATATGATCAATTTTAGAGTATATGACATGTGCAGCTGAGAAGAATGTATGTTCTGCTCTTTTGGGGTACAGAGTTCTGTAGATATCTGTTAGGTCTATTTGGTTACATGTTGAGTTCAGGTCCTGAATATCTTTGTTAGTTTTCTGCCTTAATGATTTGTTTATTACTGTTGGTGGGATGTTGACATCTCCTATTATTATTGTATTGTTATCTATGTCTCTTCACAGGTCTCTAACAAGTTGTTTTATGAATCTGGGTGCTCCTGTGTTGGGTGCATATATATTTAGGGTAGTTAGGTCTTCCTGTTGAATTGAACCCCTTACCATTATGTAATGCCTTTGTCTCTTCTGATATTTGTTGGTTTAAAGTCTGTTTTGTCTGAAATTAGAATAGGAGCCCCTCCCTTTTTTTTCTGTTTTCCATTTGCTTGGTAGATTTTTTTCCATCCGTTTACTTTGAGCTTATTGGGTCATTGTATGAGATGGGTCTCTTGAAGACAGGATACAGTTAGGTCTTACTTCTGTATCCAACTTGCCACTCTGTGCTTTTTAATTGAGCATTTAGTACATTTACCTTCAAGATTAATATTGATATGTGCAGATTTGATCCTGTCATCATGTTGTTAGCTGGTTATTATGCAGACTTGATTGTGTAGTTGCTTTATAGTGTCAATGGTCTATGAAATTAAGTGTGTTTTTTTAGTGGCCAGTAAGTCTTTTGTTTCCATATTTAGCACTCCCTTAAGGACCTCTTGTAAGGCAGGTCTGGTGATAATTAATTCCTTTAGTGTTTGCTTGTCTGAAAAGAATCTTATTTCTCCTTTACATATGAAGTTTAGTTTGGCTGGATATGAAATTTTTTATTGGAGTTTCTTTTCTTTAAGAATATTGAATATAACCGCACCCCCCGCCCACCCCACCCAATCTCTTCTGGCATGTAGGATTTCTGCTGAAAAGTCCATTATTAGCCTGTCAAATTTCCCTTTGTAGGTGACCTTCCCCTTCTATCTTCCTTTATATTTTTCCTTTTATGTCAGTCTTGGAAAATCTGAAGACTGTGTGTCTTGGGGGTGGTTGTCTTGTACAGTATCTCACAGGCATTTTTTACATTTTCTGAATTTAAATATTGGCCTCTGTAGTAAGGTTGGGGAAATTTTCATGGATGATATACTCAAATATGTTTCCAAGTTGCTTATTTTCTCTCTCTCTTTCAGGGATGCCAATGAGTCATAGATTTGGTCTATTTATGTAATCCCATAATTCTCAGAGGTTTTTTTTTTCATTAAGATATTGTCTTTTCTTTATATTTGTCTGACTGAGTCAGTTCAGACAACCAGTCTTTGAACTCTGAGAGTCATTCCTCAGCTGGGTCTATTTTGAAAATTATGGAACGCCTCATGAATATGTGTGTCATCCTTGTTCAAGGGCCATGCTAATCTTCTCTGTATCATTCCAGTTTTAGTATATGTGCTGCCAAAGAGAGCACAAATCTAAGAATTCTTTGCCTACAACTCAATCCCAAAATTTTCATCCAATTTTTTTCTAACACAGAATGCAAAACAGTTTTGCAAATTACACTTTAGTCTGCAATCCATTTTGGGTTAATTTTTATGTGTAATAAAATGTGAGGTGTATGTTGAGGTTCATATTTATTTATTTTCCCGTAGATGTGCAATTGCTCCAGTGCCATATATTGAAAAGGCTGTTCTTCCTCCATTGAATTGCTTTTGCACCTTCATCAAAAGTCAGTTAGGCATATTTGTTTGGCTCTATTTCTGGGTTTTCTGTTCAGTTCCACTGATATATGTGTCTGCCCTTCTACCAATATTATACAATTTTGATTACTATAGCTACATAATAAGTCTTGAAATTAAAAAGACTGATTTCTTTCACTTTATTAAAAAATTTAAAGCTGTTTTTCTTCCTTTACTTTTTTATATAAATGTTAGAAAGATGTTGCCCATATCTACAGAAATTCTGCCTGGGATTTTGAAAGGAATTGGATTAAACCTATATATCTATTTAGGGAAAATTAATATCCTTAATATGTTGAGTCTACCAGTCATTAAATACAGCCTGTCTCTCTATTTAGATTTTTTTTATTTCCTTCATCGGCATTTTGTAACTTTCAGCACATAAATACTGTTTATGTTTTGTTGAATTTACATTCAAGTACTTCATTTTTTGAGTGATTGTAAGTTGTATTTTTAATTTTGGTGTTTATGTGTTCATTGCTAGTATAATGAAATAGAATCCATTTTTGTATGTTCATTTTCTATCCTATGACCTTGTTGAACTCACTTAGTATTTTTAGGAGATTTCTTGTAGATTCCTTAGGAACTTTTGTGTAGGCAATTATACCTACAAATAGAATTAGTCTTGTTTCTTTCTTCCTAATCAATGTAATTTTTATTTCCTTTTCTTGATATATTGTATTGAATAGAACTTCCAGTAATATGGGTGAGTAAGAGTGATAAAAGCAGATGTCTTTGTTTTATTTCTGATCTTTGAGGGAAAGCGTTAAATTTTTCATCATTAAGTATAATAGTGGCTTTAACCAGTTGAGGAAATTCACTTCTATTTCTAGTTTTCTGAGAGCTTTTGGTATGAATTAGTGTTGAATTTTTTCAAGTGCTCATTCTCAAGTGGAATGATCATGTGATATTTTTCTTTAGTCTGTTAAATGGTGGATTACACTGATTGATTTTCAAATATTGAACTAACCTTACATCCCTGAAATTAGCCCACTTTGTCATGGAATATACTTAATTTCTCTAAAATATTATTGAATTCTATTTGCTTATATATTCTTAAGAACTTTTACATGTATTTTCATGAGTGATATTGGCTAATGATTTTCTTTTTTTGTACTATCTCCCTATGATTTTGATATCAGGGTAATAATAGCTTCATAAAATGAATTAGGCATGTTATCTTATATTTTCTGGAGGAAAGTGTGTAAAGTTGGTGTTAATTCTTCTGTAAACATTGGGAATAATTCTCCAGTGAAATCATCTGGGCCTGATAATTTATTTTGGGAGAACTTTAAGATTATGAATTCAATTTTCTTAATAGTTATTGTACTACACAAATTATTTCGTTCTGAATTAGTTGTTGTACTTTGTGATTTTCAAGGAATTGGCCTATTTCATCAAAATTGCTAGAGTTTTGCATGTAGAATTGCCACAGTATTCCCATATTATCTTTTTAATATCTGCAGGATCTGTCATGATATTCCCTGTTGTATTAGTATTGGTAATTTGTGGATTTTCTTTTTTTTCCCTTTGTCAGTCTTGCTAGAGTTTTGTCAATGTAATTGATCTTCTCAAAGGGTGAGGTTTTAGTTTTATTGATTTTTTGTATTGTTTTTCTGGTTTCACATTAATTTGTGATTAATGATTTCTGAATTTTATTTTCTTCTATTTATTTTGTGTTCATTTTTCTTTTCTTTGTCTAGGTTCTTGAGGTAGGAGTTTAGGTTACTGATTTCAGACTGTTTCTCTGTTCTAATGTAAGCATTTAATGCTGTAAATTTCCCTCTAAGCACTGCTTTAGCTGTGTCCCACAAATTTTTATATGCTGTACTTTCATTTTTATTCAGTTCTTTTGGAACTTCCTCTTTGATCCATGGATTATTTAGAAATGCATTGTTTATCATTCTGTTGTTGATTTCTAGTTTTCTTCCTTTGTAGTCAGAGAACACACTTTGTATGGTTTCAATCCTTTAAATTTGTTGAGGTTTGTTTTATGGTCTAGGATATGATCTATCTCAGTATAGGTTCCATGGGCTCTTGAGAAGAATGTGTATTCTGCTGTTTGTCTGGTGGAGTGTTCCATAAATGTCAATTAGATCCTATTGGTTGATAGTGTTGTTGAGTTTTCTATATTCTTGCTGATTTTCTGCCTAGTTATTATATCAATTGTTGAAAGAGGGCTATTGAAGTTTACAACTGTAATTGTAGACTTGTCTATTTCTCTTTTCAGTTTCACCAGTTTTTGTTTCAGATATTTCATAACTCTGTTGCTTTTTGTACACACATTTACGACTTCTATGTTCTCTTGGTAGAGTCACCCTTCTAACATTATGTAGGGCCAGGCTCAGACAATGATCCATGCCTGTAATCCCAGTGCTTTTGGAGGCCAAGGTAGGAGGACTGCTTGAGGCCAGGTATTTGAGACCAGCCTGGGCAACAAGGTAATATCCCATCTCTACAAAAAATAAAATAAATTAGCCGGGCATGGTGGTGCACACCCGTAGTCCTAGCTACTCCAGCGGCTGAGGCAGGAGGATTGCTTCAGGCCAGGAGTTGAAGGCTATAGTGAGCTATGATCATGCCACTGCACTCCAGCCTGAGTGACAGAGTAATATGCTATCTCTAAAATAATAATAATAATAAATTTTAAAAAATATTGTGTAATGTCACTCTGTATCTGGTAAATTTCTCTGCTCATAAGTCTATTTTATCTGATATTAATATAACTATTCCCACTTTCTTTTGATTAACTTTTACATAATATGTCTTTTTCTATCCATTTACTTGTTATATTTATTTCAAATATTTGAAGTAAGTTCCTTGTAGACAGCAGGTAATTGAGTCATGTTTTTAATATGTTCTGCTAATCTTTGTCTCTTAATTGGTATATGTGGATATACTTTTATCCATATAATTTACTTCTTTAAAATTTAATAATTAACTAATGCATACACAGTGTATAAAATCTTAAAGATACTAAAGAGTATCTGATATTAAAAACATTGGACTGAGCATGGTGGTTTATGCCTATAATCCCAGCACTTTGAGAGGCAGAAGCAGAAGGATCATCTTGAGGCCAGGAGTTTGAGAGCAGCTTGGGCAATGTAGTGAGATCCTGTATGTCCAAAAATAATTATATACATATATAAGCTGGGTGTGATGGTACATGCCTGTAGTTCCAGCTACTTGGGTGGCCAACGTGGGGGAATCTCTTGAATCCAGAAGTTCAATGCTGTAGTAAGCTATGATCATACCATTGCACTCCAGCTTGGGTAGCAGAGTAAGACCTTGTCTCTAAAAGAGAAAAAAAAATATTAAAAGGTCAATCCCGTTCCATTCCACCTCTTTCCCCAGTCCTCCCATCCCCTTCCCAAGAGGTAACCATGTTTTCCAGTTTTATGTTGTCTTCTATCAGAGTTAGTCTACATAATGAAAACATATACAGGACTATACAAAATACAAATGAGAACAAAGTATATATACTGTTCTACTTGTTGTCTTATATATAATTAATAGCAAATCTTGAAGATCTTTTTGTATTGGTACATATAGAATACCGGCAACATTTAAATAAAAATATTTCCTTCCAGCTTCAAAAGTCTTAGAAGTCAATCTCAGGAAGTATGTTCTCTTACAGAAGATTAAATCTAAAAATCTGCATGAGTTGAAACATTTAAGGAGCAGAATGGAGATTGTAACTTATAATGAAATATGTAAATTGGTAAATATTTAGAGCATGAATAAGAAATAATTTTGAAGAAACATGATGGCAATCTATTTATAAGCCATACATTTCCGGAGAGTTGTGAAGTTACTTACCAGCAACTGCCTATATGGCTAACAATAATGGAGTAAGACCAAGAAAAGAAAAGGCAATATTTTAAGTCAAAATTTAGCTCTGGAAACTTTGTGAAATACTTCATGTCAGTATTACCTTATTATTGTTACTACCCAAATGGAGGAAAGCCTAATACTCCATGAAATAAAACAAAATTCTAGATCTTAGAACTTTTCTAAGTTCTGAATGAATTGCAAAATAAAGACTGGGCGATTCATCTATTTAAACAAAGACATGTTAGCTACTTACTGTGTTTGAGACACAGTTCTAGTCAAAGAATAAGATAGACAAGGTCTCTGCAATCTTGGAGCTTACATTCTGGGGAAGGCAGTGAGAGGAGAGAAAATTAAAACGTAAAAACAACACAAAACAAAAAAGCCAGGTGGTGGTATGCACTGTGATGAGAACAAAGCAGGGTTATGTTTTACCAAGACACAAGAAGATTGTTTTATAGTATTTGGTGTTAGAAGATGATGTTACACTGAGAAGCTCAGGAAACCATATCCATAATCCAAGAAAAAGTCTTTTGCTTACATTTCTGAAGTTTGCTCTGTCCTCCTCTGACCTCTTTCTGGCCAAATTCTTAAAGCCATAGTGTAATTCCACATTCTTGGTAAAGCCTTCTAAAATATTCCTGCCAGGAAGAAGAGAGTGCACCTGATGTAGTAGCCACTGTAAGAACTGTGTTGGAGAATGATCCGATTGGCCAGTGCAAGAGGGATTGCAGAGAAGAAGAAACCACAAGCAGAAAAACCAGATGAGGAAATTAAGCTAAATATTAACTATCTCAAGAATATTCCCAGAAGTGACTGCTAAATTTAAATCCCTGCTCACAATGAAATACTGTACAGCAGGGGTTCTCAAACTTTTTGGTCTTAGGACCCTTACAGCCTTAAAAATTATTGAGAACTCCAAAGAACTTTCAATTATGTGGGTCATAACTACTGATACTTACTGTATTATAACTTGAAACTGAAAAAATTTTTAAATATTTATAAACATTTAAAAATAATAAACCCATTGTAAGCTAATGTAAATAGCATGTTTTTATTAAAAATCACTTTGTTTTCCAAAGCAAAAAATGTAGTGAGAAGAGAGGCCTTCTTTTACATTTTAATATCTGGCTTATGAGAAAATAGCTGAGTTTCTCATTTCTGCTTCTCCATTTAATCTGTTGGTGTATATTTTATTTAAAGTACAGTTAACCCTTGAAGAACGTGGGTCTGAACTGTGCAGGTCCACTTATACATGGATTTTTTTCTAATAAAAGTTGCAAATATGCCTGTCTCTCCTACCTCCTTATTCACCGCCTCTACTTCTTCTGCCTCAACCACTCATGAGTCAGCAAGACCAACCGTTCCTCTTCCTCCTTCTTCTCAATCTGCTCAGCATGAAGATGATGAGGATGAAGACGTTTATGATGATCCATTTTCACCTAATAAATAATAAATATATTTTTCTCTTATAATTTTCATTTATTTATGTATTCGTTGAGACAGAGTCTTGCTCTGTCACCCAGTCTGCAGTGCAGTAGCATGATCTCAGCTCACTGCAACCTCTGCCTCTCGGGTACAAGTGATTCTCATGTCTCAGCCTCCCGTGTAGCTGGGACTACAGGCACACGCCACCACACCCAGCTAATTTTTGTATTTTTAGTAGAGATGGGTTTTTTCCATGTTGGCCAGGCTGGTCTCGAACTCCTGGCCTCAAGTGATCTGCTCACCTAAGCCTCCCAAAGTGCTGGAATTACAGGTGTGAGCCACTGTACCTGGCCATGATTTTCTTAATAAGATTTATTTTCTCTAGCTTGCTTTATTGTAAGAATACAGTATATAGGACATAAACAAAATATGTGATTTGACTGTTTATGTTATCAGTAAAGCTTCTGGTCAATAGTAGGCTATTAGCAGTTAAGTTTTGGGGGAGTCAAAAAAATTATATGTGGATTTTCAACTGCAAAGAGGCCAGCTCCCCTAACCCCCACATTGTTCAAGGGTTAACTATATATGAAAAAAATCCAACCTCACACGGGTAAGTAATAAATTGCTTTTTAAAAATGTGGATATTCTTCTTTATAATACACCAAGAGTTGAAAAGTGGTAGTGTCTTAAAGATTGGTTTCAGTATGGATTCTGAAACCATGTCAATGAACTTCCCATTTTCTATGAAATTAAAATCCACTGGTCTACCTTGTACTTTGAGTGGATCTTTTACCCACACATGATTTTGTGTTATACATTGGTGATTTGGGCAATATTCATTCACTGAATTACTCAGATCCTACAAATGTTTCAATATTTCTTTATATAATACTTTTTAAAATCAGGAAGTCTTCAAGATCATGGTGGTGGATATGTTTTCCAGAACTCTAATTTTAGTTTGAAAGCTCAAGTTTTATCATTAGCATCAAATGCTGACAGTTGCTTTTCTGGAAGTTACAGGCTCACTTCATTTATTTTTGAGAAAATGTTTGCCAAGTACCTAAGTCTGAATAACAACAGTTTTCCCGTCATTCCTTTAAATAAAATTGCTTTTCATGACAAAAGTGACTAGTTTAACTTAACAACTCAACTGATTCTCCTCATGAGCTCTTTTTATCCATTGTGCTTTCTGTTGCAGAAGTATTTTATAAGCACTTTACATCACACAGAAAATATTAAAAAGATGTGTACTCAAGAGTTGAGAAGTAATAAAATTATTATTTTTTTATTTTTAGTTTTTTAGAGACAAGGTCTCACTCAGTTGCCCAAGGTGGAGTGCAGTGGTGCAATCATAGCTCCTTGTAGTCTCGAACTCCTGGACTCAAGTGATCTTCCTACCTCAGCCTCTGAAATAGCTGGGACTACAGGTATACACCACCATGCTAGCTAATTTTTTTTTTTTTTTTTATAGAGATGAGGTCTTGCTTTGTTGCCCAGGCTGGTCCTATACTTCTGGCTTCAAGTGATCCTTCTGCCTCAGCCTCCCAAAGTGCTCGGATCATAGGCATCAGCCACTGCGAGTGGCCAAATTAAATTTTTTTTTTTTAACCAAGAACATTATTAAGTTAAACTAGCTTTATGGAAAATAATTGTTTCTTTCTGTTGATTGGTAGTGCATGGTGTTGAAAAGTAAGACAGTGATGACTATAACCATTTGGTGCCGCTCCCTTGATTTGTGGTAAGGTACCAGCCATTTTTCCCACTATTGCTTTTGTGCTATCAGTGCAATGAAAAAGGCAAATTATGTGTTCCTGTACTTATGAAAATAGTTTACTTCTGGATCACACTTGTGAACCACACTTTGAGAACAGCTACTGGACAAAAATGTGAATGGATGATCTATTACTATGCACAACAATATGGATGAGTGTCAGAAATATAATGCTGAATGACGGAAGCCAGACCCAAAATAATACAGGCTCCAGGATCTTTTATATCTAAAGTACAGAAACAGGAAAAACTTAACTTTGGTGTTGGTAATTAGGAGAAGGGTTATCCTTAGGGATGCTGAGTGGAATGAGGCATGAGGCATGGTTTGCTGTGAATGTTCTTTCCTGAGCTAGACATTGGTTACGAGGGTCTGTTCAACTGTGAAATTCATTAGCTGTACGCTTATAATATGTACACTTTCTGTGTGTATGCTATATTTCAATGAAAAGTTCAGAAAATAATACTTACGTTCTTGTGTTTTGTCTCCTACCTCAGTTAATTGAAAGTTCTGGGGGGTGGCCTCTGAGTAGTAATAATCAAGAAAAAGTGACTGTTTGCTTTTTTCGATGCTAGCAATATTAGCTGTTTAAAAGGTTTTGCATGGGTTCAAATTACAGTCTATCGTTTTTAGGATGCTATGTGACTCACACTAGGTGAACACTGACCATGTTTTCCTATGGAATTTTTTTAAATGCAGTATATGTGGTTGGATGCAAGCTGTCTATGGGTTTCTGACCTTCAATGCAATTTTATATTTTCAGTTGATTGTTGTATCTGGAAGGAGATCATAATGAAGCAGAGGCCCTATATTATGCCTGTGGTCCAGCAGAAGGGGCTGGCTGACATGGAAATAATGTATTACATTTATTCATGCTATGGCATAATGAACTAAAAATATTCTGCTGGAGAGGTAGAATTAGAACCAAAAAACATTTTAGGCATTTGGCCTTTGCTAAAATAATATTTCTCTCCCAGTCTTCTCTTCCACCTTCCCTACACATTTAAGTTTTCTTCCTCTTCCAGCTTGGCTAAGGCCCTGCCTCACCCACAAAGCCTTTCCCAACTTCTGCTGCCTGTGGCTACCTCCCCTCTTCTGAACTCAGCACTCTTTTATATTGCCGACCCTCCAGTTTATTTGTTCATTAATTTAATTTATGTTGGTAAACTTATCTAACTCCTACATGTGCTAGGTTTAGGATCCAAAGACAAATATTTCAGACGAGCTGGATAGAAAGACAAGTGAAAAGCTCACTTCAATAAGGTCTGGCAAGTGTGACACTAGAGAGAGGCACAGCAGGCCGGGAGAACACACTGGGAGGCACCAAGTGGGTCAACATCAGGGGAAGTTTAGAGTCAGGCAGCCCTCAACTTGAGCCTTTGCTTTGTTATGTACTGTGTGGGGTGTTTGGCAAGTTACTTAAGGTCACTAAATCTCAGTTTCTTCAGGTGAAAAGTGGAGATATTAGGTGTTCCTATCTTAGGGGCATTGTGAGGAATAAATGAAGCTGTGTGCAGAACAGCTACGTAGTATATGCCTGGCACAGGATAAGTGCTCAGTTAATGTGAGGTATTATCACTATTATTTTTTATGTGTATGATTTCATGGCCCATGTGGTGAATTGTTTGAGCTATGTCATGACAGATATATAATGTCAATTTAACCAAAAATTTTCATTTGTATTTCTTGAACTCATAGAGGTTCAGGCTTAGCACATAATCACACTCCTCAAGAACATCTCTTATTTTTCTTCCCCATCTACTTCTATTATGCATTCAGGAGCTGGCCTTCCTAAGACGCTTCATTCAAAACTATTTTTTGGTTCTCATCCATTTTGCCCCTGTCTCATAGCCCCAAAGTGGCTGTCACAAACCTATGAGACAGGCATTATACCCATTTTATAGATAAAGGAAGTGAGCCTCAGAGAGCTACTAAATAACTGATCCAAGATTATACAGCTAATAAGTGGCATTGCCTAGTCCATGTCAAAGTTGCCAGCCTGGCCAGGCATGGTGGCCCATGCCTGTAATCCCAGCACTTCGGGAGGTTGAGGCAGAAGGATTGCTTGAGCCTAGGAGGTCAAGGCTTCAGTGAGCCATGTTTGTGCCACTGCACTCTGGCCTGGGCAACAAAGTGCGGCCTTGTCTCAAATAAAAAGAAGGAAGGAAGGGAAGGAAGGAAAGGAGGGAGGGAGGAAGGAGAAAGCAAGAAAGGGAAGGAAGGAAGGCAGGCAGGCAGGAAGGAAGGAAGGAAGAAAGGAAGGAAGGAAGGAGAGAAAGAAAAGAAAAAAGAAAAGGAAAAGAAAGAGAAAGGTAGGTGGTTGGCATGTTTAATATCTCTTAAATTCCTTCTCATTGTCTCCACAGAAGACCCCACTCTGTCTCCTGCTAAAGGTCTGTCAGAGCCTGTACAAAGGTTTTAAGGTCACTTTCTTTTGGAGCAGGATGTCTGAAGCTGATGCTGTATGTTGCCCAATGAACAGCCATTCCTTTCCCCTTTCTTCCTTGTTGTTAAAGCCTGTCTCCCACGACAGAGACTGAAAATGCTAAATACTAGTTTTCCCTGCCTCTTTGTTGCTATGGTGTGGGTCTGTGACTCAGTCCTGGCTAATGGGACGTGAGGAGAAGTTTGCTCAGAGGCATCTGAAAAGGGTTTGTCTCCTTAGTACAAAGATATAAGAGGAGTCTCTACTCTCTTCCTACCCTTCCTGTTTTGAACATTGCTTTGTGAAGACATGATGCTTCGGGCTGTGGCAGCCATCTGGTGTCTATAATGTTTTGTGCCCCCTCTTCATGCATTTTAATCTCAGATGGTAAAAGACACCCTCAAGTACACTAGGACTTACCTATAATTAATTGAGCTATTCAGAACATGTTATGTAAATGTTAACATGACCATGGTAAAGAATAGAATATTTTAATGGAAATGTTTGTGAGGAGGAATAAACCTTTGAAATTATCTAGATTATCAACTCTTCATTTCACAGAAAAAAGAAACTGATACCCAAAGCATTTAAACATCTTTCCTAAAATTATACTTGGTTAGTGACAGAGTCTGGCATAGAAGCTAGGCCTTCTGACTCTGTTTCAAACATTATTTCTGTAAGACATTTTTTGATGAATAAGACATCACTCAGTTGGAGCTGTGCTACTTAAAATATTTGTGACGAGTAAGTGACCATCTGAAGTGATTCAACTTGTTTGATTCATTTTGTTTCTAAATAGTTCTAAGCTTAGTTGGCTATTTAGTGAGACTACCTGACATCCTTTTTTTCTGAGAGTCTTTCTTGAGTTTAGTAAGTTGTTTGAAACAAAAGTACCAAGATTTCAGTCATTCTGCAGCAGAGAAACCAACATTCCGTGATGCCCTTTGTCGGTATGATATTAGTCAGAGAAGGAAGAGTTGCATCACTCCCTAGTGCCATTATTTGTAATTGTGTGCTTCACTAAAGGAGATTACAATTAATTTTATTCACAACATATATTTTCAATGTTAAATTTAACAGAGTTTAGGTCATTATGGATTACTTGAATGTCACTTTGCCCTCCCTTGGCCTGTTGTGGATTGATTTGTAGTCTCTAAGAACATATTCTGAAGTCCTAATCTCTGGTACCTAGAAATGTTACCTTATTTGGAAATAAGGTCTTCACAGATGTAGTCAAGTTAAGTATCCTTGTCATATTGAAGACAAGGATCTCCACTCTTACCACTCCTATTCAACATAATACTGGAAGTCCTAGCCAGAGCAATCAGGCAAGAGAAAAAAATAAAGGGCATTCGAATTGGAAAAGAGGAAGTAAAATTGTCTCTCTTTGCAGGTTCTTATGTTAAGAAAACCTAAAGGCTCCATCATAACCCTCCTAGAGCTGGTAAACAAATTCAGTAAAGTTGCAGGATACAAAATCAATATACAAAAATCAGTAGTGTTTATATACACCAATAATGAAATAGCTGAAAAAGAAATCAACAAGGCAACCCCATTTACAACAGCTGACAAAAAATAAAATATCTAGGAATAAACGTAACCAAGGCAGTCAAAGATTGCTATAAGAAAAACTACAAAACACTGATGAAAGAAGTTGAAGAGGACACAAACAAATGGGAAAACAGTCCACACTCATGGACTAGAAGAGTCAATATCATTAAAATGACTGTGCTGCTCAAAGCAATATACATATTCAATGCAATCTCTATCAAAATACCAATGTCATCTTTCACAGAAATAGAAAAAAAATCCTAAAATTTATTTAGAACAAAAAAAGAGCCAGAAGAGTCAAAGGAATCTTGAGCAAAAAGAACAGAACTGGAGGTAACACACCACCTGACTTCAAAGTATATTACAAGGCTATAGTAACCAAAACAGCATCGTATTGGTATAAAAATAGACACACAGTCGACGAGGAACAGAATAGAGCACCCAGAAATAAATCCACGTATTTACAGCCAACTGATTTTCAACAAAGGTGCCAAGAACATACACTGGGGAAAGGACATGCTTTTTAATAAATAGTGTTGGGAAAATTAGATATCCATATGCAGAATAATAAAACTGGACCTCTATCTCTCCCCACATACAAGAATCAACCCAAGATGGATTAAAGATTTAAATGTAGGACATGAAACTATAAAACTACTAGAAAAAACCATAGAGAAAATACTTCAGGACATATGGTCTAGGCAAAAATATTATGGCTAAGACCTCAAAAGCACAGCCAACTAAAACAAAAATAGACACATGGGACTATATTAAACTAAAAAGTATCATCAGAGCAAAGGAAACATCAACAGAGTGAAGAGACAACCTGTTGAATGGGAGAAAATATTTGCAAACTATTCATCAAACAAGGGACTAATATCCAAAATATACAAAGACCTCGAACAACACAACAATTAAAAAAGCAAATAATCCCATTAAAAATTGGGCAAAGAACATGAATAAACAGTTCTCAAAAGAAGACATACAAATGGCCAACAGGTATACGACAAAATGCTCAACATCCCTAAGCATCAAGGAAATGAAAATTAAAACCACAATGAGATATCACCTTACCCCAGTCAGAATGACTATTATTAAAATGATAAAAATAATAGATGCTGGTCAGGATGTGGAGAAAAATAAATTATTATACACCATTGATGGGAATGTAAGTTAGTACAACCACAATGAAAAAAAATACAGAGATTTCTCAAACTAAAAATAGAACTACCATATGACCCAGCAATCCCTCCCCTCTAATATATATCTATCCAAAGGAAATCAGTAAGTATATCAGAGTGATACCTGCACCCCTATGTTTATTGCAGCACCATTCACAATAGCATAGATATGGAATCAACCTAAGTGTCCATCAGTGGACTAATAAAGAGTACATGGTATATATACATAATTGAATACTATTCAGCCATGAAAAAGAATGAAATCATATCATTTGCAGCAACATGGATGGAACTGGAAGTCATTATGTTAAGTGAAATAAACCAGGCATGGAAAGACAAATTCTGCTTGTTCTCACTCATATCACTCATATGTGGAAGCTAAACAACTTAACCTCATGGAGATAGGACTAGGAGAGATACCAGAGGCTGAGAAAGGGTGTGAGGGTAGGAAGGGGAAATGAAGAGATGTTGGTGAATGGGTACAAACTTACAGTTACATAGAAGACATATATTCTAATGTCTGATAGCAGACTAGGGTGACCATAGTTAGCAAAAATAGATTACATGTTTCAAAGTAGAGAGATGAGAGGACTTGAAATGTTACCAACACAAATAAATATTAAATATTCAAGGTGATGTATTAAATAGTACTTAAAATGCATAGAATGTGTAATGATCAAGTCAGAGTATTTGGGGTATCACATGTACCCCATAATATGTAAAACATTATGTATCAATAAAGAAAAAAATTAGGTTATAGTGGATTAGGATGGGTCTATTTCAATGATTTCATGTCATTATGAGCAAAGGGAGATTTGAACAAGGATTGCCAGCAACCATCAGAAGCTAGGAGGAGTTCAGAAAGGATTTTTCCCTAGAATCTTTGGAGGGACCATGGCCTTGCTGGCACTTAGACTTTAGACTTTACACTTCTAGCCTCCAAGACTGTGAATGAATAAATTGCTGTTGTTTTAAGCCACACCATTTGTGGTACTTTGTTATGGCAGCCCTAGGAGACTAATACATGGCTGCAGGTGTTCCTGGGTGGTATTGACCCTGCTTCTTCTCCATCTGTCCTTGAATTTATCTCTTGAGAGATCGTCAATGTCCTGGGCTCACCCTTTTGTGTAATAGATGTTAATAGACTAGGTAATTACTGTCATGAGAATTTTCTGAGAATATTAAAACTTTAATCTTTTCTGTACATCTTCATGGAATTAACAAGCAGGTTAACAACAAAATATGACCATGCACTGATATTAGGTACAGAAAGAAATAGTGAGCTAAGCAATTGGTCTCGGCAGAGTGGATCCTATAGAAAAAGAATAGATTGTGATGGTTATAAAAAGGTAAAGAAAGGAGCCTGAATCTCTCTGATCCACAGAAAGAGAAAAAGGATATACATAATGTTACCCAGCACAAAAATACAGACTTAGAAGCTCAACTAGAAGTCCTAAATCAGAACTGTCTTGGATCAAAGTGACTGAAAACTCAATTCAAACTGACAAATCTTGGGGCTCACAACTGAAAAGTCCAGGGATAAGTTATGTGGGGTGAAGAGTAATCCAGACATTTAGATAGTGTTGTCAGAACCCAGTGTCTCTACTTTTCTGTTGCCTTCTTTAGTAGGCTGTATAATGGCCACCCAAAGATATTAGGCCCTAATCTCTGGAACCTGTAAATATTACCTTTTAAGGAAAAAGGGGTCTTTTTAGATGTGATTAAGGTAAGCATCTTGACTTGGGGAGACTATTCTGTTGATCTGGGTGGGCCCTAAATCTAATCAATCACACCTGTCTTTAAGAGTGAGGCAGAGGAAGATTTGATACACACAGAAGAGGAGAGAGCAATGTGAAGATGGTGGCAGAGATGGGACTGATGAAGCCACCAGAAGCTGGAAGACATAAGGATCCGATTCTCCCCTGGAGCATCTGGAAGAAGCAAGGTCCTGTCAACATTGTGCTTTTAGTCATTGAAATGAATATTGAACAGAATCCTGTCCCCTAGCACTAGTAGAGAATAAAGTTATGTTGTTTTAAGCCACCAATTTATGATGATTTCTTATGGCAGCCACGGGATACTAATTTACCTTCTCAGATGATGCATGATGGCCAGATGGGTTGCCAGCAGCTCCCCTCTAGACTAAGTACAATGGAGAAAATAAAGCATTTCTTATTGTGACTTACACATGAGTTTCAGGATTCAAGATTTACTCTGAACTGGCCAACTCAGCTCATGTGCCCACCCCTAAATTAATTGGGGTATCTAGGAATTAGTTGTTCTAATTGTCCAGACCTAGGTCATGTGCTCCACTCCCTGATTCAAGGGTGAAGGCCCACCCATCATGTTGGCAGGCCTTACATGTTGATGGCGTGGAGGTAACTTTTCTAGCTTCGATCTTACATCAGACTCTAAGTTTAAAATCAATATCACATATGTGGAATCAAATTAAAATAACACCAATGTAGAGGCAATTGTACCACCTCTGTGTCATATACCAACAATGGTATTTAATAAGTATTTATTGACTTTGTTGCTATTTGTTTTTTTCCTTCCTTTCCTTCTTTTTCCTTTCTTCCCTCCCTCCTTCCCTTCCTTTTTTTCCTTACTTTCTCTCTCTACCTTGTTTGGTTAAAACCCAAACAGATTTATGAAAATGTAGAATGATATATACACATTAGCAGTTTTGTGTTCAAGACGGTGTGTAAATGGGGGCATACAGGGATATAACAGCTGGAATTATAAAACTGTATGCAATTTATACTTTAAAAACACACAAAGATCATAGATAGAAAAGAGTTAAGTGGAAGTCTAAAAATAAAGACTGGAAAAAGCTCATTTATGTTGGGGGGCATTGGGTTTATTTGAAAAGCAGTGAAGGTAAAATTATAGATATGTTGGAAATTTTCTGAAAAGTTTTTACTGATGAGTTATCTTATACCCACCTTACTAATGTATATGTAAATAGCTATATTTTTCTCTATCTGAGATGATTTTCTTGAGAGTCTGTTGTGATTTCTGAGTCTTTGTAGATCTAACAGAAACAGAGGTAAAAGAATACAAATTATTACTCAAAGATAGACACATAATTGATAAACATTGTCTATGAGAAGTAAGTTGGATAAACCAAACACTTTATTCTTGGAGAGAGCTGTTCTATAATACAAATCTATTCAGGGAGAAAAAGAAATTTAATTCTTGCCCCCCGCCTCACCATTCTTCTTCTCCTTTTTCTTCTTTCTCTTTTTCTATGAAATTCTACAGCTCACCAGTTACTGCACTATGTATCTTTGGGTCCCTCTGAGAAGGTCAAACTTCTAATAACTAATAAGTAACTAATAACTGTAGTTACTCTCTGATCAGCTTCTAATATGTCCCCACCTTGCACTTCTCAGACAGGGAGATAAATAAAAATAGTGTCAATATGAGCATTTCCAAACCTGCAGAAATTCTTACCCAAAGGTCTTAACTGCCCATTGGTTGTAGCTGCAGAGAATCAAGAAGGGGCAGAGTGGTTTCTTAGCCCCATATAGACTGGGTGTCTTCCCTTAGTTTATGTCCACCTGGCAATTGGTCCAAAGCCAGGGGACCAGGACCTTACAACCGTTGTACCAATGAACAGTAGGAACTCTTCAAAACATAACCAGCCTTCTGGGAGAAGGCAAATGGAGCATAAAAGATCTAATGTAGGCTGGGCATGGTGGGTTATGCCTGTAATCCCAACACTTTGGGAGGCTGAGGTGGGCAGATTGCTTGAGCTCAGGAGTTCGAGACCGGCCTGGGCAACATGGCAAAACCCTGTCTCTATAAAAAATACAAAAAATTAGCCAGGGGTGGGGTGGTGGCACGTGCCTGTAGTCCCAGCTACTCAGGAGGCTGAGGTGGGAGGATCGGTCAAGCCTGGGAGGCAGAGGTTGCAGTGAGCCAAGATCACACCACTGCACTTCAGCCTGGGTGACAGAGTGAGACCCTGCCTCAAAAAAAGATTTAAAAAAAAATCAAATGTATTTTAAGAATCTGTTTTATTGCAGATAGTAATTCATGTTTTCACCTTTTCTGGCTTCTTGATTTCTAGGTTTAACTTTCTCCCCCACTTGTTCTACCCAACAGCCCTCTTGGCCGCTCCTCCCTGGAATCATTTCCTGTCATGACATTTTTAGAAACCAAAATAACAGCATTTACAATGTAACAGCTAAATATTCCCATAGAATATCTTGGTAAAACAAGCACTTTTGCATGGTAGTTTTTAACACACTATTGGCTATGTATTCAGACTGAACCTCTTCTGAGTGTCCACGGTTTCTAGCTAACCAATGGGCTGATTGCAGCATTGTTCGCTGTCGCTCTGTAATCACATCTGGCATACAAAGCTGGCGGCATCCTGGCTTCCAGGATCTTCTTGTGTAGTGTCTTGGTTTAATGTCAGAACACACAGTTTATTCAGAGAGTGAGGGGGAGGGTGCTTTTAATAATAAGAGGCAGCTGTGTAATTCTCTGTAAAAAATGAAGCAGAAGAAGTACATTGCAATATTACATGGGGTTATGAGATACCACAAATGGAATGTTAGTTGGACAAATTCAATACATTTTGAATTCTTTGGATTTTTTTAAAAGAAGATAATCACTTGTGCTTTTTTCAATAGAATTATTTACTTAGCCTTTTACATCTTGAATTTTCCAGTTTAAATTTAGTACAGCATAAACTCAGAGAGGTGCTGGGAAAAATTTCCAAAGTGTCTGTAGACAGTGTTCTTAAACCACGATGGCAAAACCTCAAAAATAGGTGCAGCTCCATCAAAGTTAAATTGAATGACTCAATGTCTGGACCGCTCAGGTTTTTTTCTAGTTAGGGAAGGGGAGAGACTGTTCACTGTAGAAATTCAGAATCCTGGATGGAGGAAGTTTGTTTTGTTTTTGTTTTTAGAGAGGGGGAAAAAGTGCCATCATGGGAAATTAGAATAAAAACAGAAGTCTCTTTAAAAGTGTAAAATAAGAGTCAGCTTCCTTGTTTTTTGTTACTTTTTATTTTCAAAAATTACATGGTAGCCTGGAGCTCTATCTTAGATATCAGTTTACCCAACTTCCACAATTTCTAGATAAAGCCTTGAGGCTCCCTTTTCCCTCGTGTGTCTTCCTTTGCAGTCACTTTCCCACACTCGCTTGTGTATCAGACAAGGGGTGGCAACGCGACTAAGTTTTGGCCAACAATGTGTAAGGGCAAGTATGGTGGATTTTGTCACTGTTAAAAATAAAAAGTGCCTTGATAAAAATGATTTTCAGCTTCACCGATTTCACATTTTTTGTAGTCTCCCTCTTTCTCTCTCTGTGTGTGTGTGTGTGTGTGTGTGCACGCACATGTGTATGTGTGTGTCTGTGATTACAAAGGCTAGAAATGGCTGCATGTTTTTGAATGGGAATGTGATGCTTAGAGCTTAGCGGCCATCTTGGACCTATGAGGTGGCAAGACTAAGACTAATGATGGAGAGAGAGCAGAGTAGGAGGATGGAAAGAGCTCGATTCAGCTAGCCACTGTACCAAATCTGGAACATCCTACCTCTGGATTTCTTTCTGTGTGAGACAATTAATTGTCTTTATTTCATAGGTCACTTGTAGCTTTCAGTCAGTTTTTCTGTTACTCATACCTCTGTACATTTCTAATTAATACACCCTGAAAGATTAATCTGCCCAAGTTTATAAAATACACTGTAGCATAGTCTCAGTTGGAATCCAGCTCTTCTAATTTCTTGTTTATTATCTTTCCCTCTCACTATCTGCCCCTGTTCTATCACCAGATTTGTCTCTACATGAATAAATGGGTTATTGTCTTGATTAAACCTGTTAAGTATGGTACTGCAGTAAATTGTATTTGTCCCCTAGATTCGTGCCTGCATTTGCAATCCTTTTTGCTAATACGCATAAATTTTATAGCCTGTCTTTGCGTGAAAAGGCTTCACAAGTTAAGGATTATTAGATGATTCATTTTCATATTGAAAGCCTTGATTTAACAAGAGGTAACCATTGTGAGTCATGTTAATATTGAGGGAGTTTAATGTGTCAGCATGCTTACAAAGTTGACTGTATTTCAAAACCTCAAATTCTTATCCTGAAAGGTGTTTTTAAGAACAAGTAGGTAAAATTATATCAAAATAGAAAAATATAAGCAAATGTTTAGCAAAACTAAAGAGTAATAATAAAATATATAGGTAATAATATCTCAGAATATATGACATACTGTACCAAAATTATCTGAAAATTCATGTGCTCTTCCTGGATTTACCAATTATTTTTGTGTAATAAAAATCTTATCTGATTGGTTTTCCTCTACCTTTAGAATAACGATTTTATGTGACCATAGAATTCTAGGGTTGAAAAGATTCAAAAATCCATGTTATCTATTACCTGGCTTTGAGAGAGGACCCATCAAATCATTTTACCAGGTGAGAATGGATGATTTTCCAAAGATTCTATAGAAAAGAAAGTTGTAAGTTTTCTTTACAGAATAGAGAATAATCATGAACTGTATCACAAACACAAATGAAATCGTATTTTAGGAGCACTTTTAGTTAGTTATGTGAAGGATACTAGATACAAAGGATACTTTGCTCCTTCTCCTTAGAAGACATTTTGCTTTCCCATAGGCCATCAAATGACCTTTCACGCTTCAGCAGTGTTATGACTGCACTTGCTTTCCATCAACAATGCCTTTCAGAATGCTTTCACAGTACAATGACTTAGTTTAGAAAGCATCCATTGGAAAAAAAAGACACTATTTCCATGGCAGTGGCAGCACCATAAAGAAAATGAAGCTTGGAGAAGCACAGAGATGCAGATGTTAAACAGTGGTATCTTCCTGAGCCCGATAGCCACAACAGTACTGCAGGAGTGTTGTATTGTAGAACAATCTTTTTTAAGTTAGAGTGAATTCTAAATTTAGTGAATGTATAGCTCAACACATCAAGTTGTTGACAGTGAACATTATGCATGATTATTCTGTATTGTGTTTTAAGGAATAATGTTTTAATACAGTGTGCCCTGTTTTTCACTCCCGTAATCTATTCTCTGAATTAGGAGACATTTCTTCTTTACATAATATAAGAAATGTGAAGAGGAAAACTGAAAAAAATTCAAAATCCCTATGATCATAGTTAATTATTTGTTTATTTGATGAAGTTACTTTGACAAACCATCAATAAATTCTTCTTTTATCCTCCCCCCGTGTTCCTTCTGTTATAAAACAAGAGTATCCTTGTTGTCCTTCTCCCACCTGGACGCAGACAGCTGTTTATCAGTGACCTTTGTTATTTAGCTATTGAACCTGAGAGGTGTCAGGGATAGTGACAAAGCAGACACTTTCTTGTGCTCAAACATACTACTATTTGGAGAAGGATAGACGTCCATTCTCATGGTGACAAGTGACCAAGCCTACATGGAAGAACTTCTTATAGAGCCTGAAAATGGGTTCTAGCTGATGTCCTGCAGTATGAGCACAGAGACTTAGGGTTTCTGACTTCTTTCCTATGGTCAGAAGCTGTTGGACCTGCATTGGAGTGTCCCCCAGGGATGCCCTAGGCAGAGGCACAAAGTCTTCCTTTGACTTCTCTCCAATCCAGGTTCCCTACCTACTCTGTAAGTCCTTTTAGGTCCACTGTCTTCATTGGCACTGTCTTCTCTTTATCAATTTAAATTTTATCAATTTATCTGTGGTTAGTGTTAATGCCCAGAAGCCACCGCATAATCCTAATAATTATCATCTGTAAAATTAAATACTTGAAACTTCCCCCTTGATAGCTCTCTGATTATACCACTTTAAATCTCACTTTCCATTCATTCACATCTATAAAAATAATTATGATAATAAAACTCCTAGAAGAAAACACAGAAGTAAATCTTTATGATCTTTGGGTTAGGCAATGATTTCTTCGATATGACTCCAAAAACGTAAGCAATGAAAGTAGGATTGTTAACTTGGTCTTCACCAAGGTTAAAAACGTTTATGTTTCAAAGTACACCATCAGGAAGGTGAAAAGAAGGTCTATAGACTGGGAGACAATATTTGTAAATGACATATGTGAAAATGGGCTTGTATCCAACCCATATAAAGAACTCCTACAACTCCAAAAAGACAACTCAGTTTTAAAAAAGGGGCAGATGATAAGAATAGACATTTCTTTAACGAAGATTTACAAATTATCAACAAGCATATGAAAAGATGTTCGACATCATTAGCCATTAGGAAAATGCAAATCAAAACCACAACGAGATACTACTTCACATTCGCTAGAATAGTTATAATCAAGACAGTGACAAGTGCTGAAAGGATGTAGAAAAATTGGAACCTCATACTTTCCCGGTGGGAAAAAGTATGGTACAGTCACCTTGGAAAACAGTTTGGCAGTTTCTCAAAATGGTAAACATAGATTTACCATATGATCTAGCAATTCTCCTTCTAGAATATACACCCAAGAGAATTGAAAACATGTCTAAACAACATCTTGTAAATGAGTGTTCATAGAAATATAATTCATGATATCCAAAGAGTAGGAACAACCGCAATGTTCATGAACTGATGAATAAATAGACAAAAATGTTTTATGTCCATAGAATAGAATGGTCTTTGGCCGCAAAAAGGAATGAAGTGCTGATATATGCTACAACATGGATGAACCTAAAAATATGTTGCATGAAGGAAGCCAGTCGTAAGATACCACATATTGTATGATTTCATGTATTCACAAAACAGAATAGAATAAGCAAATCTATAGAGGCAGAAAATAATGCGCTTAACCAGGGTTTGCAGGAGAAGGGGAGAAAAGAATAGAAAGTGATTTTTCATGGGGATGGGTTTCTTTATGAGATGATGAAAATGTTTTAAAATTAGATTTGAGTGATGGTTGCACAACTCTGTAAATATTCTAAATACCATTGGATTGTACACTTAAACACACTTAAACAGGTGAAGTTTATGGTATAAATTATATCTCAATAAAGCTGTTAGAATAATTATGATATAATATAAAAATAATTGTGTTGGGTAATACTTTATTGTTTATTATCTTCATTGTGGAACAACAATTATTACTAGAAATAAAAACATAAAAAGGCAAAAAAAAAGCACATTGAATTTTGGCAGTGGCCAAGTTATTTAGCTTCCATTACCACCAACATATACCATACTGTAGCTGGATATCAGAACTGAGGAGATTACCGGTAGGTTTTGGAAAATGAAAACTGGTTCATGATGCCAATCCCAATTGCAAGTGGATCCTAAGCTTTTTTTTCTGATCAGGGCTGGACTGGGGAGAAAGGGGTGCCAATAGGTCCATGGTGCTTTAAAGAAAATATGGTATGTGTTGGTGGTAAAAGAACTAAAATATTGGAGATTCAATATAAATAACAATAAACTTTTCATACATAATATATTTAGCTAGAAAAGTACTTAAAGTTTTATCCGGGGTCAATTTCCATCAGAATTTTGGGGAGAAGATACTTACAAAAAATTGAAATTGATCAATCCCACCCTAAATCTATGAACTGATATCTCTGGAGGATGAGAGTGTTGGAAGCTGGGAATCTGCATTTCTAAAAATGTTACTAGGTGACTCTGATGCAAATAGAGAAAACTGATACAAAATTGAAAGGCCAATTTTCACAACTTATACTGTGTGTGATACTGGAAGTCCTAGTTAACAAAATAACATAGAACAAATAAATAAAAACTACAAGGATTGAAAACAAATAACATTGTCCTTACCCACAAATATGGTTGTCTGCAAGAAAATCTATGGGGATCTGCAGAAAAGGACATTTGGAAAACCTAAGAAAATCTATGGAGAAAAGATTGTTTTAGAATTTATGGTGTTCAGCAAGGTTGCAGAATACAAAATTAACAATCAAAATTTAATACGAAAAACTCAGTAGAATTTGTGTATAACAGCATAACCTTGTATAAATGCAATTTTAAAAAGAACAAAAAATTGAGGGGGATAGTTGGGGCCAAGAAAGAAAGAGAAATTATAAGGTTCCTATTAAAAATCTCACAAAAACTTTTCCTTTCTTCATGCATGAAATTACAAAACTTTATTTAAAGACATAAAATAGATTATTTTCTAAGCCAATTGGAGAGCATACTATGTTCATGGATAGAGAGATTCATAAAAGTATTAATTTACTCCAAATTTGTCTAGAAATGAATGAAAATTTCTAGAGGAAGTTTGTAAAAATGCACAAAGTGTATAGCAATTCTACTTCAAAACACAGTACTATATTTTAGAGAAACACTTGCATATGTTAACACAGATACTTATTACAGCAGTGCTTGGAATAGTAAAAAAGGGGAAACAACCTAACAACCCACCAGTAAGGGAATTAACAAATTAACTGTGGGTTATTACTATTTGACAGTTAAAATGAAGCACTTCAACCAATCTGCATCTATTAGTATTAAAAATTCAAAAACCAAAATATTCAATGTAAAATGCAAATTGCTATATGTAGATACAATATCAAATATATAAAATGTAAAGACCCCAAAATACTATTTTAATTCATGGATACATATTTAGTAAAATTATGCAAACTTTCGTGGAATTGATTCCCTAAAACTTCAGAACACCTCTGAGGAAACAGGAGAGGAAAGATATAGGACTGGGATTCAAGTTTTAGCTGTATCTAGAACACTTTATTAAAAGAATAAGTAAATAGGAAGCAAAAATGGAGTAATATTAACATGTTAGGTCTATGTGGCAAGTAACTTGTGTTACATTACTCTTTGTATTTTAAAATACTTCAAAAAACAAAAATAAAAAAATTGATTCACAGAACAGAACATTCAATATGGATTAACTCTTTTAATTGAGTTGACATAAAGCCCTATATTGGTTTAGCTCCTCTCATCAATATTTTCCATAACTGAAATCTGGACAGATGGCAGATACAATATTTTCTCTCCTTGACAGATGGATGAACTGGAAGGTTTAATTACTTTCTCCTAGTTACTTAATAAGTAGCTCTAGAAACAAAATATTTTGGTCAGTAACTTGGGTGTTTGTCTACCACACAGCATGTTAGAACACAATAATTAGCCTGTATAGTTTCGACTGTAAGATAACATATTTACATATGTGTTCTATTACATATATAAAACAGAAACCTTATATCTTCGTGTATAATCAGACACTGTAGAACAAGAAGAAATAATCTTAAAATTTTAATAATCTTAATTTTTTTCTAATGACGTTGTAGATAAGATTTTTTGTTCTTACATAATTGCAAAAAAAAATTATTTTTTAAAGTGAGAGTTTTTGATATTAAGTAAAAGCCAAGAATAAATTAGATCCTTTGGTTAGAGCATTTGATTTCCCTGCTTCAGAAGTGGGCACACACAAACAAAGAAGTGGGTACATAGGACAAAGATCACTTGGCTTATATTCAGGAAATGTAAATTTTCCTCTCAAGTCTTCCACTGGCTAACTGTAGCCTGCATCAATTCTTTGAATTTTTCAGGGTCTGTCAAAGTTTATGGAAGAAAGGATGTATCAGGTTGAGAGAAAAGCATTAGTCTTAAAATGTATTGCTTGTTTGAAACATGGCAAACAGCCTGCTGGGGCTGGAAGGAAGTGTTCATGGAAGGCCGTAGTAGGGAATGCGGCTAGAGATGCTTTAGATTTTACTCTACAGCAATTGAACATTTTTGAGGAATGGCATTGTAATATCTGCCTTACAGTTTGCATGGGAATATTGTCATTTGGTAATTGCAGGCAGCGACATATACACAAACCATACTAAATCAGGTCAACCAAACAGGAATTTTTTTTCCTCCCAAAATAAGAAGTCAGGAGATGGACAGGCCACAGTTGGGGCAGCCTCTCAAGAAAGTCATGAAGGACCGAGTTTCCTTCTAGCTTTCCTGTTCCACCAGCCTTGGCTTGTGAATTTTGCCCTCATTCTCTCATGACAGCTGTTCCATTTCTATGCAGAAAGAAAAGGGAAATTCAAAAGTTAAATGTTCATCCAGACAAGTTTTCTCTTTTTCCAGTAAAATAATAACTTTAATGGATGTTCCATCCAGCAGACTTACGTTTATATCTCATTGGCCAGAAATGTATTACAACAAAGTCTGGGGAGGTGTGTGTGGGTTGTGTATGTGTGTATGTGTGTGTGTGTTTTACTGCTTTATTGAAGTATAATTTACATAAAATAAATTACATATGTAGAAAGTATGCATTTTGGTGAGTTTTGATATGTGTGTACACTTATGCAATGATTATCATAATGAAGATACCAAATATTTCAAGAAAGTATTCAAAAATGGGAACTTCGTTACCTGAATAAATCAAGTTTCTTTTAGCAAGAGGCAAATGGAAAAAATAGATTTTTGAAAGACAACTAGTAGTGTCTGCCACAATTTCTAGATTCATAAATTTTCCCAAAGGTGCCCCTCCAAGTGATTCTCCTGGTTCATCTTGGTGGACCCCAGGAGAGCTTTAGGAAGAGAACCAGAGCAGGAGTTTGCCTTGGGATCATTTCTAGTCTAAGTCTGCCTTGGCAGGCAGTGTAATATAGATGAAAGCATGGTTTTTGGTGTCAAATTGGGGTTAAAATCCCAGCTCTCACACTAACTCATTGTGTGGCTTTGAACAATTCAGTTCAACAAAGCTTTAATGAGTATCAGCTATATAACAACTACTTTCCATTCCCTGGGCATACAGCAGTAAAAAGGACAGACGTAGTCCATCCCTTCACAGAGCTTGCTATCTGGTAGTGGCTGAGCCTTTTCTATAAATAGGAGCTGTGGCGAGGATAAATTTAGTTCTTACAACATGTGAATGTTAGTTTAATGGTAATTATTTAGGAGCTGTCCTAGATTTGGCTTCATTCTACTAATACTTGAATTTGGGAGCTTGAATCTCCCCACTAGAAGTTGTGCTTGATTTTGGATTAATCCCAAGAGTTCTGGGCTTTTTTTGTAGCTAATTAAGGTCAACTATCTTTTCTCTCCCCACACCATGGCCCTAAACCTCACTGGGTTAAGAGCACATGACCTAGTTTCCTCCCTCTGGGGGAAGAAAATTCTAAAAATCTCCTTAGAATCTCAGAAATTCCCTGCCTCTGAAAATCCTTCTGTTTTGAAGTCACTCAGGAGCCGGAGCCTATTTTCCACACCCGCTTCCAGTTCACTCCTCTGCGAGTAACTTGGGTTCCCAGATCTGCCTGAGGATACTAGAATTCATCCTAGACCATGGATACCCCTATTCCAGATCACAAGGTCCCAGATTTCTGCCAGGGGAATGAGAAAATGCTGTAAAGATCAACAGTTCTTCTTGTAATTTCTTTTGCTTTTCGATAGCATTGAAAATGTATTGGAATGTTATAATTACTTCTTATTAAGTAACCAGGATCTCTATGTCTGTCTGTCTATCTGTCTGTCTGTCTGTCTATCTATCTATCTCTCTATCTATCTATCCATCCATCCATCTATCTACCTATCTATCTGTGGCTATTTTTGGAGTTGGCTCCTCTTGGGAAATATTTAACAGTTTTGTGGAAATCCCAAATACCATAATGGTAACTGCAATTCCTTTAAAACTCATAATTCAGTGATGCATCCAGGAAAAATGGCTGTCTTTGCCAAACTCCTGGATTCTCTGTCTTTGGCCTGGCTGTTTGTACCCTGACCTGGTCCCCCGTGAATCTGCCAGTTCCAAGAGCTTGGTGCACCCTGTGTCCTGGTAGAGACAGGAGCAAGGCTCACTACTTAAATTTGTCTCTAGTCTAGTACTGTCTCCTCGGGGACTCTAGAGTCTTCCCTTTCCTTTGCCCAGCATGAGTGGGTCTGAAATGTGCATAAATAGGCACTTCCGTGAATCCCGCTGAATTTTTAAGAGGATTTAAGGAGTAAGGAATGAATGAAAGACTATACAAATCATTCTCCAAATGCCCAAAATGCACGTGAAAGCATTTCTGCTGAACTTTCTGATAATCTACTCCTGGCCCTGTGGTGATTTCTCCCCAAATATTGCATGTTTCAGACATACTTATACTAAAAATCATTTATCTAAAATTCAAATCGAACTGGGTGGCCTATATGTTATCTGGCAGCCCTAAGTTAGACAATACTGTGTATTTATGACCATGATAACTTACTGGACCTGGGTTCTTCTTTGACTGTGAAATAAAGTACTCTGTTACATTCCTGTCCATGTGTAGTGTGATAATGCAACCCTGTCTTTGAAAAGCCAGCTCAAATGCCGTGGCCTCTTTCCTGATCCTTCATTTGTCCAGTCAGAAGTACTGTCTTCTTCCTCTGAATCCTATAGCCTGTCTCTTGTTTTGGTTGTATATTACAACTAAAGTTGTGTCAGCATTTCTCAAAGAGAAGCAGCTGAAACCCAGATTCTTCTGGTAAGTGAAGTTAGATGACAGTCATCTCCCCTTCAGTGACTTGAAATCACTGATGTTTAACAGAAACCAAAATGGATTCAGGTCTGTCCACAGTGGGGTTTCATATCTTTGTGTTATGGGCTTAGGTGGCCCTAAAGAGGCTAATTCTGCAAGGAGAGAGAAGTATGGCCTGAGAGGAGGGTTCTGGAATGGTGAGCTACCCTAGAACCTTTGTATTGGTGTTAGTATCATGTGATTTGTCTCTGCTAGAATTTTGCTTATATAAGTCTTATTCAAATGTGAGTTTAGCCTTTTTTGGGGGGAGTAGGGGTAATATCTGTGTTCTACTTTTGTCTGATATGGGAATTAGGGATTTATTAGTTTCTAAAAATGGTGTCTAAAAGTTGCACGTTTTTCTAGCCTGTAGAAGCGATTATTAATCGTTTGAAAATCACCAATTACTTGGAAAGTTTCTATAATTTGTATATAAAACTAAAGGGGCCTGGAACCATATTCTGGAAATAATCTTTGCCAAAGCTTTACATTGTTTTTGTCATCATTATCTATTCAGTTTGTCTATATCTTCTTAATTTGATTTTGGAAATTTGTATTTTTTTCTATAAACATGTAATTTCTATTGAGACTTTAAGTATATTTTCATAGAATTATATGTACATATTTTTAACAATTAAAAAAATCTACTCTCAATCTGTTAATTTTTCTACTTACGCATTCCTAATTTTTCCTAAAGCTTATTTTTGTCCAAAGAATTTCTCATGGTTTTGTTTTTGATTCTGTCCTTTTCCAATTCCTAATTTATTAAAACAGATTTTAACTTTTAATTCCTTCTTTTTGCTTCCTTTGGGTTTACTTTATCCTCTAATTTATAAAAATTGTATGTTTAGTTAATATTATTATTTGTTGATTAAATAATGAAAGATTATATGAATGTTACCAAAAACATTATTAGTCATCTCTCATAATTAAACAAAATGAAATACAATGTTATTTTTTCAGATGATCTTCAGAAAAATAGAAACAAGAAAATAAAGAACACTCATAATTTAACTACTAAATTTAATACATTTTAACCTTTGAGACATTCTTTTAGGTTGTTCTCTTTCCTCTGTTCTCTTTTTCTTTCTATACATATTTTTAAAAAATGACATCACACTATATTTAGGCAATTTTATATTTCTTTCCCTTTTAGATAATATTTTAATGTCAGAAAATGCAAATCTGTTTCTTCTTCTTCTTCTTCTTCTTCTTCTTCTTCTTCTTCTTCTTCATCTTCATCTTCTTCTTCTCCTTCTTCTCCTTCTTCTCCTTCTTCTTCTTCTTTTTTTTAGACGGAGTTTTTGCTCTGTTGCCCAGGCTGGAGTGCAATGGTACCATCTGAGCTCACTGCAACCTCTGCCTCCCAGGTTCAAGTGATTCTCCTGCCTCAGCCTCCTGAGTAGCTGAGATTATAGGCACCTGCCACCACACCTGGCTAATTTTTTTTTTTTTTTTTGTATTTTTAGTAGAGATGGTGTTTCACCACGTTGGCCAGGCTGGTCTCGAACCTCTGACCTCAAATGCTCTGCCTGCCTTGGCCTGCCAAAGTGCTGGGATTACAGGCGTGAGCCACCGCGCCCAGCCTATATCTTCATTTTTAATAGCTGCATAGTTTTCTACAGCCTGGCTATACTATAATTTATTTAAACTACCCACTATTGAAGAATATTAAAGTGTTTCCTGTTTCTATGTTAGTATCTTTACTATATAATGAGAGCTAAATAATTAATAAAGTAGAAACCAACAATATGTTGGATTGAAAATGATTGTACATACCTCCTTAATCAGCAAACTTATTTCTTTTGTGTGGGTTTCTAGACATAGAATTGTTTGGGAGTCATTGGGTATAGGTATATTAAATTTTCATAAATTTTTCCAAACTTCCTTTCAGATTGGTTGTGTTATTTGCACTCCTACCAACTTTGGTGAGAGTGTTTACTTCATATATCCTGGCACCATTGGCTATAATTAATATAATCATTGCCAATATGATAAAACTATAATTTTTAACAACTTCATTGTTTTTAAAATTTTAATTTTTTTAATTAATGGTAAGGTTACATTTTTGATAAATGTATTGCCCAATTATGCAATGACTTATATATGTAAACATATGTAATATACTTAAGTCATTTAAATAGTACCTGGTATAAAATAAGTGCTATATAATGATTGCTGTTGTATTGTTTTATTATTAATTTTATTTTCATGTTGTAAATTGCCTGTGATTATTCTTTACTAATTTGCTATTGAGACTTATTTTTAAATTGTCTCCTGACAGGAGTTTTGAGTTCTCTTTGACCCTAGAGTTAATTAGGAGTGTGATATTTGAGGCTTTTTTGGGGGGAGTATAAACTTTATTAGATTTCTACCTTAATGTTTCTAGCTTTGCTTTTTTTCTACCTGCATGCATGTAGTACTCATTCTTCAATCCTGAAATGTTAAAATTTCAGGAGATGTGTGGTTTTTTCCACTAATCTGCCCTTAGGGAGTCTTTTTGTCCTAACGTCTTTCAATTTTCTTGTATCACATCTTTACCTATTGTTTCTATCTCATTTTCTTCTGGTATTATCTGGAATATGAATTATTAATAACATTGGATTTTTCTTTTTATCATCCCTTTATAATATTATTTCTCTCATCTTTTAAATATCTGTTCTTTTTCTCTGCATTCTGAAAGAATCTTTTAAGTATATTCTTCACATCACTAGTTTTATTTTCTATAGTGTCAATTCTATCTTTACTGCCTTCATTCTAGATACGTGTTATAATTTTGCGTCTTTTGGACTTCTTACCTGCCCTTTTCTTTTTGCTGCCTTTTACCCAGGCACACTTATATCTAATTTGTAATTTAACCTCATTTGACCTTCAATAGTATATGTTTTTATAATTTTATTGGGAACATGAAGCATAAGTTTCTAATATTTACCTCCTATTTCCTATATAGTAGGTAACTTGTAAATTTTGCTTTGTTTTTCCATCTTGAATGTAATTAATTTATTATACCATAGATTATTTTCATAATTCCATATCAATATTTTTGTCTTGCTGCTTATCATTTTTATTTGAGCAATAGATTACCTATGCTTGATATCTATCCACAAACTGGGTAGGTCAGACTTCAGCTTTCTGCTATTAAGCTTTACTACAGCTGGATTTCAATCATACTGTCAGTTCACAGATCTGTCTCCCACAGACTGAGAGGAGGAAGAAGGAAGGTACATCAGCAGAAGAATGTTGACTGTGCACAGTTTTCTCTCCATGTTTGGTGAAGCTGCTGGGCAAGCGTCCGATTTCTGGGTCCACCTTCTTTACTGTCTACTCTTAGCCAGCTTTCCTAATGCTTTATACAGTCTGCAGCTGTGTCCAGCTTCCTTCCCAGTTGAAATCTTACTGCATGTTATGGCCTCTGCAAGAATTGAGTGACTTCAAGAAATATTCATTTTTTTATTATTATTATTTTTTAGAGATAGGCTCTTGATCTGTCACCCAGGCTGGAGTGCAGTGGCATGATCATAGTTCACTGCAGCCTTGTACTCCTGGGCTCAAGCAATTGTGGTGCCTCAGCTTTCTGAGTGGCTGGGACCACAAGTGCATGTCACCTTGCCCAGCTAACTTTCTTTTTTTTTTTTTTTTTTTTTCTGATGCAGTGAGTTAACTCTAGGAATTTATTTTACTGATAATTTTACATACTTTCAAAAGGACATTTATACCAGATTATTCACTACAGAACTATTTGCTACATTAGAGGGATTGAAAACCATATAAATGTTTATTAGGAAGGAAATGGATAAAGTATACTTAATTCACATATTGAATACTATACAGCTACAATACAGAATGAAATTTATTATGTACTAATATCAGAATGTATAATATGCTACTATTTATATGATAAGCATGTATTTGTTTTATGTGCTTAAAATTTATCTGGAAGAATTTTTTTTAAATTTATTATTATTATACTTTAAGTTTTAGGGTACATGTGCACAATGTGCAGGTTAGTTACATATGTATACATGTGCCATGCTGGTGTGCTGCACCCATTAACTCGTCATTTAGCATTAGGTATATCTCCCAATGCTATCCCTCCCCCCTCCCCCCACCCCACAACAGTCCCCAGAGTGTGATGTTCCCCTTCCTATGTCCATATGTTCTCATTGTTCAATTCCCACCTATGAGTGAGAATATGCGGTGTTTGGTTTTTTGTTCTTGTGATAGTTTACTGAGAATGATGATTTCCAATTTCATCCATGTCCCTACAAAGGACGTGAACTCATCAATTTTTTATGGCTGCATAGTATTCCATGGTGTATATGTGCCACATTTTCTTAATCCAGTCTATCATTGTTGGACATTTGGGTTGGTTCCAAGTCTTTGCTATTGTGAATAATGCCGCAATAAACATACATGTGCATGTGTCTTTATAGCAGCATGATTTATAGTCCTTTGGGTATATACCCAGTAATGGGATGGCTGGGTCAAATGGTATTTCTAGTTCTAGATCCCTGAGGAATCGCCACACTGACTTCCACAATGGTTGAACTAGTTTACAGTCCCACCAACAGTGTAAAAGTGTTCCTATTTCTCGACATCCTCTCCAGCACCTGTTGTTTGCTGACTTTTTAATGATTGCCATTCTAACTGGTGTGAGATGGTATGTCATTGTGGTTTTGATTTGTATTTCTCTGATGGCCAGTGATGGTGAGCATTTTTTCATGTGTTTTTTGGCTGCATAAATGTCTTCTTTTGAGAAGTGTCTGTTCATGTCCTTCGCCCACTTTTTGATGGGGTTGTTTGTTTTTTTCTTGTAAATTTGTTTGAGTTCATTGTAGATTCTGGATATTAGCCCTTTGTCAGATGAGTAGGTTGCGAAAATTTTCTCCCATTTTGTAGGTTGCCTGTTCACTCTGATGGTAGTTTCTTTTGCTGTGCAGAAGCTCTTTAGTTTAATTAGATCCCATTTGTCAATTTTGGCTTTGGTTGCCATTGCTTTTGGTGTTTTAGACATGAAGTCCTTGCCCATGCCTATGTCCTGAATGGTAATGCCTAGGTTTTCTTCTAGGGTTTTTATGGTTTTAGGTCTAACGTTTAAGTCTTTAATCCATCTTGAATTGATTTTTGTATAAGGTGTAAGGAAGGGATCCAGTTTCAGCCCAGCTAACTTTCACATATTTAAATTAATTATTTATTTATTTAGAGACAGGGTGTGGCTATGTTGCTTAGCCTAGTCTCAAACTTCTGGCCTCAAGTGATCTTCCCACCTCAGCCTCCCAAAGTGCCAACATTACCTGCATGAGCCACCATGTCCAGCTGAAATACTTCTTTTAAATGCTGATGATCACCCTCAGCAAATGGAAGCCAAAGAAGTGTGTTTGCTCTCTGCTGTCATGGAGCCTCCAGCTATCAGATCTTGTCCCTCCAATTAAGAGACTATGTACTGCAGAATTTGAGAGTTGTTCCTTGGTGACTGGTTTTATGTATTTCCTTTTTATCTGATCTACTTTATTTATAACTGAAACTCCTCCAGGTTTCTCTTTTGTGGATGGTGTCTCCATAGTTTCTAAATCTGAAGGTGATTTTCTTTTGTCTTTTATAACCCTGTCGACATTTCAGTGGAAATCTGAGAATAGGAGGTGTTAGGCATCTGTGCTATGATTCACATTTCCAGTTTTTAACATTGCCCTGTTGACTTGACCATAAAAGATGGTCAAAAATAGCTGGTGACTGAACAAAGAATGAACATCATTTTGAGCCTAAGGGATACTAACTGCTTTATGTGACTTTTGTATTATTCTTGCATATGCTGAAATCATTGAGGTTTCTTCATATTTCTTTTTTGGATACATCAAATGGCAATAATGATAGTGTGGCATGATAAAAACTGGGACTACTCTATAAATACGTTCAAAATTTATTCCTTAATTTGTAACATAAATCTTGGCTGCATTCCTTATATTTCTGTGTTAGGCAGAACACATATAAGGATAAATAAGGTATGGTTTCCACCCTTCTCAAAGTACTTCCCATTATAATAGTATGATGATTTATCAGCAGCAACTGTTTTTTTTTTTTTTTCTTTACAGGTCAAACATTGGGATTATTTTTTAAAAATAGAAGTACTCAGCATAACTAAATGCCTTTTTTCTCTCTGGCAATGGAAGTTTTATTTATTTAAGCAAATCAATAGAGAATTTTTTTTTTTTTTTACCAAGCTGTTACAAGAGACTGAAGAACGTTTTGCTCACTAATCCTAGGGTAATGGAAGAAGAATTTTCTTCCTCTGTGGTTCCTAGACTTTGTGGAGTCAGAAAAGTTAAGCTTGACTGAATTTACATTTTTAAAATTTTTTTTGGTTAAATACACATGATTTTTCCTTTTATTAGTAATGGCACCAATATGCAGTCACATATTTACTTTAAGTACTGCTATATCTCTATCCACATATAGTAAGAGAAAAAATATAGATGCAGTTTCTGGAGAAGAGGCTTTTTATTTCTGAACTTTCTAAATGCTGGTCAGTGAATGCCACCAATAAAAAATATTTTGCTCGCCAGAAATAGAGATATGCATCCCTCAGAGTCAGGCATGTGGGTTTTATCAAATGTAGTGGATTTTGTCTGTGGACATCTGCGGATTTTTTCTGCCCAGATTCATTTAACCCTACTTTGGGTAAAACTACCCCGACCTCTCCCTATTCCATCTTATCTTAATGGCAGTATCACATGAGGTACCCCTTCCCAAATGCATGAGCACTTGACTCAAGCCATACCTATGAGAGTGTTCTTTTCCTGAGAATTACCTACCTCATAAAACTATTGTATGGATTAAGTGTGTTAATAACATGCAAAGTATTTAGAAGCATTACTGCATAGGGTAAGCAGTACATGAGTGCACTCTTATTATTCTTAAGCAGAGTGACGTTAAGGTTAGAAAGTGGCTAGAGTTGGAATATTCTGACCACACTGCCCTAAGGCACTCCCTTAGTTCCTCTACCTTGATCCCCAGGGCAGTGTAGTTTCTGTTCTTCCCAAAGTCTGATCATAAAGCATTTTTTCCAGTTCTATGAGCTTCCTTGTATCTTTCCAATAAATTCACTCAATAAATAAAATGACTTTCTATTTATTGAGATCCAATAATTTTGATAAATAAAGAGAAGATTTCAGGAAAGCTCCAAACATTGCAATTAAGTAATATTCCACAAGACTTTAAATTATTTGTATTTTGCTTTGAATTATGATTTCTTATTCCTTCTAAATATAGTGTTGTATTGTTCTGGGAAATATGGTAAGCAAAATAATAAAACCATAGTAGAATTATCCGACACAGAAAAAGTTGGAAAATGAAAAATTATGGAAATAAATAGCTGTTTCACAGTAGCATTAATTCTTTAAGAAAACTCATCATCACCACCAAAATTATAGATACCGGACATTATTTGGAGATTCACAGATATTATTTCTGATCTTTATAGCAAGTCTGTAAATAATATTTACCCCATTTTATACACGGGAAAGCTGAATGGTTGAGGCTTGTTCATTAGTTATCAGCTAACTAGAATTCCAGCCCAGTTCTGCTCACTACAAAGCCTGCACTTTTTCTACTATAACACATTTTCATTTTCTTAAATTGTAAAATTCTTTTTGTTTCTAAACTTGGGATGTTAATTTTTAAGTGGTGTGAAAATTTTTAAGTGGCGTCTATTCATTATTTCATTAAATATTTATTGAGTGACTTTGTGGGTAATTAAGATATTCATGAGTGTGGGTAAATATAGCCTTAGGGGATATGTTTTAGAGTGAGGTGGCAAAATGGCATGCGGAGCAAAGAACTTTTGTAGATTATTTAGATTAAATCTAAAATATGTCTATCAAAAGCAATTATAACTATTCCTCTTTTTAGTAGAGGTAATCCACTCACAATTTATTTAAACAGACTACAAAAAATCTTCCTTCCTTTTTGTTCCCTTAACCCCAGTCCATCCTACTCAAATCACATACATTCATACTATGACATATTTAGAAAACTTTCTAAATTCTAGAGAATTTTAGTTCATTAAATTTTAGGTTTATGCTATGCAGCAAAAGTGTAAAAGTTTTTTCTTTGCTGAAGAAAAACTGGATAGAGTCCCGAATATATCAATACTGGCAGTAAGGTTTTAGACACACTTGTGCAGAGCCAGAGATAAATAACCACAATACTAGCCTCCAAGGAGCTAGAAAGTAATGGTTGTGTGGAAACTTTTAGAGCATCTATAGTCAAAGCTGGCAACCACTTTATCTTTAACTGTTCTAACACTCATAACAGGGATCTCATAGGAGTGTACAGAAAACTGTAAATTTTTATCTTTTTCCTTCCCTTAGTTTCACACTATATACTCTCCCTGTTAAGCAATAGAAGGGAAGAGGTTAACAATTTGCCCCACTGACAACAGAGTTTACTTAGTTTACACAGAAGAAATTTTCTGTGTGTTCAGGGCTATCAGTGTTTGCTCTCTGTGTAATGGAAAAAAAAAAAAAAAACAAATAGTGAGTAGACACTGGCAGGCTGAAATACCAAAGAAGCATAACTAGGCTTTGGTTCTACACATGCAGGAAGGTTCTGCATATTCAAATCCATTACTGATGATTAGTTTTAGTTTAAAGACTTGGTCTATGTGAGATTGTATTTGGAAAATCCATGCAGCTGGGGGGACTTACGGCAAATGTTATTGTTTCTTGTTCTGTCTTAATGTCTTTGAACTTCTTAGGGTGCTAGCTATGAGGCTGACTGGTCTTATATGGGAGAATGAACTCTGTGTGTTCACAGCGCAGGACCCGGCTGAATCTAAGTGTATCCCAGAAGCAGCACCAACTACCATTTGGATTGAGGAGGCAGGTGATTGTAAATCCTGAAGGTAGAGGTAGTTGAACTGAGAAGCCCAGGCACTCAGAGAACCTCTCAAAACCATAGCATCCCTGGTCAGAGGTTCCAAACTTGGCAGAGATTTAAAAAACACAGACTCCAGCATCCCAACCAAACCTTCCAAACTAGCATATCCAAGGGTGGATCCTGGAAACCTGTCTGTCTTCCTTTTTTTTTTTTTGAGACGGAGTCTTGCTCTGTCGCCCAGGCTGGAGTGCAGTGGCACGATCTCGGCTCACTGCAAGCTCCGCCTCCGGGGTTCAGGCCATTCTCCTGCCTCAGCCTCCCGAGTAGCTGGGACTACAGGCACCCGCCACCATGCCCGGCTAATTTCTTTTTGTATTTTCAGTAGAGACGGGGTTTCACTGTGTTACCCAGGATGGTCTCGATTTCCTGACCTTGTGATCTGCCCGCCTCAGCTCCCAGAGTGCTGGGATTACAGGCGTGAGCCAAAGCGGAAACCTGTTTTCTTAACAAGCAGCTCTGAGGATCAGCTAGAATTGTGAACGAGCATTCTAAGTCCTTTATGAAGAAGAAATAGCCCACCTTTCTCACTCCACTGGCACAGTTGCTAGCTTGCAGGGTACAAGAACTGGTACCAATGTGTTCTTGAAGAGTAAGAGAGTAATTGGAAGCAAGTTTCTCAGTACATCTACCTTTTTAAGTCTCCTTTCCTCCCCTCAAATTGCCAGCTTCACTCCCCAGTAATTTGAATTTGACATATTTCACCCACTTTCACATTTCCTGGCTTGGCTTCGATCTGGCCAACTATTAGGTAGCTAGATAAGTGACCATGTACCTTAAAGGTAAATATTGAAGTATAATAATTTTAGTAATTAATAGAGGTTCTAGAAAACGGGAATTAACCTATGGAAGGATCAAAACTTTTTAAATGAGTGTTAAAACTCCACTTCTTTTCATAGCAAGCATTAAACATTTGTATTTTTCTTCATGGTTTGGAAGTCTGATTACAAATATGGTTTATTTTACTGTATTCTACAATATATCAAGAAAGTCATTAAGTATATAGATCATTTATTTCTATGAATTTTATTTGGGGTTTGACTGGTTTTGGTTTGCCTGTGTGGTGCCATAAGCTCTGTCTCTTTCTTAAGGGCCAGCTGTCCCGTAGCACTGTCACTATGTCTGACTGGGCAACACACATTCCTTTATTTTTCTGTTTCTAATCTTTGCAGGCGGTGGTACTAAATAGCCAAACCACATAGAATGAGGTCTTAATTGGAGTGAGTTGGATTCTGGGCAGAAGTCTGGCAGTCTCCTGGGAGTGAGGGTTCCAACTTTGGGTTATGCATGTCATGATGTGTATTCTGGCTGCCTAGAAGGCTTTGTTTACTTGCTTGCCTTGCTTACTGGTGCATGGCTGTGTTTCACAGGACTCTAAGTGGTTGGAGCAGTTAGTTCTGAGTAACTCCAGAGTTCATGTGCGTAGCACCAAACTTGGAGTGAGCTTTTGTGCATGAGTGTCAGCAGATTGACGTGTAACATGTTCAAACTGGAGAGAAAAGAAGCACTGCCCAGCTGGAATGGGGAGCAAGTGCAAGTCAGAACACTGACTTTTTCTTTCCCTCTAAGGATATCAGCAATACTGGGTCCTGAGTTACAGCAGGAAGAGACTTGAATTCTCCTTCCTCTCATTTTATTTCTCTACCAGAAAATCACTTGGCAGCTATCACAGCAATACAAACCCTTGGCTGGTCGGTAGCTTAGAGAAACACAAGCCTTTTCTGTGTGCTGATAATCAGTGCAAAGAAAAGCATCTACAGTGTTATCTTATAGAAGCAAAGGATACCTAATTAATGCCCAGTCTCCAAAGAAAACTGCCACCCTTCTGGCTGCTTTCCCAGGGAAGATGTTGGTGCCACAGAGCAGCCATGTGCAGAGATGCACTGCTTGGGTACAAGAGGAAGAATATTCCTGGCTTATAGCCTCAGCCCTCAGTAGCCACTCGGTGGGGACAGGCAGAGCCACTGCTTACAGGTAATATATTCAGCCAAGTATACCTTTGAGGTCAGTGAGAAGGGCTTCATCTTGGCTTTCTGCTTTTTGCTATTAACACCATAAATACACCTACCGAAAATGCTGGTTGTCACCAAGCATTCTTGGCCTCCCCTTTAGTTATTTCTACAAATCTTATTGTTCTTTCTCTCTCTCTCCCCTTTGCTCTTTGTCCCTCTTGGACCCTTTTTGAAAGTGTGTTTCATTTAAACCACTTGATGCACACTGGCTGAGTGTAAAGAGAGGGAAATCTCTTTTAATGACCCAACAGGCTTTCAGTCTCTGCAGACAGCACAGTTTGGACTGAGCTAAATGAGATAGTATCCATGGTGAGAGGGGCGGAATGCGCTAGGCTTTTGTGCCAAAGGGAGATGAAACGTGTGCCATATATTTGGGTGTGTTTAAAGGCAGTAATTTCAAAGTTCTGCTCCTGAGTTTAGCATTACTAATCAGCTTGAAGGAAAGAATAAGAATATACAGGAATAAGTGGCAAGATGGGATAAAACTCCAAAAGACTTAAAACTAAAACCAGATAGAAATGGGTTAGAGTAAAAAGATGCTCGATAATTAATGTTTAATTTGTTGTAATGTCAGTAACTTTTGTAAAAACAATTAGGCAGTCATTTCAGCTTTTAAAGGACAAATTTTAAATGCCAATGAGACCATATGGATAATAATTCACAATGAAATATTATAATGTGCCAACTTTTACATATTCATAGTTGTGTGTTAGCAAAGTTCTAAGAGAAAAGTTTGGATCCTTTACAAAAGACGTGTTTTGTTTATGAAATATTGAGTCAATGTTTGGCTTCTTAATTTTGTTGTCAGATGTATTATGAAAAATTATTGCCTGTTAATGCTTTTAAGATTTTCTAATCAGTGGTCATGCTTCTACTCATGTATTGTTAGGAGAAGGTTTGGCCTTCTGTTGGGGCTTCTCTACCTTCTGAAGGTACTTATAGCTGTTTGTGGAGAAAGATTGGCCTTATAATCCCTCACTAGGGACTAAATATATGACCTTTGTCACATAGTTGCTACATGCTATTTTAACCTGTATTATTCCAGATTTGTATGTCATGGGGTGATATTTAGAGACAAGGATAAAATTACATTGAACATGAAAGAAGAAAATATTGGTGGAGAAATATTTAAAATTGACAGGTTATCTGCCGTCATTATTTTTAATTTGATTTTATAGTACCTTTAGCTGATGTTTAGGTGGATATGCTTCTTTAAAGCCAGATATAGACTAGGCATGGAGGATCTAGTCTGCTCATGCAGGGATTCTGGAATCTGCTGAGTGCCAACTTTGGCATTACTCCCAGTCATATAATCTTGAAAAATGATTTAAATTCTCTGTGCCTTATTTTTCTTCTTTGGCAAAGGACATAATAATACTACTTTCCTCATAGGATTGTTGCAAAGTTATAGATATTCAATTTAAAGCATGTAGCTCAGTGCCCTGCACATAGTAAAGAGGCAACAAGTATCTATAACGACCACTTAGGTTGTCCCAACTGCAAACAAGCCCATCATTTCTATATAAATTTGGACAAATTGAAGACATTTCCAAAACTAACTGAAAAGTCAGTCATTTTTGAAAGAGGCCTACAAGTGACATAAAAGTTAGCTAGATTAAACACAATAAACACAGCAAAGCAATAAAATCCACTTCACAGGGACACAATCAATATTCACTCTATCAAACAGAAATGAATATTAGGCATTAGGAACTCATAGATTCATAGACTGTGTTGGGTGTGGAAATTTTAAGTAAATGTCACTACTGCCAACTGCCTCATTCAATGTTTTAATCTCCTCTACCATATTCCCATAGATTTGGCATTCATCCTATGCTTGAACCCTTCTAGCGATAGCAACCTACCCATGAGAAGCCGGAACTGGTTATTGGAAAGATATCTTAGGTTGGGCTGACATCTGCTTCTCCTGCTTTCACCTATCCTCCTGGTTTGGCTTCTGTGGCTCTCCATATGTTAGTGGCTTACATATCTGAATATAGCTATTTTCTAGTATTCTCCATTCCCTTCACTTCCCAAACATAAATCCACAGTTCCTTCACCCTTTCTCAAATGACATGATTTCAAGTTCTCTTATGTTGTGATTGATGAACTTTGGAACTGAACTTATTTCAGTTAGAAATTTTATTTAGTTGCAAGTAACAGAGATCACCAAACTAAAGGCTTTATATAAAAAAGGGTGTTCATTTTTCTCCCAGATAAAATAAATCCTGCATTAGACAAGCCAGAGCCAATGTGGTGACCCAGCAAATTCATCAGGGCCCCAGGACCTTCTAGGTTTCTTCTCTGTGTCATCCTGAAGATGCAATTCTTATCCTCAGGCTCTGAAGGTGACTGTTGTCACTCCAGTTGTTGTGTTCCCATTCTGTTCCCATTCCAGGCAGGAGAAATGATAAGGGCAAAAGGCAACAGGGTGCAGCCTCCTGAGTCTGCCTCCCTGTTAGGGAGCTCTTCTGGACACATTAATGACAACTCCTGCTTACTTCTTGTTGGTCAGAATTGCATCACATGCTCAATCCTAATGTAAGGAAAGCAAGGAATTATAGTTTTTAAGCAAGGTTTTCTTGCTATTGTGAATAAAAGCAGGATTCTACTAATAAGCTGAAAGGGCAGACTAGATATAAGGTAGGCAACAGCAGTCTGCATCAGGATGTCCTCTTTAAATATCCCCTTTGGAAATGCGGCTTCTCTACTTTAGCAATAGTCTAGATAGAAGAAAACCCTGAAGAGTAGAATAGGACTACATCTGTCTCTGGAAAGTTGACTTCTAGAAAAAGATGCTGATTAATTAAAATATCAGAGAAAAGGTACAGAGAAGGTACAGGGAAGCCCTTACTTGGGCAAAGCTTGTTCGTTCAATTCATGTACAAGGTACAGAAAAGGTACAGAGGTACAAAGGTACAGAAGGTACAGAGGTACAGAGATACAAAGGTACGAAGGTACAAAGGTACAGAAAAGGTACAGAGAAGCCCTTACTTGGGCAAAGCTTTGTTCATCCAACTCATGTAAGCTCAGAGCCAATAATCTTAATATTTACCAAGGGTCCTTACCTGATAAAAGTTGAAAGCATCCTTTTTCCTGGACTGCTTTCTGTTCTGCACTGTAAATCTACAAATCTGCAAATGTAGTAGGTCCATAAACCAGCTTCGGCTGGGCTGATTTCTTCATAAGGATGTGATTTACTAAAATGCCTATCAGTTAAGTGGCATAGTTGTAACATTTTAGGAAGGTGTAAGTCCATGTATAAAGTTCTTTATTAAACATGTATTTAGTGCCATTGATATTTTAAGAAATTATTCAAGTGTAGTATAGAGTCTCGCTGGGAAGCATAGCACCTACAAGTTGATCTAACCACTTTGCTGTTAACTTTTCTTTCTGCCCCAAAGATCGCAGATTTCACTGGAAGGATGAGATTCCTCCCTCCCCTACATAGCTATTTAGGAATAACTATAAGTAAAACCAAAGAAAATGCATGCTTGATCTACAAGGAGTTGTGGAAATTTGCACCTGGTCTCTGAAAGTGAAAAGAGATGAGATAAGAAAAGTAATTGGTATATCACAGACATCAACTAATGTACACACTCTGGCCACAGAGAAGCCCAGACCTAGCTAGTTCAAGTATAGTTGATAGCCAGATGTCAGTGATAAAAGCAATCAAGGGCCTTGTTGACTAAGTCTTATGAGTACAGGTAATGTAATTAGTAACTGACTTTTCCCCAAAAATCCTAGAGAAGAAACTCTAGTGGTTGATTCTCAGGGCTCAATAGTTAACGAATGGTCTCAGCACTAAGAATGCTGACAATTAACATCACCTACAAGGCCAAATTAAAGACTATACTTTTTCTATTATTTCTCAATCTTTACGTTCAGTTAGAATTGAAATCCTGTAAACTCATCTATCTGGTTTCCCAAAGGCTTGTCTTTCTGAAATAGACAAGAATGAAATGTAAGGCCACACTCTAGGAATAGGTAGATGAGTGCAAATTGTGTCTGACCTCTCCATACTCTTATTTAACTCTGGCAGAATTTTATCTGACAGTCACTGGAGACTTCTATTCAGCAGTTTCTCCACTGGCCTAAAGGAAGAAGTGGCAAAAATATGATCCAAAATACAATTACTGATTTCCTAAAGGCAATGGTAATTTTGGTGATGGAAAGGAAAAAGCCTAAGAATGCATTTTTACTATTACCTCCTAGTCATTACACTATGTTTTCTGTGAATTTCAATTACTATTGTTTATTCATTCATTCGCTCATCTTTTTAATGAATAGTATTCATTCAGTTAGTACCTACTATATGCTTGGCACTGAGCTAAATTCTGAGTGTGCAAAAATCTATGAGAAGTTGTTTCTGCCCTCACAAAACTTACGACTAAATGACTATTGATTAACTTACCTTTGCATTGTTTTTTGAAGTTCTTCAAGTGCCCAGAATTTATACCAAAATCTCAAGGGAGTTAGAGTAGGTATTAACAGTCCTATTTTAAAACTGAGGAAATTGACGCTCACAGAGTTTAAGCAACCCGTTTGGATTGCACAGAAAGCTGTTAGCAAAAAGAGTTCAATGTCAATTCTTGATAAGCTTCACATTTTAATGAATGAATTATTTATATATGAAGTTGTATTATAACAACATTAGGTGAAGTCTATTTTTAACCTCTTTCAGTAATGATAATGTTCTGACCTAGATTTCTAAAATACAGGAAGTTCATCCCGGTTGATTCATGCATTGCAGATCTGAACTATTGATAAAATGGGATGAAGAGAAATAGCAAGTGAGTTTGTTGGTTCCTTCGTGGACTAAAATTTAGTGGTAACAGAATGACTGGAGTCTGACAGTTAAGGTTTAATTCCTATCATTTGCCAGCTGTTACGGACTTGGTAAACACATATGGGCTATTAAGAAGTGTGTATTTCAAAACATCAAGTCATATTTAAAGGATTATTTAAGAAAATGGGATCATATCTCCTGTGTTCTAAAGAGGCCAGATACTTTTTTAAAAAAATAACCAAAAGTAGAGACATTTTAGTCTTCTTTATTTTAAACTTTCTTTTCACACCATTTTCATTTTTCATCACAAAGTAGATTTTGTGGTGGTTGCTAGCTTTCTTTACATAGTCCATTGCAATGGAGTTTAATCTATCCAGGGCTAAAACCTGAAAATATGGATATAGTCAGGAAATGACTTGTATTTGTTTCTCTTCACAGGAGGGAGAGGGTGTCTGGATCAGTGGTTATCAAACTTGGCACAAACCTGGCACATACTAAGATCACCTGGGGAGCTTGCAAAATAGGCTATTCCAAAACCATAAAATCTCTGGGGGTGGGACCCAGGCGTTGGTATTGTTTTTGAAATATCCCTGGGTTATAACGAGCAGCCAAGGTTGAGACTTGCTAGAAATTTTCACTTCTGTTGGAGAGCAAAGTAATCAAATTAAGCTAATTGCTTGTACAAAGTTAATGGCTTGTGTTATTCACATTTTCCAAATCAGTATCTAATGGAGATTCTGGCTAGTGTGACAAAGTGTAATGAAGACTGTCTCATCTAGTTTGCACAACTACATAGTGCCTAGTACATAAACACTAAATATTACTGGCATCATTCTATTATTATTATTTAATAATTTGACAAAGGAAGGGAAAAGAAGGAAAATAAATATTGTTTGGAGATTAAAGATTTTTTAAATATTGCATTTGTCCCAGTTGAATGTATTTGAAATGTAATAATTTGAATATCCAAAATGTAAAACCAAGAGATATGATGTAGCATATTTTATTTCCAAGGAATCCTACAAAATTTCGCCTACTTTGGTACATACCTTATCAAAGTCATTTTATCTACCTCTAGCATTTTGTAGGAGAGGCTAGGGAATGTGTGCCCAGTGGTTAAAAAAAAAGAGAGAAATTCACTTTTCTTTTGGCAAGTCACAGACATTCCTTGGGATTGGGGTGGGATGGGGTGGGTTAGCACAGTAAACTGTTGCTGTGAACTCTAATTATTTTTTAAATATGATTTTCAGTTCTTATTTGAATGTTAATGGATTTTAAGTATTTATCTCTGACCTAATTTAGGGTGAGAGACAAAACCTTGGAGACAGCATATATAGAATGTCATGATCTTCCCAGTTGCTTCATGGAAATATTCATATACTGACCTACTCCTCTTACTTTCTCCAGGGCACAAAACTACCATATATATTTTCTTCTTCTAGTATGTCTTAGAATATTATTTCAGTGACTTTATGTTATTACTTATTTCAGAAACAAAATGCAAACAGAAACAATAAAGGTCTTAATCTAAAGACTAAAGTAATTCACAAAGAGCAGGAATAGAAACTAAATTCCATACCTTTTCTCTTTTGACTTCTAATTTTCTTTTCTTCAAGTAGCTTTTATTTCTCTCAATGCTTATTCTAATTCTAATAGCTTATTGCAATCTGTATCTATCTTTGCAATATTCCTTTCTTATTTAATTCCTACTTCCATGTCTACATTTTAAAAAGTGGTTCCTATATTCAGGAGTAATTTATTACTTAGCTCTTGAGAGAGAAAGGTGGCTATGTATGTACATTTTCTTAAAATGTGCTTTGAATTTTACTCCAGGGACAGTGGTTGAAATCTTGCCCAGAGTTATCATGTTAGTTACAAAGTAGACATGGACTGATGTATGACAGGAGAAGAGTTTCTGATATCAGGAATATTTGATTTTATTTTGGAATAGGTGAAGATTGAGGGTTTTAAAAAAATTTCTGTCTTTAAGAATTTCCCATTAAAACACTATTTTTTAAATCTGTATCCAGAGCTGGAATTTTATATTGCTAAAAGTATTACAGCCTATTCTCACTTTTATTCTCCTTTGTCGGGCATATTTGCTCATGTCTAAGTCTTTTCAGTTATTCTTAATCCTACTTAAAATCTTTGGGTGGATTAAAAGTTGCATTTCCTTGTAGCTTATGTTGCAAGCATCAAATGATTAAAAAACGAAGATAATTTATTTTCCTACCATAAGCTTAATGACTCATATTCTGGAGCGGATGGGGGTTGGCAGGGGGAAGAAGGGAGGCAAAGAAAAGTAAAAAGTAAATAGCAGGCATGTTTCAGGAGAAACTCCAGCCAGGGCTGTTGGGTTGAACTTTATCGATGCTGCTTCATGATATGTGTCAAAATAAATGCAGGAAACAGCTTTTGCCTCAAAGCTTGGAATGTTGTGGTTAACTGATATTTAGGTAAAGGAATGTTACAATTGGAATAGCTGGCCTAAAACTCTTCCCAAAACCATCAATTTTATTTATTAAACTTGCTGAAAAGACGAAAAGTGACAAGGAAAGGCACAGATCATTTATTTATTTGACAAGTTTCTCAGAGTTCTTTTCCTTGATAAAGCAGCAATGACGATGAATTTTATTATGCTTAGTGTATGTGTTTGCTTGGTTTAAATTATTTACATATTTACTGTTAGGGCAGTAATAAAACCAGGTCAGTCCAAATAACTTTTTTTTTGTCTTGTCTGTGGAACACTATGAAAGTTGCATTTTTAATGGATGATGACCACAGTTGTTTTTAGGATTCCTGAATGAAGTCATGAAGTCTGAAAAATTTTGGAACCTAGAGTTTTAACTCATGTTACAATTTGAGTAACTGCTTTACAGAAAAGGGCCTGGTCTAATTTTGAGACTGTGGCTTGATTCTCACAAGTTTGATGCTCATTTCCCAAGGATAATATATATAAGCCCATAATTAAGGCTGTACTTTAGTTAGACTTGAGTTGTGAAGAAAGAAATTCAGGTTACTTTAGGGTTCCGTTCCTCAAATCTGGTGTTCTGTGCTATGCTTTTACAGTTAAGTGTGCTACAAAATAAAGTCTTTGGGACCCTCTGTTAAATAGGTTTAAACTTTTTTGGAACAAGATTTCTAAGAGACTTAAATGTGCAAGAGAGCATTCTGACTGAGAAAGGATAAGGCATGTAGCATTTCCAGATCATTAGCAAGCAGTATCTATTCTCATCTCTCAGAACTCTGTTTCTCAGAGCATGGTTAAGGAGAATTTTTATGTATATAAATGTATCACCATCAATAATCAAGGCAGAACTGTATATTTATATTTACATAGTATATATTACATATTATATATAAACTTACATATATATTATATAAACATATAATTTATACAGTATTTATGTGTTTATATGTAATATGTAATATATACTATATAAATATACAGTTTATACAGTATATTTGTGTGATATAAATATACGGTATATAAATATATAAATATACAGTATATAAATATACAGTAATATATATATATACTATATAAATATACAGTTATGCCTTGCTTATTAATGATGATACATTCTGAGAAATGTGTCATTAGGCAATTTTGTCATTGTGCTAACATCATATTTTGTATTTACACAAAATTAGATGGTATAGTCTGCTATGTGGGTAGGCTATATTATAAAACCTATTGCTCCTAGGCTACAAATCTGTACAGCATGTTACTGTACTGAATACTGTAGGCAGTTATAACACAATGCTAAGTATTTGTGTACCTAAACATATCTAAACATAGAAAAGGTACAGTAAAAATATCATATTATAATCTTATGGGACCACTGTCATATATGCAGTTGATCGAAATGTCATTAGGTGACACATGACTATATATAAATACATGATAAAATACATAAATATAATAATAGTATATACAACCTCTTTATTATTTTCCTGTTATTATTTAATCTAAGCCTAATGTTGTATTCCCTCTGCAGAAACCCACATCATAACGGGCCAGCACAGGGAGGGGCACCAGGAATCCAGGACCTGTTGGTTATTTAATTGATGACACTGGCAGATTATGGTCTCTTTTCCATGCATGAGACATGGTGCAGGTCTGCATGACGTCGTCTTCTTTTCCCTTGTGCATTCATAAGACAGATGGCCCAGATGGCGCTGTGATTCATTGTGAAGCAGGAAGGAGATAACGCAGCAGCATCTGCAGTGCTGCTGGGAGGAACACATCTGTAGCAATTGGGTGGATCTTTACTGCCTCTGGGCTGTTTCTCCCTGTGCTTAGGTGCAGGTCTTGATGAAGAAGAGAGTTCTGGGGGCAAGAGCAAAATTAATTTGTATCTTTATCTGAGTTTAGAAGGTTCCTGGGCTCCTGTTAATATACATCAAAGCAGTTCTAGAGTCATCTTAAACTTGCTCAACATTGCCAGTGTGCATGTGTAGAGGGATCTCTGTAACTCTATTGGGTTCTGATCAAATGCATTACAAATAATATGCAGGAATCTTAGCAAGGTTAAACATCCATCTTGGTTGGAAAAAAAAGAAATGTTTTCACTTGGGAGGCTTAAATATATCTATTAGATTATACTGAATTGTTAAATAAAGTGGGGATATCTTGGGATGGAAAGGATAAAAGGCAAGATTGCTGAATTGACGTTGATGTTGACATCAGTTGTTTAAAAGGATTGTTTGGTATTGCACTCCATTCAAAGCCAGATAGGGATAGTAAATCCAGGGAAGACATTCTCATGAGCCTTCTCCTAAGAACCCCACTACTCACCCTTCGTTTGACTAACATTCTGCACAGCAGCAATTTCATGCATTGTTCTTTATTGATTCATTGGTAACTGCTGACCCCAGAACTAAGTGATAACACTGCTTTCCCTTTGGTCAGTTCTTTGTTCATGTATTCTTTACAGTTCTCCGAGGGCTTACTCACTATGGGTAAGGCACTATGCATGGCATCCAGGAAAACACAGCGGCGCACAAGGCGCACTCTTTTTGCCATCCACAGTCGTGTACACACTAAACATACTAAAAACTCTGTGTGATAAATTTCATACAAAGTCATGCAAAGGAAGTGGTTAACAGGTTTGTAGAATGTGATCATGAGTAGGCAGATTCCAGCCACTAAAGGCTCAGCATGGACCACCTTGTAAGTATGCTGCATAAGGATTCATGGTGAGTAACAGCTTAGCCACCTCATTTTTTTGAAAAAAAAAGAAAAAGGAAACTCACATTACTGTATTCTTTCAGGGCTTCATTTTGCAACTTTCATGCACTCTTGAAGTAAAGGCCATGACATCGTAACTTTGGTTTCTTTTCAATAGTTCACTTTCTGAGAGTGTAAGTGGGTACTTGGTGTATCATAGGCCATTATCAGACCTGGACATGATCGTGGGTTTGGTCTGTTGCTCACTGTTTCAGAGGCAGGTCTAAGCTATGCCTCCTCTGTTTCAGAAAAATTGTTCTGTGATTTATGATAATATTTTCATTAATGAGGTTTCTACCTTTTATTACTATTACCTTCATTTTGAAAAAATCATAGTCATTGATCACATTTCAACCATTTTAAGATAAATGCTTTTTCACATTTTAACATCTTTGAAATCAAATGTGTCTTGTAATCAATGGCATGTCATAGTTTAGTTGGCAGCGTTCCTCCTCACCCTTTCAAAATTTTTCTTTAGAGGCACATGCCTCTACCTGTGAAGCATTGGAGACCCACCCCCCACCATGTTTCTGGTACATGACACATTAAAGGAATTCAGGGATGCATGACATTTGGGTCCTACAGTTGTGAGAAAACCAGGTCACTTTATCTGATATCTTGACATATTACTTTGTCCTCTCCTAATAGCATAGATATGATAAAATTGGCTTATGAAGTTATACTGTTTCATAATGAATTCATCTAACATTTAGTGAATGCTATAAAGCATATGTGTTTTTCCCCTATGCACTATACACCATGGCCACATTTGAAGAGTATAACAGGTGAAAAATACAATCTTATATGATGAGTTAATCTTATAAAATGACTAAGGGAGGTGTCATAATACAATATACAAATAAGTACTAAATGAGAAGGTCAGACAAGATAAATCCCAAGTGGGAAGAGGTTACTTTGGGCTGGGAAAAGTTAATGGAAGATATGAGAGGTGAACTGGGCTTTGAAAGCTATAAAAATATGTATGAGTAAAAACAGAGGAAGGGGAAAGTATGTTTTTATTCCCAATTTTTTTAGCATCTATCTTTGGTCGACACAGCTGTACATGAATGCAAAGTGGAAGTGTATTTTTAGATTCAGAGCATGTATTTGAAAATACAGCATACATTTATGAGATTGGCTCTTTTACTAAGAACCAGTTAGAATGTCTGCTTTTCTGGGAATTCTGAACACTTCTTGCTAAATTAGGGTGGCAAAAGAAGACAGCAAAGCACTGACTCACATTTGAGATGGCACAGGAAGGATTGGCAGGGAAGATTTAATTCCAGGGAGGTTTCAAGGGGACTTGCTGTCTTAGATCTGAATGTGAATTTAGTATAAACCATGACTCAGAGAACACTCTTGAACTGAGTAACATGACTAAGCAGTTATCACCTAAAACAAGCTAGCATAGGTCACATTTGTTTATTTAGCAGGTAATTTTGAGGTCTTCTAAATAATGAAGCCATAGTTTTTGGAAGATAGCCTTAGATTCCCCTGTGGTCATGCCACTTATACCTCCGATCACAGTGAGCCCTGTTCTTCCTGAGATAGGGCTGTGGGATGCTGCTACATACAGCACTTAGCTGAGGGGTGAATTTCTGTTCTTAAATGGGCCTAGCTTCCTCTTTCTCTTCTCCTTCGTTTCCTTTCTCACTTCCTCTAACATTTTAGAGGTCAGTTTGAGCATTCCAGAGCAGTTTATCAATAAAGATTGATGCTATTTCTTTACCTTTTGTGGTGCAGTTCTAAACTTTTCAATTGAGCGATGAAGACCCACTCCACAATTGTGAATACTAGATTACATTGCTTTTTTTTTTTTTTAAATTATGTTTTCCATTATCTTTTGGTCTTAATGACTGAAAGCCCTGCGTGAATACTTTTAAGAAGCTTTCTTCTATTTAACAATTTACTCCAGGCTTAGGACATCAGAGTCCCATTTTCCATCCTTTTCTTTTTTTTCCATACGCCAGAGGAGCAGTTCTCAACCCCGCAGACATTAGACACTTTCACAAAATACTGTTTCCTGGGCTCCACCCACAGAGATCCTGATTTATTAGTGTGAACTAGGGTTTAAAACCAGATTAAAAAAACAACAACAAAACTCCCCAGATGAATAGAGAGCCAGGCTTGAGAACCATTGTGTTGGTATTGGAATCTGGTCAGAACTAGCGAAAATCTCTAAAACCGGAGAGCAAGGCTGATCCGGTCTAGAGAATCATGAGGCAGAATTTCTCTAGCAGCTGTTGGAACAAAGACTTCTGTGGATACACAGAACATTCTTGGACCCCAATGCTGAAATTCCCCTAGTTTAAAGATTTCAACATCTTTGTCTGTTTTCTGTCCTTTAGCTTCAGAGTGAACCACTCACTCACCCCTGCAGCTAATGTAGAAAGTACCTTTGTGAAAGCTAAGGAAAGCCATCCATTTCTTAATACATTATTGTTATTTTCTGGGAAATTGTCAGAATAATATATGCATTTATAATGATAACATTGTAAATGGCATCTTATGGACTTGTACAGTGCACAGACTGCACAACCACACCCTGTGGCCCATCATGTTCTTGCTTTTCCTGCTTAAACAAATCATGATCTGAACCAGTGACCTGGAGACCATAGGCATCAGATGGCATTTATTGGCAGGCTGGCCTAGGCATGGCAATTAAGATAAAAGGCAACTTCAAAGTCTGAGATGATGGGTTAGATGATCTCAAAAGGCTCCCTGCCTCATAGCTCTTCCGTGTTGCTTAATTTAGCCCAGGTTGTTTGGGAAATGAATTCAAAGTTGACCAAGTCAGTGTCTAAAAGCTGTGAGTGAATAATATATAAAACTTATGGCAAATATGCCTTTGCCTGACAACCTCGGATGGCTTTATTTGGTTACACAGAGCTAAAGACTAATGGAACCTGCTCATCCTCAGCAAAATTGCTGAGTAAGGGTGGGCTTATTTTGAGATTCCTGAGCATCTTCTCTCTTTTTTTGGTCCCTTTCTTCCTAGGAGTAGACACCAATAAAGAAAGGCATGTGTTTTGCATCTCATTACCTGGCCAGTGGGCTTCATGGATGATTCTCATCTTCCTTGTAGCTGCATTTAAGCAGGCTCTAGTGGTATATCAGCATTGCCCATGAGAATTTCCTACAATGATGAAAATGTTGTATTATCTGTTGTTCTGCCATGGGCAGGTCTATGTAAACCTACTCCAAAGTCTGAGAAAGCTAAGAGGCTGAAGAAAGAGGCTGACAAATCTGTTTTCTGAGAAAGAAACAATTAATAGAGACTTACAAACAGAAGCCATGTCTGTGTCTTGGGTGACAGTGGGACAAGATGATGGATCCCCATGCTATTACCCCCCCATCCAGGGCTTATATACCATAGGGAAAGGCTATACATGATGCAGAAGGGATGTGCAGAACAATTGATCTACAATAACATCAAGATTGTTTGACCCAAGAGCAGGATTTACAGTAAGTACTTGCTGTTACACAAGGAACAATTGGAACTCTTAGAGGCCTTCCTGGAACAGCAGTTAATCAGAAGCTAACATGGCAGATTAGCATCCAAGATGGAATTGCTTTGGCCTCCACATCTGTGCTGTACAAACAAGGTATGTAATAGCTATATGTGGCCTTTCAGCACTTGAAATGTTGCTAGTGGAACAAAAAAAAAGGCCCCTGAATTTTTAATTTTAAATACTTTTAGTTAATTTAAATTTAAACAGCTACATGTGGCTAGCGGCTGCCATATTGGACAGTGCAGGTCTGAAAGATAGGTTTTATCCAAAGGGGGAGAAAACGAATATTTGTTATGCACCTTCCAATTTTCAGGAACATTCTTTTTATGATCACATCTAATCCTCACAAAACCTTTCGAGGTAGATATTATCATTTCCATTTTATAGATTGAAAATAACTGAAACTCAGAGAATCAATTACCCAAGGTCTTATAGCTAATAAATGATCAAATTAACCTTCAAACTTAGGTTTGATTCTAAAGCCTGCACTTGAAGTTTTCTTGGGAAAGTAGTCTTCCTTGTGATGAACTAGAAGCTAAATTCATAATAAAACAATAACAACAACTATTAAAACACTCCCATCAAACATTACTGTATAGTAAAAGTAGAATTCCTGAGAGGGAGTGAAAAGAGAACGTGTGGTGGCCCAGGTCTGAGGCAGCACACGTAGCAGATGGGAGTGTGGTGCTGAAAGTGGGTTGGGAGGGAGGAGAAGGGGGCTGAAGCCACTGCACCGAGGAAAAACAGACTATTCTCACTATAGCTTCCTCAACTTTTCATATGCTGAGTGCTGTGCTCTGTCCTTACTCTGTCCTTTCTTCATGAGATTAAAATCAGGCTTTCATGCCCTTAATAGAGCCAGCAGAAGCTCACTTGCTAGTAGCTGCTTAGGACTGAGTAGAGGTATGTCTGAGGGCTGTCAGCTTCTTTTTTTGTTGTTTTGTTTTTGTTTTTGTTTGAGACAGTGTCTTGCTCTGTCCTCCAAGCTGGAGTGCAGTGGTGCAATCTCGGCTCACTGCAAGCTCTGCCTCCCGGGTTCATGCCATTCTCCTGCCTCAGCCTCCCGAGTAGCTGGGACTACAGGCGCCTGCCACCACGCCCGGCTAATTTTTTGTGTGTGTATTTTTAGTAGAGATAGGGTTTCACCACGTTAGCCAAGACGGTCTCGATCTCCTGACCTCGTGATCCGCCTGCCTCGGCTTCCCAAAGTGCTGGGATTACAGACATGAGCCACCACGCCCAGCCTACCAGCTTCTTTTTAGCAGGGCCCAATCCCTGACCAAGGATAGGTCTTCTTGCTCAACTGGTTTTTCTCTCCACCCCAACTCTTCCTCCTTTATGCCTCAAGATGCCCACAGTTTACACTTACAGCCCCTTCTCCTTTCTCCTATGTCCTGCTATATGTGTGGTCCTTCCCCACGTCTAGTGAATACATTAATCCTCTAGGCAGTAGTTCTTAGCCCTGACTGTGTTGGAATTAAGTGGCACACTTAAAAATACAGCTGCCAGGGATCCATCCCAGACAAACCAAGTATGAATTTCTTGCAGTAGGGTATGGGCGTCAGTATATTTTAAAAGATCCCCAAGTGATTCTAATGTGCAGACAGGGCTGAGAATCCCAGCCTTTGTTGATTTGCCATCTGCCTGTATCCCAGAGTTCTACTGCTTTCATATTTTTAAACCCAGGGCATGAGATAGGTAGATCTGTGGGTGGAGAAGGGTGGGGGTTGTGGGTGGTAAGTGATAAGCAGTTGGACAAGTGGCTCAAGGAAACTGAAAGTGAAGAAGAAAAAAGAAATGTGTCAAGGACCCCACTGAGAGTGACGAGCCATTATGGATGGATGGAGCACAAGAAATCCTGATGAAAGAGAGAGGTCTAGGATAAATTATCAATATGGGATGTTCTCCATTCAACAATCACCTGTTGAGAATTTTTGGTGCCAGCCTCTGCCACAGGGGCACAAAGAGAAAAGAAGGATCCTTACCATGGAAAAAGTTGTAGGATAGCAAATTAGAGAGAGAGAGAGAGAGAGAGAGACTTGGTTGACCAAGTAAAAATAATCCTCATTTAACTACTTATATGTACTGTATTAGTCCATTTTTACACTGCTATAAAAATAGTACCTGAGACCAGGTAATTTATAAATAAAAGAGGTTTAATTGACCTACAGTTCCACATGGCTGGGGAGGCCTCAGGAAACTTACAATCATGGTGGAAGCCAAAGGAGAAGCAAGGCACGTCTTACATGGCACCAGGAGGAGAGACAAAGAGAACAAGCAAAGGGGAAGTGCCACACTTTAGGACCATCAGATCTTGTGATAACTCCCTCACTATCATGAGAACAGCATGGGAAAAACCACCCCCATGATCCAATCACTTCCCATGAGGTCCTTCCCTTGACATGTGGAGATTATAATTCAAAATGAGATTTGGGTGGGAACACAGAGCCAAACCATATCATGGGCCACTTGCTCTTTACCTAGCAAAATTAGCTTTCATACATATCACTAAATACGTGTCAGATTATCTTTGTTGTAAATTGTATTCAATTATAGCAATATCCTCTGTCAATGTCTTCTGAGCCTTTATGTGGTCTGTTTGTGCACAGTTTAAACAAATTAGAGGGAGTCTTAGCGCAATATTCACCTGCAACTTTTCTCATAAAGAGTATGGGTAAAGTAAATGTTTATAATAGTTCCTGGCAAATGTCTTGGTGTAAAACACATTAAATAAGTCTACTCGTATTCTTTATCACCATACTTAATAACCCTTTCCTCTACCACATCACACCTAACTAGTTTTCATTTATAACTATAGCCTAAATCACAGTATTTCTGTGCTCTGATGGGAACATAAATGGGAAAAATGAAAGAAAAACCTCTTTCTTGATAGTCAGGGTCTGAGTTTGTGGGAATGACATTTTCTGTCCTGTGAGCAGCATTAAGTGTGTCTCCATGGCTTTGTGCCTTCTTATTCTCAGCTTCAGCAATAGCGTTCATTTGAAAACTTAGTTTTATTGTGTGTAGTGCTTGTGGTGGGACCCTCTCATGGGAGAAGGGGAAAGTATGGAGGATGAATATTCCTATTCATCCTGTGGGCATTTGACTTCCTCTTTGCACCTTCGTGACATAAATAGCATACACATGACATTAGTTAGTTTCATCTGTTTTTGTACTTCATATAAATGGAATCTCACGTGTATATGCTTTTATATCTGGCTTCTTTCATTTGACTCCATGTATGTGAGATTAATTCATATTTTTGTGCACAATTGTAGATGATTTACCTTCATAGTTGCAGAGTATTTGATTCTGTGAATGTACTCTGATACAGTTATCCATTTAATTGGTGATGGACATTTGATAGTTTTTGATTTAAGGTTATGCTATAAACATTCCGGTCCATGTATTTAGGTGAATGTATGTATGCATTTCTGTTGGAAATATACCTAAAAATGGAATTGTCAGGTAACAGGATATGTATGTATTTGGTCTAAATAGATAATGCTGAACAGATCTTCAAAGTATTTGTACCAAGTTTCCTTTCTACCAGTACCATATGAGAGTTCTGCTCTCTCCACTTGGCCTTTCACATCTTTTTAGATTTTAGGCACTCTGGTATAAGTGGGTGTGTTAGTCAGTGTTCTCCGGAGAAACAGAACCAAAAGGAGGTGTGCGTGTGTGTGTACATATGTGTGTATGTAAATATATATATTTTTAATTTACATATATAAAATTTACTACATATATATGTATACATATGTAGTAAATTCCTTCTATAAGGAATTGGAGACGCAGGAAAGCCAGTGATGTAAGTCATTCCAAGTCCAAAAGACCGAGAGCCATGGGGTAGAGGTTGGAGAAGGCCAGCTGGAGTCCTAAAGGCCTTAGAGAACCAGGAGCTCCAATGTCTGAGAGCAGGAGATGACAGACATCCCAACTTAAGAAAGGAGGGGAAATTTGCCCTTCCTCTACCTTTTTGTTCTATTCAGGCCCTCAATTTATGAATAATGAGGGAAGATCTTCTTTACTCAGTCTCTGATTCAAATGCTAATCACTTCTAGAAACACTCTCACAGACACACCCAGAAGTAATGTTTTACCAGTTATCTGGGCATCCCTTAGCCTAGTCAAGTTGACACATAAAATTAACCATTCCAGTGTAGTACACACTGTGGTTTCATTTTCTTGGTGCCTATTGAAGTTGAAAACCCGTCTTGTTTGTTTGCCATCTACAAATAAATTTTGCTGTTTGTTTTAATGTGGTTATTCCAATAATATATAGACAAATTTCTTATCCTACTTTTTCACTTAGCAATTTTCATTAGTTAAAAAAAAACTGATACGATGTCATGGAAGAATCAAATTCCCATCACTTAGACTAACCTAATACAGTGATTTTCTCAAAATATTCAGTCTCCTGAGAGTAAAGGAGTGGGGGTCTTCTGGTTCCACAATGGCTTTGTAAAAGCAAGCTGGCTTCACTTCTTCCCATATAAAACAAATATACATTACTGAGATTATAACCAGCAATATCCCAGAACTAAAATATGAGGATGAGACAGTTCCCAGGGCCACAAATAAGTGAAAAAGCCCTGAGCAGATGGTAAGAGAATCTGACTTTCATATTTGTAATGCCTCCTCCTAATCTGGCAACAAGAGTGATTAAAAATTTCCCCCAACCCATGGTTTCCACACTAGTAAAAGTGAGATCATAGGGGATAACCAGCTTCCTCATCACCTTGGGTTCCATGCCAGGAGAACTTTCCCTGCTTGAACCCACAGGAAGCATCAGGAGTAACTGAATAAAGAAATATCCCTAAAGAGAGATAAAGGCAAAGGGGAGGGGGGCACTAGTAACCCCAGCCCTGGAAACTCTGCTCTGTACCTGGACCAAAGGAGACACCAAATCAGAGTGACTGTTCAGCAGCACTACACTGTAGAAAGTTCATTCTACAGGTCCCCTGGCTGGCACTCTGTTTACTAGAACTGAAGCAAACCTGGGCTTGAGGCACTATCTAGTGCGGAAAAGGAGGCAGAAACCTAAAGAAAAAAAGAGAAAGATAATCAACAGGTAAATTACAAAGAATCTCTAAGCAAACATATCCAGTAAAAACCCAAACAAGCCAGACAGAAGACTGAAATACATAACTAATTCATCAATGCAATGATATAGATGTACATTCATAATAAACAACAGCAAATAGAGCCATGACCTCTCCAGTGGACACAAAAAGAAACCAGTGACTGACCACAATGAGATGGCAATATATGAACTCTTTGACCAAGAAAGCTAAATAGCAGTTTTAAGGAAACTCAATGATCTCCAAGATAAGGCAGAAAATCAATTCAGAATTTTTTCTGAGAAATTTAACAGAGATTGAAATAACTTTTAAAAATCAAACAGAGATATCAGAACTGAGAAATGCATTTGCTGAACTGAAAAATGTATTAGAGGCTCTCAATAGCAGAATGGATCAAGTAGAGGAAATAATTAGTGAGCCTGAAGACAGGCTATTTGAAAATATACAATCAAAGAGAAAAAATAAAAAAGAATGCAAAGGAATGAAAATCACCTACAAAGTATAGAAAATTGCCTCAAAAGACCAAATCTAAGAATTATTGATGTTCAAGAGGGAGTTGAGCAACAAAAAGGAGTAGAAAATGATTTAAATAAATAATAATGGAAGACTTTTCAAAACTTGAGAAAGAGATAAATATCCAGGTACCAGAAGGTCAGAGAACAACAAACAGATTTGACCCAAATAAGACTGCCCCAAGGCATATAATAATCAAATTTTCAAAAATGAAGGACAGAGAGAGGATTCTAAAGGCATCAAGAGAAAGAAAGCAAATAACAAATAACAGAGCTCCAATTTGTTTGACAACCTTCTCAACGGAAACTATACAGGCAAAGATGGAGTGAGACAACATTTTCAAAGTGCTGAAAGAAAAGTCTGCCATCTAAGAGTATTGTATCCAGCAAAGCTATCCTTCAAATATGAAGAAGAGATAATGTTTCTCCACGACAAAGAAAAGCTGAGAGAATTCACCACCACCAGACCTGTCTTATAAGAAATGCTAAAGGGAAGATTTCAATCTGAGAAAAAAAAATCCCACTAATGTGCAAAAATAAAACATTTGGAAGAATAAAACCCATAGGTAAAATTAAATACACTAACAAACCCAGAATACTCTACTGCTGTAATTGTGTTATGCAATCAACTCATAACTCTAGTATGAAGCATAAAAGATAAACAATAATGGCTATAGAAATCTCAAGATATAGGCAATATAAAACATGTAAACTGAGACAACGTAAAGTCAAAATGTAGGAGGTATGGAGTTAAAGTATAGAGGTTTCTTCCTTTTTTCTCTGTTTCTATTCTTTATGATCTAAGATAAATTGTCATCTCTTTAAAATAACTTATTATATCTATAAGATGTCTTTTTGTAAGCCTCATGGTAACCACAGTGTAAAAACCTCTAATAAATTCACTAAAAATAAAAAGTAATGAATTAAAACATACTACCAGAGAAAATAACCTAGCCACAAAGAAAGATAATAAAAAGGAAGAAAGGAAGAGAGGAGTTTCAAGACAACCCGAAAATAAGCAACAAAATGGAAGTAGTAAGTCCTTACTTATCAATAATAACACTGAATGTAAAAGGGTTTAATTCTCCAACTAAAAGGCACAGAGGACCCAACTGCAGTGGCTCATTCCTATTATCCCAGCACTTTAGGAGGCTCAGATGGGAGAATTGCCTGAGGCAAGAAGTTCGGGCCCAGTCTGGGCAACATAGCAAAACCCCATCTCTACATAAAAAAAAATTTTATAATTAGCTGAATATGGAGGTACATCTCTATAGTCCCAGTTACTTGGGAGGCTGAGACAGGAGGATCCCTTGAATCCATGAATTTGAGGCCACAGTGAGGTATGATTGCACCACTGCACTCCATTTCACCACTGCACTTCAGCCTGGGCAACAGAGCAAGATCCTATCTTTAAAAAATAAAAATAAATCAAAAATAAAAGGCACAGCATAGCTGAATGGATAAAGAAATAAGACCCAAATATATCCTGTCTACAAGAAACCACCTTCATCTTTAAAGACCACATATAGACTTAAAGTGAAGGAATGAAAAAATATATTCCATGAAACTGGAAACCAAAAAAGAGCAGGAGCAGCTATACTTTTATCAGATAAAGTAGACTGATATGGTTTGGCTCTGTGTCCCTACCCAAATCTCATCTCAAATTGTAATCCCCATGTGTAGGGGAGAGACCAAATGGGAGGTGATTGGATCATGGCAGCAGTTTCCCCCAATGCTGTTCTCGTGAGAGTGAGTGAGTTCTCATGAGATCTGATGGTTTAAAAGTGTGGCAGTTACCCCCTTGTTCTCTCTTGCTACTGCTGCTGTGTAAGATGTGTCTTGCTTCCCCTTTGCCTTCCACCATGATTATAAATTTCCTGAGGCCCCTCTAGCCATGTGGAACTGTGAGTCAATTAAAGCTCTTTCTCTCTCTTTTTTAAAAATAAATTAGCCAGTCTCAGGTAGTTCTTTTTAGCAGTATGAAAATGGACTAATACATAGACTAAAAATCAAAGACTATAAAAAGAGACAAGGAAAATCATTATATAACGTGAAAGGGGACAATTCAGCAAGACAATATACAATTATAAATATCTATATACCCAACAATGGAGCTTCCAAGTATAAAAGCAAACATTAATAGATCTAAAGGGAGAGATAGGCTACAATACAATAAAAGTAGGGGATTCGACATCCTACTCTCAGTAATGGACAAATCATCCAGACATAAAACCAACAAAGAAACACTGGAGTTAAACTACACATGAGAACAAATGAGCCTAATTGACTTTTACAGAAAATTTCACCCAGCTGCTACAGAATACACATTCTTCTATCAGCACATGGAACATGAAAGACTCAAATAAATAAAATCATAAACAAAAGGGAAACATAACAACTGAAGCCACAGAAACACAGACAATAATTAGAGACTATTATGAACAACTATATATGCCAACAAATTGGAAAACCTAGAAAAGTTTCTGGGCATATACAACCTACCAAGATTAAACCATGAGAAAATAGAAAACCTCAACAAATCAATAACAAGTATCAAGATCAAAGCTGTAATAAAAAGTATCGCATCAAAGAAAAGCCCAAGACCTGATGGCTTCACTGCTAAGTTACACAAAACATTTAAAGAAGAACTAATATCAGTTCTACTCAACCTCTTTAAAAAAATTGAGAAGGAGGGAATACATTCTATGAGGTCAGTGTTACCCTTATACCAAAACTAGACAAGGACACAACAAAAAAGAAAACTACAGGCCAATATTGCTGATAAATATTGATGCAAAAATTCTCAACAAAATACTAGCAAACTGAATTTAACAACACATTAAAAAGATCATTTATCGTGATCAAGTAGGATTTATTCCAGGGATGCAAGGATGGCTCAATATATGCAAATCAATAAACATGATACATCACATTAACAGAACCTGGAACAAAAACCGTATAATCATTTCAATAGATGCCAAAAAAAGCATTTGATAAATTTCAACATCCCTCTATGACAAAAACCCCCAACAAACTGGAAATGGAAGGAATGTACCTCAGAATAATAAAGGTCATATATGACAAACTCACAGTTAATGTAGTACTAAATGGGAAACAATTGAAAGACTTTCCTCTAAGATCTGGAACAAGACAAGGATGCCCACTTTTACCACTTTTATTTAACATAATACTGGAAGTCCTGGCCACAGCAATTATGCAAGAGAAAGAAATAAAGGGCATCCAAATTGGAAAGGAAGAAATTGAATTACCCTTGTTTGCAGACAACATGATGTTATACTTAGAAAAACCTAAAGACTTCACCTATGGAATACTATGCAGCCATAAAAAGGAACAAGATCATGTTCTTTGCGGGGACATGGATGGAGTTGGAAGCCGTTATCCTCAGCAAACTAACACAGGAACAGAAAACCAAACACCACATGTTCTCACTTACAAGTGGGCACTGAATGATGAGAACACATGGACACATGGTGGGGAGCAACACACACTGGGGCCTATCCGAGGGGGTGAGGTTGGGGGAAGGAGAGCATCAGGAAGAACAGCTAATGAATGCTGGGCTTAATTCCTGGGTGATGGGATGATCTGTGCAGCAAACCACCATGGCACACGTTTACCTATGTAACAAACCTGCACATCCTGCACACATACCCCTGAACTTAAAATAAAAGATTAAGAAAAAAAAAAGACTCCAAAAATAAACTGCTAGAATGGATAAAATAATTTAGTAAAGTTGCAGGATACAAAAGCAACACACAAAAAGCAGTAACATTTTATACACTAACAGCAAATAATATTTAAAAAAAATGAAGAAAGCAACCCCATTTACAATATCTACAAATAATATAAAATGATCCAGAAGCAGTTTAGCTGAAAAAGTGAAAGATCTATATAAGGAAAACTATAAAACACTGATTAAAGAAATTGAAGAAGACACAAAAAAGGAAAGATATTCTGTGTTCATGGTTTGCGAGAACTAATATTGTTAAAGTGACAATACTATCCAAAGCAACATACAGATTCAATGTAGAAATAGTAAAAAAACAGTTCTAAAATGTATATGGAACCACATAAGGCCTCAAATAGCTAAAGCAACCCTAAGTAAAAAGAACAAAGCTGTAGGCATCACACTACCTGACTTCAAAATATACTACAAAGTTATAATAACCAAATCAGCATGGTACAAGCATACAAACAGACACATAGACCAATGGAACAGAATAGAGAACACAGATATAAATCCATGCATTTACAGCCAACTCATTTTTGACAAAGGCATCAAAGACATACAATGGAAAAAGGACAGTCTTCTCAATAAATGGTGCTGGGAAAACTGGATAACCATATGCAGAAGAATAAAACTAGATCTCTATCTCTCACGATGTACAAAAATCAAATAAAAATGGATTAAAGACTTAAACCTAAGACTTGAAACTATGAAACCACTAGGAAAAAAAAAAAAAAACATTGAAGAAATGCTCCAGGACATTGGTCTGGGCAAAGAATTTTTAGGTAAGATCTCAAAGCACAGGAAACCAAAGCAAAAAGAGACAAATGGAGTTATATGAAGCTAAAAACTTCTGCACAGCAAAGGAAACAATTAACAAAGTGAACAGACACCTCACAGAATGGGAGAAAATATTTGCAAACTACCCATCTGACAAAGGATTAATAAGCAGAATATATAAGCAGCATAAACAACCCAATAGCAAAAAAACAAATATTCTGATGTTTTAAAATGGACAAGAGATCCGAATAGACATTTCTCAATAGAAGACATACAAATGGCCATCAGATATATTTTTTAAATGCTCAACAGCACTAACCATCAGAGAAATGCAAATCAAAACCATAATGAGATATCACCTCACTCCAGTTAAAATAGCTTTCATAAAAAAGGGGGATAACGAATGCCAACAAAGATGTGCAGAAAGGGAGCCCTAGGACATTGTTGGTGGGAATGTGAATTAGTAAAGCCACTGTGGAAAAAACTCTATGGAGGTTCCTCAAAAAACTAAAAATAGAACTCCCATATGATCCAGTAATTTCACTACTGGGTATGTATCAAAAGTAAGGAAATCAATATATTGAAGATATCTCTGTACTCCCATGTTTATTGTTGCAGCACTATTCACGATAGCCAAAAGATCAAATCAAGGGAAGTGCCCACCCAGGGATGAATAAAAAAATGTGGTACATATACACAATAGAATATTATTTAACCATAAAAAGAATGAAATCCTTTCATTTGCAGCAAGCAACATGGGAACTGGAGATCATAATGTTAAGTGAAATAACGGAAAGACAAATATTGCATGTTCTCATTCATATGTGAGAGCTAAAAAAGTGGATCTCATGAAGACAGAGAGTAGATAATGGTTATGAGAGGCCAAAAATGGTAGGGAGAGGGGGGATGAAGGGAGGCTAATTATTGGGTATAAATATGCAGTTTGATAGAAGAAATAAGATGTAGTGTTTGATAGATCAGTAGGGTGACTATAGTTTATAATATTCTATATTTCAAAATAGCTAGAAGGGAATAACTCAAAGGTTTCTGGCAAAAAGAAAAGACAAATAGTTAAGGTGATGGATATTCCAATCACACTGATTTGATCATTACAAATTATATGGATATATGCAATTATTTCATGTAGCCTCAAAATATCTACATCTATTATATATCAATAAAAAAATAAAGAGAATGACTTTCTGCCAAGCAAGAGGAGGATTTCATGAAAATCAATTATTTGATGTATAATAAATGTGAACAGGTTCAAGGAAAATAATGCATTGCTTTTAAGTATTTGAATAGCTGATATAAATCTTTAGACGAGATAAAATATTTTACACCAGTATACCTTCCTTAAATGTCAGCCCTAATGCTAAGAGAAGGAACAACCCTAGAGAAGAACTTGTCTTGATGGAGTTTGTTTTTTAAATGAGAACACTGTTCTAGGGTTGATATGACGTTGATAAACTTGATGTAAATAAAATGAGCTATTGTTTAAGATAACTTTTCTATTATTGGAATTCAAGGCTGCCAAGCTGTTCTGTGAAGTGCCATCATGGAACTTCAGAGAAGTCCTCCCCAGTTAGGTGAGCTGGATAAGCTTGTTAACCTAGCCAAGAGATTGGAGCATTTGAGACTGTGCAAAACCACAGGGGCAGTGTGACAGTTGAGGAAAGAATATCTAGAGAATAGCAGGAGTCAGAGAAATAGAATATCTAGAGAATAGTAGGAGTGAGAGAAATATAAGTAAGACTGTATCTCAAGTTTTCTCTTCTAAGCAAATGCACAGTAGATTTATGGCCTGTCGATGAATGACAAAGGTATATAGAAGTATTGGCTTTCCTTGTTGAAGAAAAAGGTTTTAGTTGGTTATATATTGCTGACTGAACCTTCTTATACTTTCAGGCATGTAAGATTTAAACTGATCCCATGCCTTTTCAAATTGCTTGCGTAGATATTTTTGTATGCAGAGAATATTTTAATGAAAATATCTAATTCAGGAACAGTTTTCTCAAAGCTGGAATTTCTTTACACTCTTTCATTTACTGGACAAGAGTAAACACAATGTAGATATCTCTTCACTGGTCTGTTCTGATTGCTCGAGTATCTCCTGGACTGGCCTTAGCAGTAAATAGATCAGTGAAGTACTGACAGGGCACCGAGGCTTGATCATATACCAACACATCCCTGTGCCTGTCATTCCTTAGAGCTTTAAAGGCTTTGCCGTTTTGGAGTTGCCTTTTAAAAATGCATATTCACCTGGGAGAGGACACACCTGAAATTTTTATTATTTGACATCTTAGCAAGAACTTGCCAAAAATAGACCCTGCTTGGGAAAAGGGAGATGGAAGGGATGGTGTGAGAGAAGAAATGAGTTAGAGCCCCAATTTTTTTTTTTTTTCTTTTTGAGACAGAGTCTTACTCTGACGCCTAGGTTGGAGTGCAGTGGCGTGATCTTGGCTCATTGCAAGCTCCGCCTCCCGGGTTCGTGCCATTCTCCTGCCTCAGCCTCCTGAGTAGCTGGGACTACAGGCGCCCACCACCATGCCTGGCTAATTTTTTGTATTTTTTAGTAGATACGGGGTTTCACTGTGTTAGCCAGGATGGTCTCAATCTCCTGACCTTGTAATCTGCCCACCCCGGCCTCCCAAAGTGCTGGGATTACAGGCACGAGCCACAGCTCCCAGCCTAGAGCCCCAATTTTATAGTCCAGTGTCAATTCTGTCCAAAATTTTACCAAAACCATGACTCCTGAAAGGTATGCATATATTTACTCCTTATTCTAAGAGCATCATAAATTTGAGGATGAAATGTATTTTGGAACAGACTTCAATAAATGTGTTCAATTCCAGTTTGTGTCACTATTAAAGTTGCCCTTAGGCCTCAAATAGATTTTGTGTGCGTGTCTACATTTTCACCCATTACATCCCAGAGATGACGGGTGCAACAATGAGAAGAGAGGAAGATAACTGATTAATTATTCTCTTTGTCGCTAGCCTATGCTTATTCTTCTGGTTGGTCAAACCGCTAGGCTCCCCTCTGACACTAAACAGCTCATGTTTCAAGAATATTTAAGAAAATTGTACAACTTTCTTTTTCATTCTGTCGTGGAAATGCCTGGCTCTAATGTTCTGGAGAAACTTGACACAAATAATAAACAAAAAAGAAGGGTCTACAGAAAAGATCACCTGATAAACCTCCAGATCTGCTTGCCTATGCCCTCTTCTCCTTCCAATCTGGAAATGCCTGAATTATACCTTCGTGGGCAGTGAACAATTTATACTTTGAGGAAGGGGAGATGAGGATCTGTTTGATATTTGCTGAAGTTAGTCAATTAACACGTTGAGGTGGTAGCAGATGCTATTCCCTGGAAGACATATTGACCTTTGATTTTTAAAGAAACCAGCCTTTAAAGTTTCAGATAATTGTGTCTGAGATAATTCACAGCTAGTCTGGGGCTCTTGCTTGTTTCGTTGACAGTAAGCCGTATTTGAACTCATCCCCAGATGTACAAAGTCTATTCATTGACTCAATAAGTCACTAATTTTCTTTAAAGTTTCATTAAAAGCAGAGACATTACTAAAGAGCTTGTATTAGTCACAATTTGATCAAGGTTCAGTTAGATATTTGAGGCAAGAATTGATAATATAACCAATGATGTCAAAAAAGGGAGGCTAATACAGCTATGTATTCTTCAATGTTCAGGTCCAACAGAAATTGAAAAATGTGACAGAGTTGTTGGAATGTCATCCAGTTGGCTGCTGTAACATGCTGTAGAAAGGATGGATATTAAATTATTGAAGATAATATGATAGTTTGTGTAAGCTCTCATGTTTTCCCTGTCTCCACCTCCTTTCCCTGTCCTCATATCTGCTATACCATTCTCTGCTCTCACCCCTTTCTTGTAAATAGCACATCTGCTCAAGATATAGAGTTTATTTTGAAGGACACAGGTAATTCAAAAGCTATTTATGTTCAGATATTACTTACCTAATTTACATAGCCCAGCAACAATCAAATACTAGCATGGCAGAATCTAAAATAGTTTGGTCCAGCTTATTAAGTTGTTATGATGCACATTACAGGCTCATTTGCTGTAATTAATTAGTGGAGAGAGGATAGAGCCTCCGCCTTAATTGCTTCTATCTAACAAATGTTTTCGAGGAGATTTCATTTATTGAGAAGAGCACAACTGAGAAGAATACCCGTGTTAAAAGCTCCTGTTGCTCTTCCTTCACTTTACATCCTTTTTCCAAAAGCTATTATTTAAAATACAAATTTTAATCTCTAAGTAGAAGCATATATTGTGATTCTTAGCCAGTGGTCTTCTTCGTGAAACTGATGTTTCCTAACCCACCATGTTTACATGCAGTGTTTTTCTCCCAGTGGTTGCTGGTAGATCTTTGTGCTTTAACTCTCAAATCCTTAGAGTGTTTCAACGATAGATTTGGGAGGAATGATAGGGCCTGATTTTCTCCCTCTCCTTGTCAAGCCACCAGCGCAGAATAAGATGACAAGAATAATTTTGCAGAGTCAAAATAGCCATATAAAAACCCATAGTAAAAATGTACAATATGTTGATATTGGGCCTCTGAACTAGCATTATTATATTTTATGGATATTCATATTTTACATGTCAACATACAAACAGCAATAAGTCTTTAAACTTTTTTAAAGCTCTTAATGGTTTCCAACGTGGCTTTTTACATATGTTATTTTATTTGGTCATCTTTCAAACACTGAAGCAGGCTGGGGCAAAATGTTATTACCTTTCACTTACAAAGAAAAGAACTGAGATTGAAGATGGTAAAAAAATGTGTTCTAGAGGACATAACTGTCTGTAGCAGAGATCAGAAACAAGCTTGGCCTCCAAATGGTCAGCCAAACATATTCCTGTACTCTACTATTGCTGAATATTTTTAACATACAGAAAATAAGTGTAACAGATACTCGTGTATCCACCTCCTTAGATTTAACATGTTAGCCTTTTGTCTATTTGCTTCAGATCATTTTTGTTTGGGTAATTGTAAGGAAGTATTATGAATGCATCTAATATTATCCTTTTCCCATCTGTTTCCCATCCCTCATGCCCATCCTTGGGAATCACCACTCTTCTGAATTTGCTGATAGCATTTTTATGAAGGTTTTCATGCTTTTGTTCTATGTATGTATGTTCATGAGCATATATATTATTTTGTGCTTTGAAAGTTTACATAGATGGAATCATATGTACCATTTTGCAACTTTAGATTGGTCCTGTCTCTTCAGTAGTATGCTTCTGAGATTTATCCATGAAGATCTAATTCATTCATTTCAACAGCTGCGTAGTATTCCATTGTATAAATAAACTACCATTTATTCATCCATTCCTTTCTTATGAACATTTAGGTTATTTTCCATTTTCCCCTGTTTCAAAACAGTGCAGTAAAAATCGTCTTTGTAGTTCTTCTTGGCCACAGGGACAAATTTTTTTCTAGGCCTGAAGGACATGTCTAGAAGTATAATTAATGTGCTATGCACATTTTTCAGTTTTTCTGGGGAGTGCCATATTAACTCTCCAAAGTAGTTGTACTAATTTGTTCTTCCACAAGCAATGTCTAAATTCCATTTCCCCACTTTCTTTCCAGCCATTGGTGTCCTCAGCTTTTATATTGGTTTTTTTTTCCTGTGATTTCATTAGTGTGTGATGACTTCTACTTGTTTTAATTTGATCACTAGTCAGTTTGCCTATCTTTTATATGCTTATTGGTCACTGAGATCTCATCTTCTGCAAATTAGCTGATTATATTATTTCATTGCTTATTTTTTCTATTAAACATGGCAAATAAGGATGACTAAATAAATATTCTCAAGTTTGTCTAAAAAAATTTTAAAAACCAAAGGTAGTGGGTGGGTGGGGATCGGAGAAGCTGTTAAGAATCCAGAAGTAAAATTCTAGATAATATCAGTGTGGAGAAGAGAGGAGTAGAAACTAAAGGGATGTGAGTGTGTGCTAAAAATATAGTCTCAAAATATACAAAACATCATCATTAAGTAAGGTTTTTTTTTTTCCCACCAGAAGTATATGAATGGTCAACATTAGAAAATCTCAATGAATTTCAATGTATTTATAGTCTTAAACATTTAAAAAAATTGTATGTTCATTTCAATTGATACAGGAAAATGATTTGATAATAGCAGCCAGCAGGCCATGAGTGTGGTGGTGGTGGGCAGGTAATGTAATAAGAAATTAACCATCCCCCTTCTCTGAAGGCTGGTGACCTTCCTGCTTACAGCTGTACCTTAACTGGAGGGTGGGGAGTCTTAATTTTGAATTAAAATAGAGTTTTTTTTTTTCAATTTTGTTTTGTCTTAGATTGGGTTTTCTAGAAGCAGAGTCTGAGAGTGGGATTTAGGGGAGAACAAAATTTTAAGGAATGCTCTTCAGAAAAAGTCAGTAAGGTTAGGGATGAAGAAGAAGAAGCCAAGCAAGTATGTGATTTCAGGAGACATCTAGCCTTCCCTCATCTGTGGGGGAGTGGTTTGTATGTAAGTTGCACAGCAGACTGTTCCTCCTAGAACCACAGGCTGGCCTTTTGTCCCTTTGTAATCAGTCTTTGATGTGTGTGTGTGGTGAGGGGGTCAAGATTTACCAGGCAGGATGGTACCTGCCAGCTAATGGCAGTTCTGAGAGAACACTCCGGAAACCATGCCTAGGTAATCTTCACAGCAACTGAGAGATGGGTGTACCTGCCTGGTAAATGGAATGGGGAATGGGGTGGAGAACATGGTAGCTTCTGCCACACTGGTTCATACATGCAGCTGGAATTTCTAGTATCTGAATTAAGGATTATATTTTACAACTTAAAGTGATCATAGGATTTTGTATATCCTAGGTATGCTTAGAAAAAGCATGGGATTGCTTATTTCCATCCAGGGGAAGAGGAAGATGTCCCCTGCCTACGAAAGACAGCAGAAGATAGAAAACAAAAGCAAAATGGCTTTTTGTGATTACACCTCTTGAGTCCTGCATGCTCAATATACCACTTGTGTATACACACACACATGCATATACACATACACTGTGCATGTATGCACATGCATTCATATTTCATCATGTATCATGCCACACACATGCAGTTACATGCATGTATATATACATATGCATAAATACATGCATCCACATATTTCATCTACTATCTCTCATCATATCCTATAGCTTAAAAAATGTTGTAGTCTTATAATGACCATATAAGCAGCCACTGTTAGCACCATTATGTATAAACATTAAAATCTGTACAGCTATTAATGCTATATCAGAAGGATGGATGATACTCATATTTTCTTGTCAGCATTCTATTTCTTTGAATTAGAGAAAGCTGAAAAGAGAGTATTTCTTTTTCTGCCAAATATCTGGAAACACTTGGTCTCTCGGGTGGACTTCCAGCCAAATGAGGATCTCTGCAGGAATGGAAGAAATCACACACTCTGCTCCAGGAGCCTCTGTTTGCCAGGTCACATTGCTTTACTCTGGATTTCTACCATTTGATCGAAGGTCAGTCCAGAGACTTGAGGCCCACTGTGGTGCTGCAGATGGCCCAGTCTTGCCAGGGAAATGTGTCCCCTTGTGTTTTTGCCAGCTGCGGATCTGAAGATGAGATGTTTGCATCTCTAACACCTCACTTTTTGTGCCAAACCAGGCCTGCACTGCAAGGAATCCCCCTGCCAATTTTCCTTTATTAAAAAGATACTCCTTTCCATGCCCAAGAATAATATTATGGAAAAGGATAACCATTTAGCTATGTTTGACCATGGTCCTAAGGAATTCAGCAGGATCCCACAGAATTCCAAACAACGTATTTTTTAATTCACAAGCAAAGGATGAAAGGCACATTAATAGACATGATAAGAACAGAAGATGGGTAATTCTTCTAGAAGGCTTTACAGTGTCACTAGAGCACCATGTATCAATGTTCTGATTAATGTTCTTATACCACAGCTATACATGGTATACTTGCATTATATTTTGAGTAATAATAAAATATGCTTCTTGAGAAGTTATAAAAACTGAGCTGACCATTAAGGATTTGGCATCTTATTTTGCTGTATGGGAAGACATTTAGCATGTGGTTTCACACCCAGCCTGTAGGAGTTCATCCAAGTTCAGTGGTCCTAGACACAGTCAACATCCTCTTCTTTTAGAGTTCAGATAGCCCCACTAACATTCAGAATCTCCAAGCACACACTGCACCATTTTTTTAAAGCACATCCTTTAGCGCCAGACAACAGGCAAACACTAATGAAGTTCCAGGTAGAGGCATGTTTATTTGTTTTCTGTGGTTCAGAAACCATTTCCGTTTGCTTGAATAACACATTGTCTAAAAGCAATTTCCTTTCTGTCTCCATGGCTCCTTGAAATGGTAAATTATTAAAATAATCAGGCCTACTGGTGCCATAATGAACAAGAGGTGATCTCGTATTGGAGGCACTAAGCAGAGAAAAAGATTTTTTAAATTACCGTAAATTCATTCTCTGGTACTCAACGTTGTGGTTTTTGTTGCTGTTTGGTAGTTCCTAATTCCACTCCCCCAGTCCCCACACACACACTCCTTGGTTCCAATATTGCATTATAAAGATGATTCATATTAGGATAAAGTTTTGTCTCTCAGCCTACATCACTTCTCAGGACAGGTAATGAGTAAGAAGAGAACAATGAAATGACTAACAATGAAGTAGAATTCACAAACAAAACTGAATGAAGTTGCTTGAAAAGAAAATTTTGCTTATAGGTAAGTCTCTGTACGGAGAGAGCCAATGCATCCAGATTCAACTGCTAATCAGAAAATCTGGGTTTTGGCCCCTGCTCTGACACCAACATGACTTTGGGTAAGACCCATACCCACACTAAGCCTCAGTTTCCACTTCTGTAAAATGGTAACACTAGTTACTCACTTTGCTTATTTAAGTATCAAATGAGATAATGTATGTGAAAATACTTCATGAACTATGAACCACTTTACTAATATAAAATACCAGTAGAACAGAACATGTGTTAAAGGTAGAGGTAAGATTTTTTTTTTTTTCTTAACTGTTGTCCTTTTGTATGTATTCACACTAACACTAAGCCCCTGTTACCTCAATTCCTACTCCTAACTGGTCTCTGCGATTCCATTCCACCCTTCAAAATCCTTTCAGTCCCTCCTGTACTTTGAAGCCAGGTGAATCTTCCTGAATTATTAATTTCCAGGGAAATGTCTTGCAAGCCTGTGGAGCTCCATGTGGTGTTTAAAATAATAGAAACAATATGCCCATGGCAAAGGAATAATGTGGATGATAATGTAATCCAGATGTCAGTTTAGACCTCTCTGTCTCTTGAGAATCTGGAGATATCAAGATACATTGATTCTGACTCCCAATTCTAGAGCCCATAATTGGTCAAAATAATGTCATATGCATTATTGAGAGCAATACTTCCTCATGGTTGCTGATTCATCTGGACTTTTATTGTTGTTGTTGCAAATGACAGAAACTCAAGTTTTAACATCCTAAGCAACAAGTAAATAGGCTGGCTTATTTAACTGAAAAACTCAAAAGGTAGCATGACTTTAGGCGTGACTAGATCCGGTGACTCAAATTATATTAACAGAATTCTTTTTGTTTTTGCTCTGCCTTTCTCTGAGTTGTCTTCATGCTCAGGCAGTGTCTCTGTGTGTGGTGAACAGTTGATGAAGGCAATGAATTAACCAAGATTAATCAGCAGTTAATTACAGCTGCAAGTAACAGGAAAAATGCTAAGTGGCTTAAACAAGATAGTTTATTTCTCTCTCACATAAGGGTCTAGTTGTAAGCAATTCACGGCAAGTAAGACAATTATGTCCCCCAGAAGACTTCAGCTGCTTATCATTACAGTTTTCTGCCTTGCCATCCCTGGTTCACAATGGAGCTCCGGCCATGATGTCCATGTCCCAAGCAGCAGATGCGCGAGGAGAGAAGTAATGATGAAGGGTACAAAGCAACTGTTTCTTAAAAAAGGTATCTGAAAGCTCTCACATGACATTTTCACTTACATGGCATTGATGTGGCCATATGTAGCTACATTTTCCAAGGAAGGCTGGAAAATGTAGGCTTTTATTCTACGTATTGTGTAAGACCATTTGCCTAGCTGAAACTTTATTATTGTGAAAAAAAGAGGGAACAGATATTGGAGAACAATTAACATCTTCTGCTAGTAGAAATTCTATTAGCTTTATCAACTCCATGGAGAGAGCATCTTCTCAGGTCCTGTAAAAAACTCCTGGCAACGCTCTTATAGGCTCCACTTGAGTCCTATGTCCATTGTTGAACGATCACTTTCTGGGGTGGTTTGACCAGACCTAGCATGTGCTCACCCCCGTGGTGGTGATGAGGGTAGAGCCGGAAAGGTAACATACGCACCACATGGGATGGATTCCTCCAGGAGAAAAGCTATGTGTGTGTTGGCGGGGTGGGGGTGGGGTGTCTAATACCAGACAAAGGAGGCAGGGAAGCTGGATTGCTATAAATAACAGACGTCCACCACAGCTTCTCTGTCTCCAGCTTCAGCATGAGAACATTCTGTTTTATCCTGTGTCAACTGAGAGGCAAAATTCAGTTCCTTCGCTGAGTGAAAAAAATCTACTTCCGCTATCATTTCTGTACAAAATGGTCAGAGGAACATCTTTCCACATATGTCTAAGTATGACAAAAACCTTAATATTAGCTAGGCAATGAGATGTGAACATTGTATTAATGGAACAAATCCTTGGAGTTGTGCAGTGCATAACCTAAACAACCTTATGAGGCATCCCTGGATACTGTCGTCAGAAATTTTATCCAAGTATCAATCACCAACTGGTATAGCACTAGGAAGGGTTTTTATTTTTTATGACTCTTGTAGGTAAATATTCATAAACACCATAATTTTACCACTTATTGTATTTTAAAACACTTTTAAGTTGTCACCTATTAAAGACTAACAGTGAAAACTCCAACTTTTGTCATTGTGGGGTTATCATAATTTTAAGAATAATTGCTAAATCAGCCATTCTAAAAAAATATGCTGATTTTATCAAGTTAGTGCTTTCCAACCTTGGCTGCAACTTAGAATCACCTGAGGGTTCATAGAAAAAAAATTTGTTGGCCGGGCGCGGTGGCTCACGCTTGTAATCCCAGCACTTTGGGAGGCCGAGGCGGGCGGATCACGAGGTCAGGAGATCGAGACCATCCTGGCTAACACGGTGAAACCCTGTCTCTACTAAAAATACAAAAAAATTAGCCGGGCGTGATGGCGGGCGCCTGTAGTCCCAGCTACTCGGGAGGCTGAGGCAGGAGAATGGCGTGAACCCGGGAGGCGGAGCTTGCAGTGAGCCGAGATTGCGCCACTGCACTCCCACCTGGGCCACAGAGCGAGACTCCGTCTCAAAAAAAAAAAAAAAAGAAAAAAATTTATTACAGGGTATAATCATTGACCAATTAAATCAGAATATCTAGGGGGTAGGGACTGGGCTCCATTTATTTATATAACATAGATTTCATCAGATTGGCTTCTACAAGCAACTGAAATTAACATTGATTGAGGTTTATGTAGGCTAATTGGTCTTCCCTAAATAATATTTATCTAAAATAGAGTATAAGGGGCTTCAAAAGGCTCAAATATAAAGGGGTTCTGTATCTTACATCCAGGCACATACAGGACTAACTTTTCACAGATATTTTGGTCATCTGGAGGTGCAGGAACTCAGATCACTTTCCTGGCCGCAGGCACTTAGACTCTTTCACAAGACGGATCCAAACTCCCTGTCGTTCCTTGATACTTTGATTGGCAAGTCTCATTCTGCTGTTTGAACCTGTGTTTCATCTTTACTGATGAACATTCTTAGCATCATTTCTGTCTGGTCCAGACTAAAGTTCAACACAGCATCCACTGTTGAACAATTGGAAGGAATAACCTGAGTCCAGCCCTGTCCTCGGACACTTAGGTGAGGCTCCCATTTGTTTTATGTGCAGTGGACCGGCAGAGCCCAGAACGTGGCCTTATACCAAGGAAGTATTAATAAATCTTGCTTGTAAAGTGTCGTAAATCCACCAATGAAACTATGTTTATTTAGCTTAGTTCCTTTCTCAAATGACTTCACAAACTGTTAGTAACGGAAGGTCAGGTTCAGACAGGATTTATTTTTATGGTCTGCTCAGCATTTGCAATGAAAGAAACTTATCAGAATCCCCCCACCCCTTCTCTTCACCATGGGTTGGAAGGAGTCTCAATGCTCTTACCATTGGACTGGGGTAGGGATGGGTGCTGTTATGCACCAGGTAAGAGGCAGCATTAGCACCAATGCTGGGAGGGATACAAGAGTCGTGAGGGCTCACCTTCTGCAACTGTTCACTACTGATTCATGAAACTGTATGTTTCACAGAGGAAAAAAGGAAAGAAGGAGCAGTGTGTGGAAATATAAGAAAGCACAGTATCCTTACAAAAATGTTTTGGTGTCTCTGATGAAGGAGGGAAAAAAGATCAATTTGTGCCTCTCAGTACCCCCAGGGACAGAGTCCTCCCAGAATAACTATTGGCTGGATCATTATTTTATTTCTCATCTCAATCCTCAATCAAGTGCTCTGGGATTTTCAGACACCCTGAAAGTGTCATGGATGCTGGGGTGCTAATAATCAGGTCTCCAGTTGCCCATACAGAGCCCCTAGACCACAACACCCCTGCAGCTAACCAGCATGGGGTTAACTATTACTGAAGTCCCTTGTTAAGGGTGACGGTGGGCTCTATTTTGGGGCTCCCAGGGACTGCCTCTAAGTCTCTCTAGCCAGGACTTCCATCGGGGTAGTGTGTTGGAGTGGAAAGAGCCTGGGCTTTGGAGCGTGATCGATCTGCAGCCTCCTTATTGTGAGTGGACAAATAGAAAATACTAGCATTGTGTAAAAAGGGCTCAATAAATGACATCTGTATGCCATACTAATTACATAGGGTAGAAAAGAAAATACCAGGAGGAAAGTCATAAATACAAAGTGGGTGATGAGTCAACAAACACCTTCTCAGGGCAATTTAATATAGGAAAGTGATTAAAGAGAAAAAGCTAAGAAACATTGACAGCTATAGTTTTAGAGAAGGACATGCACTTATTTCTTTTTTATCTTAAATGAGTCTTCATGGAAAGTGAAAATGAACTGATTCTGACAACAGTAAATCTTTCACTACCCATAGTTTGGTTCCTCTGTACAAGTCAGCAAAATAACACTAGAAGGGGACTTCTATTAGCCCTAACCTTTCTAATAGCTCTGGTAACTGTTTATACTGTCATAAATAATTTGGTCTTAGTTTTCTTATCTGTGAAGAGAGTAAGAAATACTTTTCTTTTTTTTCCAGGAGGTTTCAAAGCTCAAATGAAATAGTATTTATCCATGTAGCTACCTGATTCATTCATTTAACACACACCTACTGTTCACTATGTGCCAAACATCGTTCCAGGTACTGGGGATATAACAACACAGACTAAAGTTCCTGCTTTTATGGAGTTTACATTTTAACAGTAGGAAAAAGATGATAAAGAAATAAACCGATAAAGGTATACGTCACGTGTTGATAAGTAGTGTGAAGAAAAAGAAATAGCTAAGGAGGATAGTATTACTAAAAAAGCTTTATAAACTTTAAAGAACTGTACAAATTTCAGGTTTTAACCTCAGGCTTGATTGATTAACAGGATTAAGCTCCAGGTTTTTGGCACTGGAGAATTTATTTGATTCTTTAAAATGAGAGGAATTTGCATTATTACTCATTACAAGATTAGCCTTCTTGAAAAGGCCCTATTTCCCCCACCATTTCATAAGTCCTCATATTGGCATGAAGCTGCTGAGAAAGGACACATTCCCCTTGAAAAAGAGAGAAACTTAAATCAGTGTCAGAAATATCTAGGATTTGAGTGTCTCCTGAATCCTCATCTCAGTTATTCCGCTTTCTTTGTCTGTGGAAAGTTCTTTCTCTTATTTTTGCCTTAATTCCTATTGTGGAAAATGGGAGCAATCTTTTTTAATGGATTACTCAGTGCTTTGTTTTGTTCCTAGGCTTGATGAAGATGGAATCAAGCTATCTTTATAAGTGCTAGGTATTAAATATTAATCTTCAATAGTGGTTATACTCAGTTCATTTTATGTAATTTCTTGATTAATGTTAAAAGCACACTTCTCAAACATTTATGAATGTGCCTCTAAATGGAAGGCATGTCATTGAATAGAGAGAATAGCAAATCACTCCATTCTCCCGCTGGGGTGGACACAATTGAATTACAAAGTGAGGCTGAAAAGCTAGTTGCAGGTTTTATTTTAACATAGAAACAGAGCAGTCTCACCTAAGAGGCTGAGTACTACCAACTCCAGTTGGAAAGACAGCTAAGATATAAGAGTTGCCCTTGGGCATTAAGGTGCCAGTTTTGCAAAATCAAGGTAATGGAATTCAAATTAATTTAGATACTCATTCCATTAAGCTGGGCCATTTTCAAATGAAATTCTCTATGTTAACAGTAGTAACAGTTCATTATCTCTCATTCTAAGATGCTTTAAATACTCTAGTTGCCATAAAGGTAGCTGACCTATAGAAATATTTCCCAAGCCTATTAGCGGAGACAAGATATTACTTTTCTTGTCAATGAAAGAAGAGGTCGATGGATGGAAGCTGCAAACAATTATTTTAGAGAAATCTTCCTTCACTTGCTCCCTGGACTCAAAGAACAAATGTTAAAAGAATCAATAGAATGTTTTATAAGAGAATGAGCCGTTAAAGGGAGGGGCAAGATATGGACCGTGTTGTGACTTGGAAACACCATGCTTTGCACCAGTAACCAATATTGTTAGCTCTAAATTGTCCTTAAATCTTAAGAAATCCAGGAATTTTTTCCTAAGTTTTTTTCTCCAACAAGGTCTGATTTGTCTGAAGTGGGGAAGACTGTTGCATTTTTATTTTTTTAATTGCTAAGAAGGCTAGAGATTAACATAACATTGAGATAATAAAACCTGAAATCCAATTTATGGTCTCAGCATGAGGGTATTTTTTAAAATAACATTTTTATTTATTATCATTTTTCTGCTTTCAATCTATTTTATTTTCTCTTACTAGAGTGATCTAAAGGTTAATTCCCTTGCAGTTAGAAGAAAACAAAGTTGTACATGATACAAATGTTAAAATTCACAGTAATTCAATTAGGTGTTTAAATATTTGCTGAAACATTATCCATTTTGTGAGTCCTAGTTTTAACAAAAATACTTATGTTGAAAAGTAGAATTTTCTTGTTTGTGTGTGCATCATAATTTCAAGTATAAAACTCAACTTTTTTTAAATTGAGGGTTGTAGTCAAGTGGTCCATCCCATTTCCGTTTTCTTATTTTTCCTACTTTTTGTCTCTGGTTCTCAACAATTGTGTGTTTGTGTACCTGAGATGAGACAAACATCTTTTTTTCATCTGATGAATGAAACTACGCTACCCAATTTATTGGCATAAGTGAGAGAAATTCTCTCAGGCACATTCTTCCCCCCTCCCCTTTCCTTCCACTGTCTTGACCAGAACTTCTCTCAACCCTTACTTCAATCTCATAATTGAAAAGAAAAAGAAAACATTGTTCCAGCTCATTCTGGCTTGAAATGGGCCTTTGAGCGGTATTTACAAAGAGTCATTTCCATGACAATATCAAAAGCCCTCAATTTCTATTCCATGTTATAAAGAGGAAAATTTCACATTCAAGTAACCCTTCAGACCTATATTTTTCCAAGGTGTGAGATTGATGTGAAATGAACCCATAAAGAAAATGGTTGGGAAAAACCAATAAGCATACCCTGGCTTTTTTTCTTCCCTGTGGTATTAACGGGTTCTGTGTGACCCTCAGATCTATTTGCATTTGTCCTCTGTTAAATATAAGAACTATATAAAACACTTTCAGTAAGGAAGTTGAAATTTTATCTACTTCTATTCTAGATTCTATTGAAAGTCCAGACACATCTAATAAAATAAAATCACACTTATATAGGTAGTGGCACATTTCTCAGGGGTCAAAAATTAAAATAACTGAAGAATTTGCATGATTTATGTTTAAAGTGCAGTTGTATATGTTGTCTCATGACAGAGCAAGACTCTGTCTCAAAAAAAGAAAAAAAAGAAAGAACTGATGGAAGTCATCCTACAAAGGGAGCTTCAGCATTTTCTACAAACTTGAAACAGAAAATCTTTTTACGGTGGGATTTTTAAGTACTAATTCTGCTTCTGATATTTTTCAAGACATTAAGTGAAGAGAGTGAAATGAAACATAAATATGCTACACTTTTAAATATTTCACTTTTTAAAAAGCTGTTTTGGGCTACAGATGGAATTTCAGTCCTTTTCTTATTTTGTGGGAAGGGCTTTGGTTTTTAAATTGCACAGCAAATCTGACCCACAAGAGCAAGAAAATTGTGAATTGTGGGTGCACCTGGAAAGAATGCTGTAAATTTCACTTTTATGTCTTTATAAGCAAATACTCTGGAGAAAACTACATAGACACGGGGACTGTTTTTTCCTCCTCACATTTGGAGAGTAAAAAGTACTGTTGAATGTGAAGTTTCATAATAGTTGCATAATTATTTTTGTTTTCTCACCAATGCCAGCATGCTACTGGTGAGGTACAGAAATACCGAAAAGAAGTCATCTGAGAACCAAATTATGACTACCACTTAAAAAAATATTTCCTGCAGCCATGCTCCTTTCCTCAGGTTTGCAATAAGCCATTTCAGAAGATTTCTGAGCAGTGACACGGCAGCAAAGAATGAAGTGATAAAATAGTAATTACATAATTTGAACTAGGTTAATGTTAACTCCAAAGCAAATGTACAAAAATAATAATTCTGCATCATTTTATAACCTTAAAAACATTTTTATATGGACTATCTTATTTTCCAAAAGACTGGGAAACCTTAGACATATGACTATGTTGCAAGAACAAGTAAAGTGCTGTATTTGAAGTCATCAGGCAAAATTTTTTGGCTAATCCCATTTGTGCAGCCTAAGACAAGTTTAATCCTTAGGCCTCAGTTCCTCTATTAAAGACATGGATAAAAAGACCTTTGGCACAGTACAGACATTCAAAGGTTTCAAAGTTTTTCATCTACATCTGCAACTAGATGAGGTTGAGGAAATATGGTAGTTGAAGAATCCATGAAAAATGAAGGCTTCTGAGAGTTTCTCTTAGGTGAGCTGGTTAATGAGCAGGCTTTTTCCCTTACATCCTGCCTGAGCAATTTTGCAATCAATAGTTTGGATTGCAAAACCCACTGTATGGTAAGGAATTTTTTATTTGAAGTGTCACGTTCCATTTTCTGCTGCTGCTTTCCCACAATGCTCAGTTTTGGAGCATATATGATTAAGAAAAAAAAAAACCCTTAGAATACTTTGGGCACAGTGGGTACTTGTTAGAACTGATAATCATGGTAAATTATTTTTCTCCTTCTATGTTATACATAAAATGTTTTTATTGTAAATATTTTCCTCAAAGTATCTGAATTTGCCTTGTGTTCAACAAAGAAGATCACTTTCTGGGATACAGTGTTCTTAAATGAACTCAGGCTGCACAGTTGGGAATTCTAATCCTGGCTGATATGGTTTGGCTGTGTCCCCACTCAAATCTCATCTTGAATTGTAGTTCCCATAATGCCCACGTGTTGTGGGAGGGACCTGGCAAGAGATAATTGAATCATGGGGGCGGTTTCCCTGAATACTGTTCTCGTGGTAGTGAATACGTCTCATGAGGTTTGATGGTTTTAATAAGGGGAAACCCCTTTCACTTGGTTCTCATTCTCTCTCTTCCCTGCCACCATGTAAGATGCGACTTGCTCCTCCTTGCCTTCTGCCATGATTGTGTGGCCTCCCCAGCCATGTGGTACCATGAGTCAATTAAGCCTCTTTTCTTTATAAATTACCCAGTCTTGGATACATCTTTATCAGCAGTGTGAAAACGAACAAACACACTGGCTTTACTAAATATCCTCGGGTAAGTTATTTAACCTTTTTGACCCTCAGGTTTCTCACGTGATAATTGGAAGTCATCATGCACAATCCTCAGCTTTGTTGAGAGACAAATAAATGAGGTGAAAAAATGTGCCTCAGTAGCGTTTGTCTTATAAATTATTTTATTGTTGTTGCTGTTCTTGATAGAGGCAAGACTACTATATAATTTTGTTAAAAACTTCTTTGGAGGTTTTTTTTTTAAAAAAAACAGAATTGACTAAATGGAGTGATCCAATGGATTGAGTCATCCAATTGTTTTGTTTTATATAGATGAAAGTAATGATATTTTTGTCTTCTACTTCAAGCATTGGTTTAATTTTTATCAGAATACTTGGAAAGTAGAAATTTTGGTCACGAGTCCAAAAACTCATGTGTGAAAGAAACATAACCTACATTAATTTTCTGCATCTTAATTTTAGCTCAAAGTCTCATTCTTCTGTTTAAGCTTCACCCATCTTTCCACGGTTATATAAAGGATTTAGGGGCTTATAGAATATCAAGGCACAGAAACAAAGAGTAGAAAAATTCTCCCTTAGTCATTGATGTACACTAGTTACTGTTGGGAATTCTTGGACAAAGCTCAGGAAAAAGTTCATTCTCTTTACCAGGCTCTAAGTTAGTTGACAATTTTCATAAGGCAATGAGTGAAAGGTTCAGGATTTTAAGAAACAGACTATTAGAAGAATTTTATAGCAATTCCCCTTTTATTTTCTATTCAAAATTAAATTAAATAAAACTCAGACTCATCCACATTGTTTTTTAATGCATTGCTGATGAGGTGTCATATTTATTTCTTGAGTCTAAGCAGTGACGATGAAGCTTCCCCTATGCATCTGATGCCCTGTCTTTGGGAAACCAGTGAAAACAAATGCATTCAGAGTGAAGCTCAAAGAACACAGTTTACTCACTGCTTCCCTTTGAGAGTGAAGCGAGCTGCTTTCCTGGTTTATATCTGAAATGGATGACAGGAATGACATTTAATTAGAATGTTTCCTTTCTCAGTTGGGGCAAGCATCCTTTACTCTCTAGTGGAAAGATTACGAAGTAGCAAGCTGTGGTAGCCAGCCTCTGAGATGGCACCTCACCTCCTGGTGTTCTTGGTCTTGTATAATCCCCTCTTGCTATCAGTAGGCTTTACGTGTGTAATCTATAGGACCTTGGGGGAAATGACAGTGAGCAACTTCTGAAGCTTGGTTATGAAAGAAAATGTGACTTCCACCTTGCCTTCTCTTGAATCTCTCCCTCTGGAGGAAAACAGCCACCATGTTCTGAGGATATTCAAGCAGCTTTACAGAGAACAACTGAGGCTCTCCACCAACAGACAAGGTGAACATACTAGCCATGTGAATGAATCATCTTGGAAGCAGATCTTCCAGACACAATCAAACCTTCATATGACTGTAGTCTCAGCTGAAATCTTGACTCTTGAGAGAGCCTGAGCTAAAATGAAAGCTCACACTCCTAAATTCTTGATCCACAGAAACTGTGTGAGGTAATAAACAATTATTATAATTTAAAGCCAGTGAGTTTTGGGATAATTTGTTATGCAGCTGTAGATAGCTAATACACAAGCATATAAGCACTCCTATGAATAGATGCAAAGGCTTTGTCAATAACCCCCTGCTTTTTACTTCCCCTTGTAATGTGTACAAATTCTCTTTGGAGAATAGAATGGCTCAAGTTTCATGGTCCTCCATTCTACAAGATGACAGTTCATCTTTGTCAAATTCCTTTTTTTTTCCCGGAAGAAAGATGAACAAATGTCAAATGACCAATAACTTTAGTCTTGGTCTTGCTGAGGCTAGACAGTTCAGAGTTCTCCTGTTGGTATCCACATGGCTCACTTAACTCATTCATTTCTCTCTCTTAATTCTATGCCAATCTTGGTGGAGGTGAATGGGGCTCAGGAAAATTGTTGCTATTTTTGTGCCAAGCTCTGGGGAGAGGGGAGCATGGAAGACTTAGCTTTCTATAGTTTCTTCTGCTTAGGCTTATCACAGTTATGCTTTCTCTCCAGGAGTCATAGACCCATAGGATCCTCCCTGTAAGATCTTCCAAAGTCTCTGCTATTATGATCAATAGAAGACTGATTCCCAGTCTGCGTGTGTGTGTGTGTGTGTGTGTGTGTGTGTGTGTGTGTGTGTGGTGGGGAAGGTGTGCCGATGACAGATACAGAATCTTTCTTTCCTGTTTCTTCCAAATATTTTGTCTCTACTCTGGCTATTTTCTACTTAAGTTCTTAGGCATTTGAAAGCCAAACCTAGAACAATTCAGACTTTTGTGCTTTCTGCCTTTTTTCACCCTTCTCCTTAGGATTACTCTCTGTTTGAATGAGAAGGAAAGAGGCAAACACTGGAAGAAAAAAGACGCATATGTTAATATCTCAAAGATGATATCACTACAAACAGAGGCTTCAAGCTTTACCCTGATTTTGTCCTAAAATTATATGTGAATAGATGCTATCCAAAGGTCAGAGTAGGCATCAAGAATGAAATTTAAACAGAGCTTCGAGACTTCTGTAGATCCTAGGTATTTTGGAAAACCCGTAACATCCATCCTTAGGACTCCGTTTCCAATAAGAGCTTCTCAGTTGTATAACGTAAATATGTTTTAATGTCATAATAACTACTGAATTGTTTTAAACCTTTCACAAATGTAGACAAATTAGTTCTCAACGTTATCTGTTGAATGCACAGGCCACTGGTCTTATCACCTGGAGAGTTGTTAAAATTGCTGGTGCCCAAGCTCTACCCCCAACAAGCCCAATTCAGACTGAATTGCCTCTGTTTTATCTAAGGTTGTGACTTTGAGATTATTCCTTAAGACTTATTCACCTACTAAATAATGGGTTAATGTTCTCACAAGGTGATTATGTTGATTTTGGAATTAATACTAAAGTTAGGAGAATGGGATGATTATTAACTGGGAGAATTTTGTCTTTTAGTAGCTCATACAGTGCTAAATAATTTACAAAGTTCTATCAGATAATGAGACTGACGCGCTGCCCACTGCGTCACAAGGATGACCCAAACACTGTCACAGAATTAGAGTCAACACAGAGGAAGTGGAGTGAAGGGATAGGGAGCGACACTTAATTCTGATGACAGCAGCTATTCACTTAAAGCCTGTATACATGAAACAATAAATTCCCTTTTTGATTAAGCCAGCTGGAGTTTGGTTTTCTGACGTCTTCATTAAAGAGTCCCGACTGATATAGTTCTCCACAAATAGTTGTTGAATAAATGTTTGAATGGAAAATCAAAGTACGAATAGGGGTGGAGGAGTGCAAACAGCAGCCAACTCCTCCTAATATTCTTCTCTGGCCGGGATTCAACCCTGTCATGTTGCACAATTCCAGTGGCCTCCATTCACATGATCTAGAATATGAATGGTGCCAGCTCCTCCCCCAGAGGTGTACAAGGCAGCCCTGAGGGGAGGTTAGGGTGGAATGGCAGAAAATCTGTGGTTCTTAGTTCTTGAGCCTTTAGATCATGGAGTCCCATTTCCCAGAAGCAGAAAGGCTGGTCTCTAGATTTTGTTTGTTTGTTTGTTTTGAGACAGAGTTTCACTCTTTTTGCCCAGACTGGAGTGCAGTGGCACGATCTCAGCTCACTGCAACCTCCACCTTCCGTTTCAAGTGATTCTCCTGTCTCAGCCTCCCGAGTAGCTGGGATTACAGGCACCCACCACCACGCCCCGGCTAATTTTTGTATTTTTAGTAGAGATGGGCTTTACCATGTTTGTCAGGCTGGTCTTGAACTCCTGACCTTGTGATCTGCCTGCCTCAGCCTTCCAAAGTGCTGGGATTACAGGCATGAGCCACCGCGCCTGGCCTCTAGATTCTTTTGTGTTGTGAGTTCATTAATCTTTAGGGGTTCCTCTTTCTTCTCCTTCCAGAGAACTCTAGAAGCACTCAATTTGACTATACTAAGATAGTATTTAGAATATGTGTATTGTTTATAAAAGCTTAGGCCTCATCGTCATATAGTGATGCATAATATAAGTAAATGCCAGATTATTATTATTATTATTTTGAGACACAGTCTTGCTCTGTCGTCCAGGCTGGTGTGCAGTAGCCCAATCTCAGCTCACTGCAACCTCTGCCTCCTGGGTTTTAAGCAATTCTCTCTGCCTCAGCCTCCCGAGTAGCTGGGATTACAGGCACCCAACACCACGCCTGGCTAATTTTTGTATTTTTAGTAGAGATGGGGTTTCACCATGTTGGCCAGGCTGGTCTTGAACTCCTGACCTCAGGTGATCCACCAGCCTCAGTCTCCCAAAGTGCTGGGATTACAGGCATGAGCCACTGTGCCTGGCCCTGAATTATTTTTATTGTAAGTTTCATTCTATTCAAATATTTATTTTACTGAGTCAACTCATTTTTGACTCAATGTATTGCTATGTAAAATGTTCAACTAGCTAACAACTTAAAAAAATTAGATCATGTGCTATCTCTATGCATTGACTTGGGCTGTCTTTTCCTCTGCCTTTGTGTTTATTTCATTCCTATATATAACTCTTTTGGACTTAGAGTCACAATGGTTTGAAGAAAATATGTGGAAGAAAACTGACCTGTTGTTTTTATTTTTAAATTTGCAGTATGCTTCTTCAATGTAGCTCACCTCAGGGAGCATTTTAGAAGTCTTTTCCTGGAATCCTATGAACCCTATGGCATAGAGTTTTATAAATGACTGTTTTGGTTTGACTAGCATGGGTCCACCTGAACCAGTTCTCACTGTAATGTCCAGGAAGTTGATTTGCTTTTCTCTGTCTACACAGAAGAAACACATGTTGTGTAGAAAAGAAATTGCCAGTCTCTGAACATTTCCCTTTGCAGTGTCTGATATAGAAATCTGTAAGCATTTATGCAGATTCTAGAAATATTTGATCTTTCAATATTTTTGCAAGTGTCCAAACCTAAGTGATATGTTTATATACATTTTCTCATTTAAAACAACTAAGTCACCAGCTAAGGTTGCCAGCATTTCGTTGACTATTTCTAGCCGCCAGGCTTTGGAAAGGTCACTCTACTTCACATGGTAGAGGAAAGTAAATAGTTCTGTGCAGCTGTCAGCATAGAGGCCTTCTCACTTGATGTTATTTTCATCCTGTATTGAAATGCTCTATTTCCTGTAACATTAAGTTTTCCAAAATAGAGGGAGAGCAAGGCATATAATATTTGTCTGCTCATGTCACCTTACCCAGGCTACTGGGCACATAAGCATCTCCAGAGGAAAGCTTCATTAGTTGATAGGGAAACAGTCACCAATGTTGTGTTTCTCTATCTGTGGATCATTCACTACAAAGGGAAAAGCTGCTTCCCTGTATTTGTTACTATGGAGAATACTGAAGCAAACAAACTAGTAGAAATTCTCAATAAGAAACTCAAATGCATAATGGAAATAACTTTGTTTTTTTCATGAAGAAAAATAATTGTTACCTTGAGTAACTATAGTGCTTTTTGAATCTCTCTTTTGAATCGAATGCCCCCCATGGAGATGTAGTAAAAATGAACTACTGCTTTTGTGCCTGAGTGGGATAAGCTGATTTTCGAAGGAGACATGCTTGACTTTGGTCCATGTCACACTATTTAGAGGGTGATGGAAAAGTAGTACAATGCAACCTCTTTGAACCAATGAAATCACTGAGGACTTTATGCCCTGGGCATGACACACTTCTTTCAAAAATGGGATTTGATAATGACATTGACAGTGGTAAACAAAAGTGTCTCTTCACTAATTTGAAGACGAGACAAACGATATTTGGAACAAGAGGTTAGTTCCTTATTGCCTAACAGAATTGGGGTGTATCAAATCTTTACTAACTTAGTCATCTCTGAATATTTTAGTCTAGGAAACCAAAATATGTTCGTATCGACCTACGATATTTCTTCAGCTAATGATTACTTCTTTCAGATAATATAACTGGGGATTTATTTGAAATTTTTCCTACTTGCCAGACATAATGGAGATTGAAAAAAATAAGTGTCAATGAAACCGGAATGACAAAAAAGTCCTATGAGAAGTGTCACGTAAAGCAGACTGCTTGTTTCAAAATATTGAAAGTGGAAAAAATACACGAAATGGTATGAGCAGTAAGATGTCCAATTTTGTGTACAAAGGGCATCATGTATGCACACATATATATATATGCACACACACATACACAGACTAAATTGAAAGACTCTGAGTTAACAGTTGTTATGTCTAAATGTGGTATTATAGAAGATTTTAACTCTCTTCTTTGTACTTTACTATATTTTTCAAATGTTCTACCATGAACAGTTGTTACTTTTATAATTAGAGAGAATATAAATGCTATAAAATTCCTAAAGTTTTGTGCAAATGTTTTGTATAGTTTTTCCTGTTTAAGAGGAGCTGTATTATTTCAAGTATAAAACTAGCCAACATGCAAAAAATCTAATTGGATTTCAGATCCCACATTACAATGTTTCCTTCTACAGGGTTTGCTACATTCTCCGGCCTGGTTAGATCCTCTTTTATTTCTCTACATCATGGTCTTTTCACTAGAAATAATACAGTATCTTTGACTTTGCTAGTACCTTCCATTCTTCCCACTGAAAATTGATGTCTGTTAAGTCCCTTTAAAATGTGTTACAAAACCATCTTCAGGAGGCCTTTTCTGGCTAAACCTATCCTAGTTTGATTACTTTCTAATGTAAATCTTCAGCTTATATGTATTAAATTCATAAGATATTACTTTATGGTTGTTGTCATATTGTTTTATAATTCTTTGCAAATTATTTTCTGTTGAAGCATCCTTTTGTGTCTGGAGAATAAATTCTCAGATTATAGAGGATAGGTCTTTGCTATTTTTGTTACCTGCAAAACAACCTGAAGAGTGAATCTATACAAATTTCATGATGCTAAAAATAGATAGTATCAGATAAACCAAGAATCTTGTGAATTGAAACTGAGCAGAGATATTTGGGTAAATTTCTGACTCCTAGTTGCTGGTTGTGTTAACTCTCTGCTGATGTCTGCTCAACTGTGTTGGTTATATCCAGGCTATTGTAATACTGCAGGTTTGGAGGAAAATGTGTCTTTGCTATCTGTTCCTCAGTTTTAATCATGGACTGGTTTTCAGTAACAGAAATGCTAGGAAGTTGTCCCAACTTCAGATTTCATAATGGCTTGCTGACTACCCTCTTGGGCCCTAACTGATGCTTTTCTATTGCTTCTCTACATTCGATAATATTTGGTAATTGGGTTTGCATTACTCTGAATTGTTTTTATGTCTTCTGGTGTCAGTTATAAAATCATAAGAGTTGTAAAACTGGAGTATATTTTCAGTGTGAACAATTAATTACATTCTCTTAGAAAGATTTTAATGCACAAGATAGAAATTAGTTCATTTTTTACATATTTAGACAGCTTTCTGTTCCAGTAGGTTATTTTGTCACTGATGTGTAGCATTTGATAAAGAGTCAGAATTAGCTGGAAAGTTTTGAGCAGGGAATTAATATGACTGAGTGGTTGTCCTTTCCAGGAGAATGTTTTTGAAAGGGAAATTCAAGGAACAACAACTGCTTTATTCAAACGAATAATTTGAGGAAAAACTTGGGGGTAGAGAAGGAAGCAACCTAATAGACAATTTCTTATTTCTACTCTGAGTAAGGTTTTCCTCCATATCCAACCAGATGTAGCAGTGTGTGTGTCTGGTGGCTTTGCTGTTGCTGTGGCAAGCTGCTGCTGGTGAGGGAGAGAACTGGGGTGATGTCATCCCTTCCCTCATCCCAACCTAGATGCTTGACATGAAACAGCTCTTGGGATGAGATTTTTGCAGCAACTCTATCAACCCATGGCACATTTTTTTATGCTCTCCTCATGTCTTGCTGTTAACTAAGCAGGAAGATAAACCTGAGCCAGTGGGAATTAGAAATATATCCTTTGCTAGTGACAGAGGAGGCAAAGATGAACTAGGCTCAAGTAATCTGAAATAGCTATCATTTTTTGTTTGCTTTTATTCTTTTTTTTTCTTTATCTTAAGTAGTGGTATGGCTATGCCTGGCTTCCACGTTTTTAAATCCTAGTAGAACCAACAAAATTTTTCTTCATAGTTTATGGTGTCTTTCCTATAAGACCCGGGAGCACTATATGCAGAACAATTTCTAAATAGAATGCTTGTAAGCAAGTTAGAAATGACTAGAGTTCATCTCCTATGGTCTTTTTTGTGGTGAATGTGCGGGTGCTCTCAGAGAATAGAGAAATGTAGAAGCATCTGATTCACATTCATTTCACTCCAGCCAAACTCCAGTCTTACCACATATACAGATCTGTTGCCACATGGTATTTGCTTAATGCTAAATAGAAATCTTGCTAAACTTTAAACATGTGCGTGTAGCCTGATGACCCTAGGCCCACAGGAATCTTACACAATTCATCCTGGACTTGTTGGAAAAGAAGCTTCTCTGTAGCAATGGTGCAAAACCTGTAAGCCACCGTTACAAAACAGGATGTAAACAATCCAGAGGCCTGGGCTCAGAATATTCTCTTTCTCCTCTTTTGACTTTAAATCTATTTCTTTTAGTTTCTGCTTAGTAAGAAGTGCTCATAGCTGAGTAATACAGACCACCCTTGCTAGACAATCCAATAAATTAATCTTTGTTTCAAATTGCTATTTGGCAGTCATTAACACGGGATAAGAGTAATTGGTCAACTAGATGGCAGAGACAGAATTCTGGATGCAGAAAGGGTATTTGACTTCATTTCTCACTGTTGAAGTAATTGTACTTATTTCTGTGTATTGCTGTGAAGTCCAAATAAGTTATTAAAAGTAAAGTGCTTGGGACAGGGCCTGGCAAATGGGAAGTTTAGCAATTATTATTAATTCTAAATATATTCTATTGGGAATATTAGTGTCATTTTTTTAGTGCCTGAGAACAAATTTGAACTACACTTGACAAATACATAGGCTTTTGAAAACCACTAACTATGGGTTAAGAAACTTTAGTCTGTATGTAGGCTTTTATATCCTTTTCCATCGAAATTGAAACAAATAACAGTTTAAGCCCAAAATACTTGAATAAGGGGTCCACATATTAGCTACTTTAAGCAATTTCAGTTAGGGAGAAGATTTATGAAAAATGCTAAGCTCTCAGGACCCTAAATTAGGAGAGTGTGTGTGTGTGTGTGTGCCTTAAAAATTAAAGACAGAATTCTCTATTTCTAAAAAGGCCTAGTAAATTTTTAACTGGGCCAGGAGCAGTGGCTCACACCTGTAATCCCAGCACTTTGGGAGGCCGAGGCGGATGGATCACCTGAGGTCAAGAGTTCAAGATTAGCTTGGCCAACATGATGAAACTCCGTCTCTACTAAAAATACAAAAAAAAAATTGGCTGGGCGTGGTGGTGGGCACCTGTAATCCCAGCTACTTGGGAGGCTGAGGCAGTAGAATTGCTTGAACCCGGGAAGCAGAGGTTGTAGTGAGCCAAGATCGCACCATTGCACTCCAGCCTGGGCAACAAGAGCAAAAAACTCAGTCTCAAAACAACAACAACAACAACAACAACAACAACAACAACAACAACAAACAAACAAAAAACATGTAATTGATTCATTAGCTGGATCTGGGATCAAAGGCAATGAAGCACCAAAAAAAGAAGGCAATAGAAAAAGACTGAAATATTCTAATAGTGTCACTTTAAAGTGGTTAGCCATGGCTTCTAGTAGCTAACTGAAACGGCTGGGGGAGCAAATCACAGTGTTAGAAAATATCACAATGCCCTTCTCTTTGGTAAAGTTGTACTTCTTGGCTCCCCTGCTCCCATGCTCCTGTTGAGTGCAATCCTCTTTCCTCCTCCACAGCACACTGGTCCCTGCTTTGTTGAAGCATGCATATTTCATAGAAGCACTACTACTAGAAGCTCTGGGTAAATGACCCTGATATGAAGTAATATTTATCTTCAGCATTCACGTATACATCCATAGCATGTGGTTTGGTAGAAAATTTGTCTAATAAGACTATGCTTTATAATTTCAGTGCTATGTGAATTTTATTTTCTATTGTATTTATTTTTATTATATATTGACAAGTTATAGTTGTATATATCTTTGAGGTACAAAGTGATGATGTGATTTTTTTTGTGGAATGATTAAATCAAGCTAATTAACATATCCATCACCTCAAATATTTAACAGTTTTTTAACAGTTATTTAACAGTTTAACAGGTTCCTTGCACATTTCTTTATCTAGTTATTTCTTTTCTTTACAGTTGTTTGAGTTGCTTATGTATTTTGGATATTAATTCCTTATCAAATGTATGGCTTGCAAATATTTTCTCTCAATTTGTAGGTTATCTCTTGATGCTGTTGTTTCCTCTGTTGTGCAGAAGTTTCTTATTTTGTTGTAATCTCATTTACCTAGTTTTGCTTTTGTTGCCTATATTTTTGGGGTCAACTATAAAACATTATTTCACAGACCAATGTTGTATAGTTTCTTCCCTGCTTTCTCTAGTATTTTTATAGTTTCAAGTCTTATATTTAAGTCTTTAATCCATTTTGAGTTGATTTTGTATATGGTGAGATCAGGGTCCAATTTTATTCTTTTTTTATATGAATATCCAGTTTTCCCAATACCATTTAATAAGGAGATTATTTGTTTCTCATTGAATATCCTTATCACCTTCGTTGAAAATCAATTGACCATAGATATGTGTTCATTTCTGAGGCTCACTATTCTGTTCCATTGGTTGATGGAACTATTTTTATGCCGATACCATGCTGTTTTAATTACTGTTGCTTTGTAGTACAGTTTGAAATCAAGTAGTGTGATGCTTCCAGCTTTGTTCTTTTCAGCCAATGCTTGCCTTTGCTATTTTTTTTTTTGAGGTCCATAGACATGTTAGAATTTTTGTCTATATCCATGAAAAATGACATTGAAATTTTTACAGAAATTACATTGAATCCATAGATAACTTTGGATAGTATGAATATTTTAACAATATTAATTCTTTCTATCCATGAACGTGGGATATCTTTCTATTTATTTGTGTCTTCAATTTTTTTCATTAATGTTTTGTAGTTTTTAGCTTACAGGTATTTTACCTCTTTGGATAAATTTATTCCTAAGCATTTTTTTTTTTTTTTTTTTTTTTTAGTAATTGTAAATGAGATTGTTCTCTTGATTTTGTTTTTGGAAAGTTCACGTTAATATAGAGAAATGCTAATAATTTTTGTGTGTTGATTTTGTATCCTGCAACTTTACTAAACTTGCTTTATCAGGTCTGTATTAGTCTGTTCTCACATTGCTATAAAGAACTACCTGAGACTGGGTAATTTATGAAGAAAAGCAGTTTAATTGGCTCAGTATTCTCCAGGCTGTACATGAAACATGGCTGGAGAGGCCTAAGGAAACTTAGAATCATGGCAAAAGGCAAAAGGGAAGCTGACACATCCTACATGTCTGGAACAGGAGGAAGAAAGCAAAGGGGGAAGTGCCACACACTTTTAAACAACCAGATCTTATGAGAACTCACTTGCATTATGAGAGCAGCAAGGGAAAAGTCCACCCCCATGATCTAATCACCTCCCAACAAACCCCTCCTCCAACATTGAGGATTACAATTTGACATGAGATTTGGCTGGGGACACAGAGCCAAATCATATTATCCTGCCCCTGGCCCCTCCCAAATCTCATGTCCTTCTTACATTTCCAAGCCTAATTATGCCTTTCCAACAGTCCCCCAAAGTCTTAACTCATTCCATTATTAACCCAAAAGTCCAAGTCCAAAGTCTCATCTGAAACAAGGCAAGTCTCTTCCACCTATAAGGCTGTACAATCAAAAGCAAGTTAGTTATTTCCAAGATACAATGGGGGTACAGGCATTGGGTAAATACACCCATTACAAGAGGGAGAAATCAGCCGAAACAAAGGGGCTACAGGCCCCATGCAAGTCCAAGCAGGGCAGTCATTAAATCTTAAAGCTCCAAAATCATCTCCTTTGACTTCCTGTCTCACATCCGGCCACACTGATGCAAGGGGTGGGCTCGAAGGGCCTTGGACAGCTCCTCCCCTGTGGCCCTGCAGTGTACAGCCCCTGTAGCTGCTTTCATGGACTGTCACTGCGTGCCTGTGGCTTTTCCAGGAGCATGGTGCAAGCTGTTGGTGGATCTACCATTCGGGGATCTGGAGGACAGTGGCCCTCTTTTCATAGCTCCGCTAGGCATTGCTCCAGTGGGGACTCTATGTGGGCGCTTCAACCCCATGTTTCCTCTCCCCCTGCCCTAGTAGAGGTTCTCCATGAGGACACTACCCCTGCAGCAGATTTCTGCCTGGACATCCGGACATTTCCATACGACCTCTGAAATCTAGGTGGAGGATCCCAAGCCTCAACTCTTGCCCTTTATGCACTTGCAGGCTTAATACCACGTGGAAGCCCTTGTCGCTTACAGCTTGCACCCTCTGGAGCAGTGGCCTGAGATGTATCTGGGGTCCTTTTAGCACAGCTGGAGCTGGAGCAGCTGGGACACAGGGCGCCATGTCCTGAGGCTGCAAAGAACAGCAGGGCACTGGGCCTGCTCACAAAACTATTTTTCCCTCCTAGACTTCCAGGTCTATAATAGGAGGGGCTGCACAAAGGTCTCTGTAACACCTTGGAGGTATTTTCCCCATTGCAATGGCTGTTAACATTTGCTTCGTCTTTACTTATGCAAATTTCTGCAGCATTCCTGAATTCCTCCCCGAGAAAATGGGTTTTTCTTTTCTACCACATAGGCAGGCTGCAAATTTTCCATTTATGCTCTGCTTCCCTTTTAAATATAAGTTCCACTTTCAGGTCATTTCTTTGTTTATGCAGATAAGCATAGGCTTTTAGAAGCAACCAGGTCAGTTCTTGAATGCTTTGCTGCTTAGAAATTTCTTTTGCCAGATACCCTAAATCATCTCTCTCAAGTTCAAAGTTCTACGGATCCCTAGAGCAGGGGCACAATGCCACCAGTCTCTTTGCTAAAGCATAGCAAGAAGGACCTTTATTCCAGTTCCCAATAAATTTCTTATCTGCATCTGAGACCACCTTAGCCTGGACTTCATTTACAATATCACTATTGGCATTTTTGTCACAACAAGTTAACAAGGTCCAGAATGTTCCAAACTGTCCCTTATCTTCCTATCTTCTTCTGAGTCCAAACTGTTCCAATCCCTGCCCCTTACCCACTTCCAAAGTCACTTCCACATTTTCAGATCTCTTTATAGCAATGCCCCACTTCTCCAGTACCAATTTTCTGTATTAGTCCATTCCCACATGGCTATAAAGAACTACCTGAGACTGTGTGATGTATAAAGAGAAGCAGTTCAACTGGCTTAAGGTTCCACAGGCTGTACAGGAAGCATGCCTTAGGAAACTTAAATCATGGCGGAAGGTGAAGGGGAAGCTGGCACATCCTACATGGCTGGAGCAGGAGGAAGAGAGCAAAGGGGGAAGTCTTACACACTTTTAAACATCCAAATATTATGAGAACTCACTCACTATCGTAAGAACAACAAGGCATAAGTCTGCCCCCATGATCCAGTCACCTCCCACCAAGCCCCTCCTCCAAGATTGAGGATTACAATTCCACATGAAATTTCGACAGGGACACAGAGACAAATCATATACAGTCTTAACAGTTTTCTTTTGTGAAATATTTAGGATTTTCAATACATAACATCATGTCATCAACAAACAGGAATAGTTTCACTTCCTTTCATATTTGAATGCCATTTATTTATTTATAGTATACTTTAAGTTCTGGGGTACATGTGCAGAATGTGCAGGTTTGTAACATAGGTATACACGTACCATGGTGGTTTGCTGCACCCATCAACCTGTCATCTACATTAGGTATTTCTCCTAATGCTATCCCTCCCCTAGTCCCCCACCCCCCAGTTTGTGATGTTCCCCTCCCTGTGTCCATGTGTTCTCATTATTCAACTCCCATTTATGAGTGAGAACATGTGGTGTTTGGTTTTCTGTTCTTCTGTTAGTTTGCTGAGAATGAGGTTTCTAGCTTCATCCATATCCTTGAAAAAGACATGAAGTCACCCTTTTTTATGGCTGCATAGTATGCCATGGTGTATATGAGCCACATTATATTTATCCAGTCTATCATTAATGGGCATTTGGGTTGGTTCCAAGTCTTTGCTATTGTGAACAGTGCCACAATAAACATACGTGTGCTTAAGTCTTTATAGTAGAATGATTTATAATCCTTTGGGTATATACCCAGTAATAGGATTGCTGGGTCAAATGGTATTTCTAGTTCTAGATCCTTGAGGAATTTCCACACTGTCTTCCACAATGGTTGAACTAATTTACATTCCCACCAACAGTGTAAAAGCGTTCCTATTTCTCCACATCTTCTCCAGCATCTGTTGTTTCCTGACTTTTTAATGATCACCATTCTAACTGGCGAGAGATGGTATCTCAAAGTGATTTTGATTTGCATTTCTCTAATGACAAGTGATGATGAGCTTTTTGTCATATGTTTTTGGCCACATAAACGTCTTCTTTTGAGATGTGTCTGTTCATATCCTTTGCCCACTTTTTGATGGGGTTGTTTGTTTATTTCTTGTAAATTTGTTTAAGTTCTTTGTATATTCTGGATATTAGCCCTTTGTCAGATGGACAGATTACAAAAATTTTCTCCCATTCTGTAGGTTTCCTGTTCACTCTGATGATAGTTTCTTTTGCTGTGCAGAAGCTCTTTAGTTTAATTAGATCCCATTTGTCAATTTTGGCTTTTGTTGCCATTGCTTTTGGTGTTTTAATCATGAAGTCTTTACCCATGCCTATGTCTTGAATGCTATTGCCTAGGTTTTCTTCTAGGGTTTTTATGGTTTTAGGTCTTACATTTAAGTCTTTAATCCATCTTGAGTTAATTTTTGTATAAGGTGTAAGGAAGGGGTCCAATTTCAGCTTTCTGCATATGGCTATCCAGTTTTCCGAAGACCATTCATGAAATAGGGAATCCTTTCCCCATAGCTCGTTTTTGTCAGGTTTGTCAAAGATCAGATGGTTGTAGACGTGTGGTGTTATTTTGCAGGCCTCTGTTCTGTTCCATTGGTCTATATATCTGTTTTGGTACCAGTACCATGCTGTTTTGGTTACTGTAGCCTTGTAGTATAGTTTGAAGTCAGGTAGTATGATGCCTCCAGCTTTGTTCTTTTTGCTTCGGCTTTTCTTGGCTATGTGGGCTCTTTTTTGGTTCCATATAAAATTTAAAGTAGTCTTTTCCAATTCTGTGAAGAAAGTCAATGGTAGCTTGATGTGGATAGCATTGAATCTATAAATTACTTTGGGCAGTACGGCCATTTTCATGATATTGATTCTTCCTATCCATGAGCATGGAATGTTTTTCCATTTGTTTATGTCCTCTCTTATTTCGTTGAGTAGTGGTTTGTAGTTCTCCTTGAAGAGGTCCTTCACATCCCTTGTAAGTTGGATTCCTAGGTATTTTATTCTCTTTGTAGCAACTGTGAATGGGAGTTCACTCATGATTTGGATCTCTGTCTCTTGTCTATTATTGGTGTATAGGAATGCTTGTGATTTTTGCACATTGATTTTGTATCCTGAGACTTTGCTGAAGTTGCTTATCAGCGTAAGGAGATTTGGGGCTGAGACAATGGGGTTTTCTAAATATACAATCATGTCATCTGCAAACAAAGACAATTTGACTTTCTCTCTGCCTATTTGAATACGCTTTATTGCTTTCTCTTGCCTGATTGACCTGGCCAGGACTTCCAACGCTATGTTGAATAGGAGTGGTGAGAGAGGGCATCCTTGTCTTGTGCCGGTTTTCAAAGGGAGTGCTTCCTGGTTTTGCCCATTCAGTATAATATTGGCTCTGGGTTTGTTGTAAATAGCTCTTATTATTTTGAGATACCTTCCATCGATACCTAGTTTTTGGGAGTTTTTAGCATAAAAGGCTGTTGAATTTTGTCGAAGGCCTTTTCTGCATCTATTGAGATAATCCTGTGGTTTTTGTCATTGGTTCTGTTTATGTGATGGATTATGTTTATTGATTTGTGTATATTGAGCCAGCCTTGCATCCCAGGGATGAAGCTGACTTGATTGTGGTGGATAAGCTATTTGATGTGCTGCTAGATTTGGTTTGCCAGTATTTTATTGAGGATTTTCACATCAATGTTCATCAGGGATATTGGCCTGAAATTTTCTGTTTTTGTTGTTTCTCTGCCAGGTTTTGGTATCAGGATGATACTGGCCTCATAAAATGTGTGAAGGAGGAGTCCCTCTTTTTCTGTTGCTTGGAATACTTTCTGAAGTACCAGCTCCTCCTCGTACCTCTGTTAGAATTTGGCTGTGAATCCGTCTGTTCCTAGACTTTTTTTGGTTGGTGGGCTATTAATTGCTGTCTCAATTTCAGAACTTGTTATTGGTCTATTCAGGGATTCGACTTCTTCCTGGTTTAGTCTTGGGAGGGTATATGTTTTCAGGAATTTATCTATTTCTTCTAGATTTTCTAGTTTATTTGCATGGAGGTGTTTATAGTATTGTCTGATGGTAGTTTGTATTTCTTTGGGATCAGTGGTGATATTCCCTTTATCATTTTTATAGTGTCTATTTGATTTTTCTCTCTTTTCTTGTTTATTAGTCTGGCTAGTGGTCTATCTATTTTGTTAATCTTTTCAAAAAACCAACTCCTGGCCTCACTGACTTTTTTTGAAGGGTTTTTCATGTCTCTATCTCCTTCAGTTTTGCTCTGATCTTGGTTATTTCTTGTCTTCTGTTTGCTTTTGAGTTTGTTTGGTTTTGCTTCTCTGGTTCTTTTAATTGTGATGTTAAGGTGTTGATTTTAGATCTTTCCTGCTTTCCCTTATGTGCATTTAGTGCTGTAAATTTCCCTCTACACACTGCTTTAAATGTGTCCCAGAGATTCTGGTACATTGTGTCTTTGTTTTCAGTGGTTTCAAAGAACTTATTTATTTCTGACTTAATTTTATTATTTACACAGTAGTCATTCAAGAGCAGGTTGTTCAGTTTTTATGTAATTGTGTGGTTTTGAGTGAGTTTCTGAATACTGAGTTCCAATTTGATTGCCTGGTGGTCTGAGAGACTGTTTCTTATGATTTTGTATTCTTTTGCATTTGCTGAGGCGTGTTTTACTTTCAACTATGTGGTCAATTTTAGAATCAGTGCAATGTGGTGCTGAGAAGAATGTATATTCTGTTGGTTTGGCATGGAGAGTTCTGTAGATGTCTATTAGGTTGGCTTGTTCCAGAGCTGAGTTCAAGTCCTGGATATCTTTGTTAATTTTCTGTCTCCTTGATCTGTCTAATATTAACAGTGGGGTGTTAAAGTCTCCCACTATTATTGTGTGGGAGTCTAAGTCTCTTTGTAGGTCTTTTAGAAGTTGCTTTATGAATCTGGATGCTTCTGTATTGGTTGCATATATATTTAGGATAGTTAGCTTTTCTTGTTGCTTTGATCCCTTTACCATTATGTAATGCCCTTCTTTGTCTCTTTTGATCTTTGTTGGTTTAAATTCTGTTTCATCAGAGACTAGGATTGTGACCCCTGCTCTTTTTTTGCCTTCCATGTTCTCAGTCAATATTCAGCCCTCCCTTTATTTTGAGCCTATGTGTGTCTTTGCACATGAGATGGGTCTCCTGAATACAGCACACAGATGGGTCTTGACTCTTCAACAAGTTTGCTCATCTGTGTCTTTTAATTGGGGCATCTAGCCCATTTACATTTAAGGTTAATATTGTTATGTGTGCATTTGATCCTGTCATTATGATGCTAGCTGGTTATTTTGCCTGTTAGTTGATGCAGTTTCTTCATAGTGTCTATGGTCTTTACAATTTGGCATGTTTGTGCAGTGGCTGGTACTGGCTGTTTCTTTCCATGTTTAGTGCTTCCTTCAGGAGCTCTTGTAAGGCAGGCCTGGTGGTGACAAAATCTCCCAGCATTTACTTGTCCATAAAGGATTTTATTTCTCCTTCACTTATGAAGCTTGGTTTGGCTGGATATGAAATTCTGGGTTGAAAATTCTTTTCTTTAAGAATGTTGAATATTGGCCCCTACTCTATTCTGGCTTGTAGGGTTTCTCCCGAGAGATCCACTGCTAGTCTGATGGGCTTCCTTTTGTGGGTAACAAGACCTTTCTCTCTGACTGCCCTTAAAATTTTTTCCTTTATTTCAACCTTGATGAATCTGATGAGTATGTGTCTTGGGATTGCTCTTCTTGAAGAGTATCTTTGTGGTGTTCTCTGCATTTCCTGAATTTGAATGTTGGCCTGCCTTGCTAAGTTGGGGAAGTTCTCCTGGATAATATCCTGCAGAGTGTTTTCCAACTTGGTTCCATTCTCCCTGTCACTTTCAGGTACACCAATCAAACGTAGATTTGATCTTTTCACATAGAACCATATTTCTTGGAGGCTTTGTTCATTTCTTTTCACTCTTTTTTCTCTAATCTTATCTTCTCACTTTATTTCATTGAGTTGATCTTCAATCTCTGATAGCCTTTCTTCTGCTTGGTCAATTCGGCTATTGATACCTCTGCATACTTCATGAAGTTCTCGTGCTGTGTTTTTCAGCTTCATCAGGTCATTTATGTTCTTCTCTACACTGGTTATTCTAGTTAGCAATACATCTAACCTTTTTTCTGAGGTTTTTAGCTTCCTTGCATTGGGTTAGAACATGCTCCTTTAGCTCTGGGGAATTGTTATTACCCACCTTCTGAAGCCTACTTCTGTCAATTCATCAAACTCATTCTTTGTCCAGTTTTGTTCCCTTGCTGGAGAGGAGTTGTGATCCTTTGCGGGAGAGGAGGCGTTCTGGTTTTTGGAATTTTCAGCCTTTTTGCGCTGGTTTCTCCCCATCTTCATGGATTTGTCTACCTTTGATCTTTGATGTTGGTGACCTTTGGATGAGGTCTCTGATTGGAAGTCCTTTTTGTTGATGCTGATACTTTTCCTTCTGTTTGTTAGTTTTCCTTCTAACAGTCAGGCCTCTCTGCTGCAGGTCTGCTGGAGTTTGCTGGAGGTGCACTCCAGACCCTGTTTGCCTGGGTATCACTAGCGGACGCTGCAAAACAACAAAGATTGCTGCCTGTTCCTTCCTCTGGAAGCTTTGTCCCAGAGGGGCACTCACTAGATGCCAGGCAGAGTTCTCCTGTATGAGGTGAGTGTCGGCCCCTACTGAGAGGTGTTTCCCAGTCAGGATACACGGGGGTCAGGGACCCACTTGAGGAGGCAGTCTGTCCCTTATCATAGCTCGAACACTGTGCTAGGATGTCCACTGCTTTCTTCAGAGCTGTCAGGCAGGAATATTTAAGTCTGCTGAAGCTGTGCCCACAGCCACCCCTTCCCCCAGATGCTTTGTCCCAGGGAGATGGGGCTTTTATCTATAAGTCCCTGACTGGGGCTGCTGCCTTTGTTTCAGAGATGCACTGCCCAGAGAGGAGGAGTATAGAGAGACAGTCTGAGCTACCTTGCTGAGCTGCAGTGGGCTCCGCCCAGTTCGAACTTCTTGGCGGCTTTGTTTACAATGTGAGGGTAAAACCGCCTACTCAAGCCTCAGCAATGGTGGATACCCTTCTCCCCACCAAGCTTGAGTGGCCCAGTTCAAGCTCAGACTGCTGTGCTGGCAGTGAGAATTTCAAGCCAGTGGATCTTAGCTTGCTGGGCCCCATAGGGGTGGGACCTGCCAAGCCAGACCACTTGGCTCCCTGGCTTCAGCCCTCTTTCCAGGGGAGTGAACGATTCTGTATCACTAGCATTCCAGATGCCACTGGGGCATGAATAAAAATTCCTGCACCTAGTTCGGTGTCTGCCCAAATGGCCTCCTAGTTTTGTGCTTGAAACCCAGGGCCCTGGTGGCATAGGCACCGTAGGGAATCTCCTGGTCTGCTGGTTAGGAAGACCATGGAAAAAGCACAGTATCTGAGCCGGAGTGTACTGTTCCTCCCAGTACAGTCTCTCACAGCTTCCTTTGGGTAGGGGAGAGAATTCCCTGACCCCTTGTGCTTCTAGGGTAAGGTGATGCCCCACCCTGCTTCAGCTCACCTTCTGTGGGCTACACCCACTGTCCAACCAGTCCCATTGAGATGAACTGGGTACCTCAGTTTGAAATGCAGAAATCACCCGCCTTCTGCGTTGATCTTGCTGGGAGCTACAGACCGGAGCTGTTCCTATTCGGCCATCTTTTGGATGCCTTTTAATTCTTTCTCTTACTTTATTGGTCTGCAAGGACTTCCAAACTGTTGAATGTAAGTGGTGAGAGTGAGCATGCTTGTCTTGTACTAGATTCTAGAGGAAAGGGTTCCAGTTTTTCACCATTGAGTATAATGTTAGCCATGAGTTTCTTACATATCATCTTTACTGTGTTGAATTACTGTTATTCCATAGCTAATTTGTTGAGTGTTTTTATCATGAAAGAACATCATGAAAAATCTTGTCAAATGACTCCTTCATCTGATGACATGATTATATAATTTTCTGTCCCTCATTCTGTTAATGTAGTCTATCACATTTATTGGTTTGTGAGTGTTGAATCATCCTTACATCCCAGGAATAAGTCTCACTTGATCATGGTGTGTGATCCTTTTAATGTGTAGTTGAATTTTGTTTGCTGCTATTGTGATGAGGACTTTTGCACTGATGTTAATCAAAAATATTTTCTGGTAGCTTTCTTTTCTTATGATGTCTTTGTCTGGCTTTGGTATCAGAACCATGCTAGCCTCATAAATAGGTCTGAAAATATTCCTTCCTCTAATTTTTTGTAAAAGTTTGTGGAGAATTGACATTAGTTATTCTTTAAACGTTTGGTTAAATTCAGCAGTGAAGCAATCAGGTCTTAGGCTTTTTTTTTTTTAAATGGGAGACTATGGATTACTGACTTAATCTCTTAACTCATTATTGGTTTATTCAGATTTCCTATTTCTTTATGATTCAGTGTTTGGAGGTTGTATGTGTCTAGGAATTTAACCATTTCTTCTCAGTTATCTAATTTTTTGGCATATAATTGTTCTTTTGATCCTTTGTATTTTTGTAGTATCAGTCATAATATCTCCTCTTTCATTTCTGGTTTTGTTTATTTGAATCTTTTCTCTTTTTCTCTTGGTTAGTCTAGCCAAAGGTTTGTAAATTATGTCTTCTCAAAAAAAAAAAAGCCCCAACTTCTATTTGTGTTGATCTTTTGTATTGTATTTCTAACTTCTATTTTATTTATTTCTGCTCTGATATGTATTATTTCTTTCCTTTACATAACATTGAGATTACTTTGTTCTTCTTTTTCTATTTCCTTGGGGCACAACATTGTTGTTTTTTTGCTACCTTTCTTCTTTTATGATGTAGGCATTTATTGCTATGAAGTTTCCTCTTACAACTGCTTTTGCTGCATCCCATACATTTTTATATGTTGTGTCTCTATTTTTGTTTGTCTCAAGATGTTCTTAAATTTCTCTTTTAATTTCTTTGTTGATTCATTGGTTTTTCAGGAACATGTTGTTTCATTTCATATATTAATGAGTTTTCCTAGATTCCTTCTGTTATTAATTTCTTCTTTTATTGCGATCAGAAAGATACTTGATATGGTTTTAATCTTAAATTTGCTAAGACTTGTCTTGTGGCCTAACATATTACCTATCCTGGAGAGTGTTCTATGTGCACTTGAGAAAAATGTGTATTCTGTTGCTGTTGGATGGAATGTTCTGTATATGCCTGTTAGGTCATTTATTCTAAAGTGTTGTTCAAGTCCAATGTTTCCACATGTCCATTATGAAAAGTGTTGTATTGAAGTCTCATATTATTACTGTATTGCAATCTATATCTCTCTAAATAGTCTTAATATTTGTTTTATATATTTAGGTGTTCCACTGTTGGGTGCATATGCATATATATATTTATAATTGTTTAATCTTCTTGATGAAATCACCAGTTTATCATCACATAATATCCTTCTTTGTCTCTTTTTAGTTTTTAACTTAAAGTTTATTTTGTCTGACATAAGTATTGATATTCCTAGAAAACAAAAATTCTTTTTTTTTCTGTTTGCATGAAATATTTTTCCATCCCTCCACTTTCATCTAAGTATGTCCTTAAAAGTGAAGTGAATTTCTTATAGGCAGCATATAATTGGGTCTTGGTTTTGTTTATCCATTTATTCACTCTATGTCTTTTTATTGGATAATTTAATCCATTTACATTCAGGTAATTATTTATAGGTAAGGACTTATTATTACTGCAATTTTGTTAATTGTTTTCTGGTTGTTTTGTAGATACTTTGTTTCTTTTTTTCTCTCTTGCTGTCTTTCTTTGTGGCTTGATGGTTTTCTGTAGTAATATGTTTTGAATCTTTTTTTATTTTTGTTTTGTTTGTCTCCTACAGATTTTTGCTTTCTGGTTACCATGAGGCTTACACACAACATCTTATAACAGTTTATTTCAAGATGATAACAACTCAAATTTGATTGCACACAACAACCTTACACTTTTACTCTCCCATTGCTCCATTTTATGTTTTGGATGTCTGAATTTACAGCTAGATGAATTTTAAAGTTAATTTTCTCTACAGGCTCTCCTTTTATGAGTACCTGGTGTAAACTTAGTGCCAGATGTCCTCTAAGATACCTCAGATTTCACAGTAGAAAATTAGTCTAAGGGTTACCCCTGTGTTGTATTTCTTGAGACCCCCTGATTTTTTTCCTTCCCCTTTGACAAACATTTTATTGACTCAAATTAGCTATTCCTGAAAGAAGCACTCCCCTGTCTATTTAGGGAACACCTCAGGAATTTTACATCCCAACACCAAGGCTGTCAAAACAAGGAAGATAAGAAATGTGTTTTTGAGAGGTAAGGCTGACTGCCCTGGTGAATTAGTCTTGGTTTTGTGGTTTGAAACTACTTAGTGTTAGTAGTTTGAAACTATTTAGTGTTCTAAATAAGAAAGCAAAAACAGCTGGTGCAGACACAAACTAGTAAAAGCAATCTTTCCATATTTTCCCTTTGTAGTATTCAGAATTACTTCATAAAATGAAAAAGTGCTCAAAAACATAGTTACTTGCCTACATTGTGCTAATATGCCTAAGTGTTCTCTTTTTACTAGTTTAATCTACATTAGCTATAAGTTCAATCAGAGTTCCTCATCTAAACCATAAAACATAGAAAATAACTTAAGTGACCTTTTCCTCAGTTTTCTCAAAGATGGTACATAACTAGGACCTCTCTAGCTTCAGAGACGAGACATTTGTTCATTACATACTATGGATGTTGTAGTTATTAGGGCTTAATTCTCTCAAAACTGGCTGAAAATGGTTGATTGACGTTCAAGTCTACCACTGGATATATAGGATATAAATTATTGCCAACAAAAGGATAAAGATCAAAAGCCTTCAGTAGTGAAAATGGTCAAACCATAATCAAACAAAAAATCAAGATACTGCTTTCTTCAACTCAAGTTTTTTTCTGTCTTAGACATAAAAGTTTATTTTGTTTTAAGATATAATTTATATACAATAAAATTCACTGTGTTTATGTGTACAATTCAATGAATTTTGGCAAATTTATACAGTCAGGTAACAATCACCAAAATCAAGATATAGATTTATTTCCTCATGACCCTTTGTAGGAGTCAATCTGCCTCCTCCACTTCCAGACACTGGCAACCACTGATCAGATTTGTGTCTCATAGTTTTTTTCTTTTCCAAATATCATATAAATTGAATCATTCAATATGTATTCTTCTGAGTCTGGCTTCTTCCACTTAGCATAATGCTTCTTAGATTCATCCATGCTGTTGTGTGTATCAGTAGTTCTTTTTATTGCTATATAGATATAACAATTTATTCACCAGTTGATAGACATTTTGGGTTGTTTCCAACTTTAAGCATTTATGAATAAGATTACTTAAACATCCATATGCAGGTTTTTATGTGGACATAGGCTTTTAGTTCTCCAGGGTAAATACCTTCATGTAACCTTCACTTTATAAACTGCCAAACATTTTCCCAATGTGGAAATCCCACCAGCAATATATAAACATTCAAGTTGGTTTGCATTCTCTTCAGCATTTGGCACTGTCAGATTTTTTTTTTAATTTTGAGCCATTCCAATAGGTGTGTCATGATACCTCATTTTGTCTTTCAAGTTTTAATAATTAGGTTTATAAAATCAGTTATGAAAAACATCAAATAATTGAAGGTGTATCAGACATCAAAAAGATGTTTCTGCTGTTTTGTTATCATTGAGTCTTGGCTCTTCACCATGTTTTCCTGTCCATTTTGGACCACTGAACTATCATTAATCCTAAATTACAAGTATGCAGTACCCAAATATACATGGCTTCTGTATGCATAGGAACCTGCTTTCTAGCTTGTTTGGGACCTTGCTATCATAGGATTTCTAATGGAATTGTTAGAAGAGTTTTTGCTCATTTCTTCACACAGTGGGTCAGAGAAATATTTTGCTGATTATCTCTAAAACTGAAAACTTGTAAATTATTTTCTGTAATTTTCCAAGCCAGTCTCATGTAGAAAATTGACTTTTGCCATAGTGAGAGGAGAATTAAAGTTGTGGGAGCTACAGCACCAATTTTCTTTTCATCCTTGCTGAAGTTGGGCATCTTTCCTGTTGCCTTTATTTTGATTATTTGTTGGGCCTTGTGATCACTTGCTTTTGTTAGGCTTCCTCTTGCTGTTGCTAAATGTTGGGATGAATTAGGAACCTCATCCTTTCTATGTATTTGTAGCATAGGTGAAGCTGAGCAAATGGGGCTCCAGTGCCTCTTCTCCAGCTTTGACTAGACCAAGAGCCTTCTCTGCTACACAAACATGGCAGGATCCTTCATGACTGTTCATTTGTACAAGTTTGTTTATTTGTTTTTGTTTTCTGCTGAGAATGACTTTGGCTTCCTTTTCTGCCTGGGTAATTCTTACTTGTTCTTCAAGATCAGACCAAATATTACCTCCTTTATGATGTCAAATTCCCTAAGCCTTTTAAGTCATACCTGCTGAACCCTTTTCTTGTTTTAAGTCCTATTACGTTGCTCTGTGATAACCTGTTCACATTTCTGTATCCTTCCTAGACGCTGAACTCCTCCCAGTCAAGAAGCACATGCTGATCGTTACTGACTTAACATAAAGTACACACTCAATAAATACTTTTGACTGACCCTTTAAATTTGCAATATAGCTACATTTAAATGCAGAGGTTTTCTTTAACTTCAAAAAGGAATGATAGAAGCATTTGCTAAACAAGAAAGTTTATTTAGTAGAAGCCATTTATATATTAATATATTTAGGCAAAGTGGTGATCATAAGATTTGATTGATCTCAGGACTGGATTCCTCTCACCCTCACGCAATCAGTGTGATTATAAACCACATGTTATGGGAAAGAAAAGTCAAAGAATTAAAATAATTCTGTGACTCTTGTCTCCATTGTTAAACTGTGATACGGGTATAAGTAATTGCTTTAATCATGTCAGCAAAATATTAGGACTGTGGGATTAAACAATTGTTTAGTATAAGTATGTCCCATGCAATATTTGAGACATTCTTATAATAATAAAAAAGTTTGTTGTTTATCTGAAGTTCAAGTTTAACTACATACACCTTCTTTTATATGACAACCGTAGCCAAAGGGAAACCTCTGCACTTCACAGAGTGGAAGGACTGATAGGGAATACAGACAGTGCTCTTGGAAGCCAGTTCAGAAATGTATAGTGAACAATGTGAGGCCATGATTCCTTAGACTGGTCAGTATATGTCAACTCAGCAGCATGATCATCTTTGCCAGGGTAGAGAGCAAGACCAGAAACTGAGATCAGAAAGAGAAGTGGGAGTGGTGAAGTCACTGACCATATGGTCATTTGGGTCAAAGATGGCACCATTTAAAGGTCTGTAACTATGGTAGATTAAAGATAGCCACAAATTCTTTGCTACTATTTTTGGTAGAGGTCTATTGCCTTCCCTTTGAATGTGGATGGGCTCTGTAACTGCTTTGACCAATGGAATAATAGCAGAAGTGACACTGTGCCAGTTTTCTGAGCCCAGGCCCTAAATATCTGTAGGTTTTCACTTTCTGTTTCTTAGAACACTATTTTTGAGATCTCTGAGCCTCCATATAAGAAGTCCAGCTTTCCTGAGATGGCCATGCTGGAGTAGTCACATGTAGGCACTTTGGGTTGACAGATCCAGCTGAGCCCAGACTTCCTGCTGTCACCATCAAGTGACATGAGAGAGAAGCTGTTGTGGACCATTCAGACCACCTAAGGGTTGAGTACCCCCAAGTGAACTCCTTCAAGCCACGCAGAGAAAAACAAAACCCACCCAGCTGAGCCTGAGCCTTCTCTGAATTTCTGACCCATGACATCTGGAGATATAATTAAATGCTTGTCTGTTTAAGCTGCCAATTTTTGTATGGCTTTGTAACATAGTAATAGGTAACCAGAATAGTGAATATAAACAGAAGTTTCCCTGACCACATGGTGACTTAAGAAAGAAGTACTTGCCATCATTTTAGTATGTAAACTTCTCCATTTGCTTGTTTGCCAAGAAAATCTTGCTTAGAAAGAAATCTTACCTAGAATGCAATATATAATAGAGCTCAAAGTCAAGCTGCCTGAGCTGAAGCATAGCTAGGAGTCCAGAGTCACATCTTCTCTGTCCTCTTGTCCTAAACTCCCCAGATGCCAGGAGATGTTCTGTAGCCCAGCTGAGAAAGATTGTGAGGTATGTCTGAGACCTAATCTAAGAGGCAGGGGAACCACAATAAGATGTGCAAACCTGGGACTAGATGCAGAGAATGTTACCATGGGAAGCACGGCAAAACTGTCAGCATCAGATAAAGCCCTGCTTAAATGTGCAGAGGAGATCAAAAAGTCAGGTTGAAAGCACCAACAGCTGAACATGTTGTAACAAAGAAACTTTCTAAAGGTAGAGGGGAACCGTGAGAGAATGCAGCCAGAATCTGAGAACCCCCACAGAGAGTGTCATCAGGAATCCCAAAGGATAATGATGCAAGAAGAGGACTCTGACCTAAGCCACCCAGGGCCAAAAGACTATACTAATTCCTTTGAGAGGAAAGATGAAATAAGACCACACCTGGGTTATATATGCTGTAATTACTGATATTTATCTAACTTAATTGCCAAGTAAATCTGTTTCTAGTTTTACTCTGGCTCTTCTCAAATTAAGTCTTTTGTTTTCCGAATATTACACATAAGATCTCTGTGTAGATAATGTTGAATGGAATGTTGAACTGGGAATGGTTGGCCTTAAAAGATTATCTAGTTATGTTCTTGGTACCTAAAGAGAGACTAGGTTTGAGTGAGCAAGGCCTCTGTATAAAAGATACTAGTTAGATAACATACACCGAAGGAGATACTTGTCCAGCTTGAACATTACCACACACATTTGACATTTCAGAAAACTACTGGTTTATTTAAAGCAAGTCACACGTACATTATAAAGGTGTCATCCTGGCCAGGTGTGGTGGCTCATGCCTGTAATCCTAGCACTTTGGGAGGCCAAGGCAGGTGGATCACTTGAGCCCAGGAGTTTGAGACCAGCCTGGGCAACATGGTGAAACTGTGTCTGTACCAAAAATACAAAAAAAAAAAAAAAAAATTAGCTGGGCATGGTGGTGCACTCCTGTAGTCCCAACTACTAGGGAGGCTGAGGCAGGAGAATCGCTTGAGCCCAGGAGGCAGAGGTTGCAGTGAGCTGAGATCATGCCACTGCATTCAAGCCTGGGCAACAGAGTGAGACTCCATCTCAAAAAAAAAAAAAAAAAAAAAAAAAGAATGGTGTCATCCTATTTTAGAATGAAAACCTTAAAACCTAGCATATTTTGTTCTGTATATACTTGAAAAATAATTTTATCTGATGAATATGTATGATGATCATAATAATTATTTAGTCATATTACATGAACCCTTCTTCCAAGGAAGTGCAAAGCTTTTAAACAAGCCACTTCTAAAAACTGTCACATCCTATTGCATGCAGCAACAATCAGAGAAGCCCTGACTTGGCATTTTAGTATATTAATAGGCTGAGTGAATTCCTAGCTTAACTGAGGTGGGCCCCTTGGAGGATCTTATGGGTGTTTTTTTAGGAAACAAACCAAACATATAAAGGTTTGGTAACATCTGCACCCTGATATTATTCTCAATATGCATCCACAGACTACAAAGCTAAAGCTCCTTCAGAGCCAATAATGCTGCATCCTGGAAAGCAGATCAGCAAATAGCTCAAATTTATTCCCAATCCATAATGCTGACCACACAACAACAGAAAAACAGCTATGATAATGCTATCATGGCGTGGTCAGTTGTTGTAACAATAGCTCAATGGCTTGATAGCCTGAGCAGTAAAATATCTAGGCATCTGAACTTAAAAAAAAATCACAGCAATTTGTAGTGAGAGCAGCAAAAACATATTTGTAACCATAAGACGCTGATTCATTTTCTTGCCTGTTAACCTTCCTACTGGAGCAATTGCTCCCCTGGCTGGATTGCTGGATGATGAAGTGATCAATTTCTGGACACCCAGCAAGTTGCTATGTATTTGAAACTCTCCAGTGCTGGAGTAGGCAATTATTTTCACTTCCAGCTCAGCCTGGTATGTTTAACCGAACTCAAAGAACCTTCTATGGGAAGTGAATGCTTTTTGCCGATGTATTGGCACACACATTTCAGAGATAATGGTGATAGCTCCACAAGTTTTCAGGAACTGTGTTTCTGGACTGATTAATTTTATTCTTGCTCCCACAGCTTTTGGTTCCAGAGGGCCATAGTCTTCATATACTTCAGCACTCCATGAAGGCTTTCTTGGTACTGTTCAAAGTAAGATATAACAAGTTGCTGTGTTGCATACATCTTTACACCTTCATTGCTTGTTCTCCCAGGCATGCTATCATACCCAAGGCCACATGGTGAGATGGAAAGACACTGCATCTGAAGTCAAGGGACCAAGGTTTCAAATTCTCAATGTCCCCCTTGCATGATGGGCAACTGACATATCACTCCGCACTTTGCTTGTTGATTTCTTCATTGAGTGACAGTAAAATGGTTGAGTCTGTTCCCAGCTGTCAGACTGCCAGGAATATCTAGTAGTTTGGTTTCCTCTTCTGGAAAATGACATTAGTAGTTAATGCTACAGTGTTTACTTTGTGCCAGGCCATTTCCTAAGTACTTTACATATATATTTACTCTTTTAAGTCTCATGACAACCCTATGAGGTAGTGTGTTAGTACATTTTGCATTGCTATAAAGGAATACCTAAGACTGGGTAATTTATAAAGAAAAGACATTTATTTGGCTCATGGTTCTGCAGGCTGTAGAAGCATGGCACCAGCATCTGTTTGACTTCTTATGAGGCCTCAGGAAGCTTATAATTATGGCAGAAGGTGAAGGGGAAGCAGGCATGTCACATGGCAAGAGAGGGAGCAAGAGAGATGCCAGGCTCTGTTAAACAACTAACTCTCATGTGAACTAACAGAGTGAGAAATCACTCATTACTTCAAGAACAGCACCAAGACATTCACAAGGAATCTGCCTCCGTGACCAAAACACCTCCCACCAAGCTCCATCTGCAACATTGGGGATCACATTTCAACATGAGACTGGGAGGGGATGCACATCCAAACCATATCAGGTAAATGCTATTATTCTCATTTTGCAGATGATGAAAATGAAACACAGAAAAATAAACTTGTCCAAGCTTGTACAGTTGATAAGAAACAACTTTGAACCCAGGGATTTGAACCCAGGCAATCTGCTCCATAATCTATGCTACACTACCTTCCCCATGGGTTGTTATATAGGTTAGTTGTGCTATCAATGAAATGTGAATAGTAAGACCAATCCTACAGACTTCACAGGCGTGCTCTGTGTATCACAGTCACAATAGATGTGAAAACAATGTGAGATGAGCTGAAAGTGCTTTAGAAACCATAATGTATTGTTACCTTCTCTTCAAAGTTACCAGTAAGCAACCTCACTTTTGGGTTCTAGAACTTCCAGATGATATTAGGTGATAGAAAACGGAATCACTATTTAGTTATTTGAGAAAGTCCATGCCAGGTGCTCTAAAGTGAGTGTCTGCTGTCCAAGTCAGGTGTCTGAACCTAGAAAAAGGCCAGATAAAATTTCCATCAATGAGCAGTGAGAAGTCCAGGGCCAGCCGGGTGGTTTTTAATTAATGATACCAGTGAGGAGCCTAGTTAGATATGAAGAGGTGTCAACACCTTTCCTCACTACTAGGCATAGCAAAGATCCCAAAAGGAAGTAGTGAGGAAAGGTGTTGACACCCCTTCATATCTAACCAGGCTCCTCATAGCAGAGATCTGTTGAATCCCTGTGTCGCCCTGCTGAAAAACAAATGTTTCTGGAGCCTTCACATTTCATGCCCTGGTGAAACATGAGGGCTCTGCAGTAACTACTCCTCCTAAGAAAGTTACAGCATTCAAAGCAGCTGAGACTGACAGCTCATTAAAAAGGCTGTGGCCTCTTTTGGAAAGGCTTTTGCTTTTTTTTTTTTTTTTTTTTTTTTTTGAGATGGAATTTTTGCCCAGGTTCCCAGACTGGAGTGCAATGGCATGATCTCAGCTCACTGCAACCTCTGCCTCCTGGGTTCGAGCAATTCTCCTGCCTAAGCCTCCCGAGTAGCTGGGATTATAGGCGCCTGCCACCACACCCGGCCAATTTTTGTATTTTTAGTAGAGATGGGGTTTCACCATGTTGGCCAGGCTGGTCTTGAGCTCCTGACCTCAGGTGATCCGCCCGCCTCAGCCTCCCAAAGTGTTGGGATTACAGGCGTGAGTCACCGTGCCCGGTCGGCTTTTGCTTGATTTCCTCTGAGCAGCACTGGGGCTCCTGGATTAAATCTGACTTAAAGGAAGAGAAAATCAAGTTGGCATTAACATAAACAAAACCTGAATATAGGCTAAATTCAAGATTGAATAAGAAAAACACATTTAACTTGCTGCTCCTCATCACTCACTGCATGTTTTTCCTAGTTGTACAATAGACAGTCCCTTGCCCCTGAAAAACTATTTAACCTCATAGAATTGCAGAATAGTTCAAGTGGCCATGTTTCCTTTGAACAATTTCTCTTGCAGGCTAGGGGGATGCAGTTGGGTGTCTGCCATCTAAGACTTAAAACAGAGGTGGCACACCAGCAGCCTGCAGTCTGAATCTGATAGTCCCCCTTCCCCCAGAAATTTAATATGTTAAAATAATTGGTGAGTCGTCGCCATGATTCAGAAGTCAGATGAGTTCCTACAAAATCTAGATTGATGACAGGAGGAAATGGAGGATTGCAGCAGCAGGTCCTCATCCTTACATGGGCACAGCCTGGTAAAGGTGAGAGTGCTTATCTCTCCAGGTTACCTACCTGTTTCATCACTCAGCTATCTGCCTAGCCATTATATTCATAGAGCTCCACCTCGGCCCTAGTGACATTTGGGACCAGATAATTTTTTGTGGTGGAGACTGTCCTGTGCGTTATAGGATGTTTAAAAGCAGCCCTGGCCTCCACTTTCTAGATGCCAGTAACATCCTCCCACTCCTCAGCCTCTTACACCCCAACCCCACTCCAACTGTGACAACCAAAAATGTCTCCAGACATTGACTGGTGTCTCCTGCCTGAGGCAGTGAGAATGGCTTCTGGTTGATAACCACTTTGTTAGAGCCTGCAAACTCATAAAACAGTATTGCATATTCTGACACATTAATACTGCTGCCTTCTTAGGCTCAAAGTGTCATAGTGATGAATAATTGGCAAAGTGTGTCTGGATGGTTGTCTTGAAATTTCTGACCAGACTGGAATGTTCTTTTCTTCTAAAAGAGCATTCTTATAATCATGGTCCAAGATTATTGGGCCATTAATTGGCTCTTGAAGGAATTTTACAAGTCACCAGTGTCCTCATTTTATAGGTAAGAAAACTGAGTCCCAAGGAGGCAAATTGCCCAAGATCACATAACTGGCTAGTGACAGAGCTTGAACTGGAAGCTAGATTTGAATTCTTAGCTTGTTACTCTTTCCACATTATAAAACGTTTGAGTTATAAAGAAAAATGTAAGCATGACATACAGATGTCCTGGTGAGTATATTTAACTCTATTTATCATGGCTGCTCTTCTAGGTGACTTCAGGTCCATTGTTATTATTTCTGTATAATGCCATGCTATGGTATCTCCCTTCTCCAAGTAAACTGCTTTGTTAAACAAAATGACACAAACCCAACAAGAGCTTTATTCACTGATTACCTATCTGGATGTCTTAGGTTAAATACTTGGGATTTAAATAATTAATCACAAACTACAATCCTTTCAAACTGTCTATTGCCAAAATAATTCTTCTACTCCTTGGGGCCTGAAAGAATGGGTTCCCTTTGATGTGCAGTATCCATAGAAGGGAGTCTATTTTATCTGGTGTGCCCAATTTATTTGGTGGTCTACTCTTGGAATTTACATCACTGCTTAACTTGGGAAACAAGAATACAAGTAGAACCTCAGAGTTGGGAATTGTGATTCTTCAGCTACATTTTGGGAGGCTGCTTGGTTGGCCCTGAGGGTGCTACAGAGGCTGGTACGCTGTGTAAGGAATCCCAGAGAAGAGAGCCTTGCCAGAGGTGAGGAAAGTGCTACGGTCATTTGTAGGGACACCAACAATGAACTTTACCTCCTGCCTCACAGCCTGCCCATCATCCCTCTCCAACCGGGAGCCACAGCCCTTATCTATTTACACCTGCTTGACAAGCTGCCTGTCACTGAATGACTCTTGTTTTCCCCTTTGAAAATGCCTTGCTGTTCATTCTTATGCAGCTTTTCTGGTGCCTAGGTGCTTGTGGAGAAGAGAGAACATGCCATCTGAGACCCTTGGGAAGGGCCCAGCAATTAGATGTTTCAGGCCTTCCCATCCACCCAAATGTGCAGGAGCTTCTGGCCCAGAGGAGAACAAGGGGACAGGGGCAGAAACTTTGAAAGAGACCCCATTGTTTGCTTTTTTGTTTCTCTCAGTTGCGTGTTTTCCTGCCGCAGCTTCTGATATCTTTATATTCAAGTTCTAAATAACCCCACATTGCCTCAACATATCAGAAAATTACTAGATTTTGTAAAATGCTTTCCCCCAACTCCACTACTACACTGATGATGGTAGAAACCAGAGGTAGCTGCTTTCTTCACCCTTACATTGCATTCTCCCAGTATGGTGGGCTTATAAGGAGGAGAAAGGGACTCTTCCCTTACTTCTGCCATTATTCTTCCCACATGTTGCTTTTGTTTTGTTCTGGGTGAGTATACGGTGGCATGAAGGCTTTTGTCCCCTCCCTGCTTAACCTGCCTACCTTGCTTTTTGGCCTGAGGAAAATTGACTTTTGCAACTCTCTGCTCTGACCCTTCAGTTCCATTTGTGTAAACTTCAGCCTAGAAACTTCAGTCGATGTTCAGGTATTGAAGCCTTTTGGAGAAGTGGGAGGTAAATTGAGGTCCCAGCAAGCAGCTGTCTGTTCTGTCACTTGTCTCTGTGTACATAACACATTTGGTGCCTTTTTTCAAAGATGTTTTTACCTAACCACCAGAGTGTCTGATTAGCAAGGACAATTCCTAGTTTAACAAGTTACAGGGATTTTTAAGCTTTGGTTTCCAGAGAACATTGTCACTGAGGGGATTGAGCTTTGAGGTGAATGCTTTATGTTGTTTCTTATGACAAGGGGTATTTTGTCAATAGTTGTAGCTAGACCTCCTGTAACCATAAATTATCTGGTTACAAGTATCGGGAGCTGCAAAGAAAAATAAACCATAGTCCCTTGCTTTATTTTTCATTGCTATTTTCAGGTGCATGACTTAAGAAAATGGGACAATTCCTTCCATATTTTTCTTTTTAATTTTTTTCTTTAAAGTCAGGAGCTTTGATGCTTGTTGGTATCTAGTCAATAGCAATAGCCAAAAATGACCACTTATTGTTCTGGCCCAAGTGTTCATTTTTAGTTTTTAAGGGTTGTCATTGTTAAGGACCTGTGTTTATAATTCAAATTTCAGAGCTACAGGGAACCATAGAGGCTATACAGTTCAATCATCTCATTTTATAAATGAAGAAACCAGGGGCCCTGAAGAGAAGTGCTTCCTTCCGGTTAACACAGCTCATCTCTGGCAGAGGTGGAGGTAGAACTGGGTCCTTCCCTCTAGACCACGTGCTCTTTTCCATGAACAGTGCAGTTCTCCTTTACCTTCTCCTTGCCTATTTCTGACCTTCTTTCTTCTTTCCTTCTCCCTGCCTATTTCTGTCCTTCTTTCTGGCCTCTCTAAAATGTTATAGGACATGAAATTCCAAAAATCCTGTTAATTAGAGTTTTATTTTTTAGCAGATGGCCTTCAGATACTAACCCTGACTGCCTTAAAAAATAGCCCATATCTTATTGATAGAAATTCTCCAAGCTGATCTTTATTTAATTCACCATTCCCTAGGACCCTTATCCTTTCCAGCTGGTTATTAATTATCAGGCAATATCCTCTTGAGCTGTCTCCATTTCTTAATTACCTTATTAATTGTAATCACATAAATTGATCTCTCTGACATTCTAAGTCTGACTCACTGAGGAAATACGTCTAATATTCACAAGAGACTCCAACAATCTTACTACCTTAACTTATTATTTCCATTATGTAGAATGGTATCACTAGAAGCCAGATGTGACTGCTTAGCTGAACTGGCCTTTATCCTAATCGTAATTAGAATGTCCTTTAACAATTCTCCCTTAGCCTTTCTTGCCTACTTAGACACACATGAGACATATCAGTTCATTTCCTCCCTACCTTCACTCTTTAGTCTTTAAAATAGAAGGAATGTTCCTCCTCATTTCATCTTGTGGTAATTCTTTATTTGTAATTCAAGGCATTTATGAGGAGAAAACATTAATATGAATGTATTTTAGTTTTTCAAGGTTTTTATTGTAACACTGCACCCTAAGGACCTGATACCCAATTAAACATTTTAAAAAATGGTCAAGCTTTTATATACAAAAATAGTCTCTTAATGTGTGTTATTTGAGAACTCATTTTTTTTTTCTTCATGACAAGGTACACTACTATAACCCTTACCTTTTTCCCCAGGTTCCACTTAAGTTTTATGAAGTGACAAGAGTAAACAGGTTCTTATATATAAGTTGGTCATTGTTCCATATGATCCTTTCTATATTTGTATAAGAAATGGTTGATTGGTTGCCAGGCACAGTGACTCATGCCTGTAATCCCAAACCTTTGGGATGCCGAAGTGGGTGAATCACTTGAGCTCAGGAGTTCAAGACTAGCCTTGCCAACATGGTGAAACCTCGTCTCTACTAAAAATACAAAAATTAGCTGGGTATGGTGGTGAGCACCTGTAATCTCAGTTACCTGAGAAGCTGAGGTGGGAGAATTCTTGGGCCCGGGAGGTAGAGGTTGCGGTTACCTGAGATCACACCACTCCACTCCAGACTGGGTGACAGAGTGAGAGCCTGTCTCAAAAATAAAATAAAATAAAATGGTTGATTGGTAGGAAACTAAAGCTGAAGACTAGAATCTCTATTAAAAAAGAGAGTTAGAGAATTCCTATGCATGCTTATTTGCAGGCATATAAATAAATTTGGGATGTAAAATCAGCTCCAAGCAATCAATCAATCTTTCTTTCTTTTCTTTCTTCTTTCTTTCTTTCTTTCTTTTCTTTCTTTCTCTCTTTCTTTCCTTCTTTCTTTTCTTTCTTCCTTTTTCTTTCTTTTATTTTTTTATTTATTTATTTTATTTATTTATTTATTTTTTGAGACGGAGACTCGCTCTGTTGCCCAGGCTGGAGTGCAGTGGTGTGATCTGAGCTCACTGAAATCTCCACCTCCCAGGCTCAAGCCATCCTCCCACTTCAGCCTCCCAAGTAGCTGGGACTACAGGTGCATGCTACCACGTCCGGCTAAGTTTTGTATTTTTTGTGGAGACAGGGCTTCACCATGTTGTCCAGGCTGGTCTCAAACTCCTAAGCTCAAATAATCTGCCTGTCTTGGCTTCCCGAGGTGCTCGGATTACAGATGTGAGCCACCGCACCCAGCCTCCGATCTCTTAGAAAGAAGCAATATAAATTAACAATGCCAATGTCTTTCATGGTGAGGAAAATGGCACAAATGGGTAGATGGCACCAATGGGTAGATTTCTGTTTTGGCTGGGTATACAAAGACCCAACTTGGCGATCCACATGATACATTAAGTCTCTCCACATATCTAAGGGTCTGCAGAACATTCACCAACGGTGTGCTACAGATACCATCTCAAACTATTCCCAACGGAATACCTTGTCTTTTCACCCAACTTGCTCGTTCAGTCATCCAACCAAACCAAGAACTTGGATATCATCCACATGACTTTTCCCCACCCCCTATTACCTGCCAAACTGTCTCATCTAATCAGTCATTAAGTTAACTTATGTTGATTTGGTTCCCTTATTACCTTTCCTCTTTAACCCATTTCTTCTGGTGCTGCTGCTTTGCTGAGTTCCTAGTCCACCCTTTCCCAATCTATTGTGGTAATCTCCCTTCTGATTTCAATGGCATATCATCTCACGTTGAATGACCTACAAGGTCCTCCATGACAAGCCTCATTAGTCTAATGTCTCTACTACCCTTACTCTCATCCTAAACTTTAGCGATGTTGAACTATTCACAGGTCCCCATTACATGTGTTTTTATATCCCATGGCTTTGAATGTTCTCCTCTTCTTTTCTTGGAGTATCATTCCCACATAATTTTATCTGTCAAACTCCTATTCCTACTTTAAGACCCAGCTCAAGCATCTTTTTCTAGAAAGCTTTTTTGGAACCCCAAACTGTTGATCATTCTCTTCACTGGGCCCCCTCTTTAATTTGTACGTACCTCATTATTATACTTGTTAACGGTATTGCCATTGTTTGTTTGCAGGCCTGTATTTCCTTTAAAAATGTAAATTACTCAAAGGCAGGAACTATGGCTTTTCATTTTTTTTTTTTTTTTTTTTTTTTGTCTTCAGCATCTGTCGCATTATCTGGCACACAGCAGATTCTCAGTGAGTGTGTTAATTGAATGATTATGAATAGAGTTCATGATCACTTGAGATTTCACCAAGTTCTATTCTTCTATGATTTATGATGTTATACTTATTTTAGGTTTCAACACTGATTCAAATGTCAGGGGCCAATTTGTTACTTAACCAGTGTTTTTATCCGTCTGCTCAGAAGTGGTAGCTGTTCCTTCTCTGGAACGGTTGAAGGGGGATGGAGCAGAAGCAATCACCTTGTGCAGCAATGGAAATGGTAAAGTTTGCCATCTATAATGAGAGCATATCATGGGCAAGGGGATGGTTTTGGAGTGAAACTGATCTCAGTTTAATTTCAGTTCTGTTTCTTATTCCGTGTATGACTTTGGACAAGGTTATTTGACTTTCCTGAGTTTCACATTTGTCATCTGTAAAGTGGTAATAATAATAACACCTGAATCTCAAATTTGTTGTAAGGATTAGATCAGGTAGTGTGTGTAAAGGACTTACTACAGTTTTTCGCATATAGTGACTTCTCAATAAATGGTAATTGTTATCATTATCATGACTTTTATTGCAGTAGCCACACAAGAGAAAAAAGCATGATACTGCCTTCTGATCCCCAAGGGATTCCTCCTTCAAAGATAAAGTATACTACTGGGATCCTTATTCAATCTACAGAACACAGAAAATTATTTGAGGAACTATTTTCTCATTTCTCTCAAGAATGGTAGCTAACCAGTGCCATCCTTTTTACAGGAAAGATGTTAATTCATGATTTACAAATAGTATTTTAGGACGTTAATTCTCTCCCCTTGAAAACGGCAGAGTGACCCCCAACACTCAGTGGAATAATGGGCTGAAAATATAATTTTAGAATCAGTAATAAAGTTTTCAAGACACTTAGAGACATCTTGGGTTAGCACAAAATAAACGAGAAGGTTTTCTTCGCATGTGTCTTTTAACTGTGTTGTGCTTCTAAGGTAGAGAAGACAATTCTGTGACCAATGGATCAGAGATCAGAAGAGCGATTCAACAACTCACTCTAGGGATAACTTAGGGCAGTCCCTTATGCACCAGCAGCTTCTGTGTATTTATAATGAGGATAACACTCACTCTGTTGATCTCACTCAGCCTTGGGCATTTTAAATTACATCATATATTTGGAAGTGCCTTACAATTTGTAAAGTGCTGTACAAATCTTAGTGATTATGAAGATGATTATTCTGCTTTCCTGCCATCCGGCTTCCTCCACCAGATGCCCCTAATGAGCCCAGATCTCTACCAGCAACTCAACTGGTTCTGAAATGAGGACACATGTAGCTTTGGTTGAAATAATCAACTTTTGTTTATTCTTTTGCTGCTTTCATTCTTGTGAAGCTGGGCTTTCCTTGGCATTTTCATTGACGATTAAAGATCCCAGGTACTATTTCTTTCTAACTGCTCTTCTGAAAAATGTTAAAAACTCATGGCATCTGTCAGCTCCATCAGGCCACTTACTGGGTTCCCAAATCCCAGGGAATTGCCCAGAAGGCCTGGATGAGTGTTTTATTGCACTGGATGGAGTTATCTTCTGATTTGTTTTTGCAGGTCAGAAGCATTAACAATGAATTTAGCTTGCTTTTTTCTCTGTCTTTCCTTCTCTCTCCCTCTCTCTCTCTCTCTCTCTCTCTCTCTCTCTCTCTCTCTCTCTCTCTCCTTGTGACATGGCTATAGAACTGAATATCCATTTGCTACTAGGTTTCCTTTCTGGGCGTTTGTGTACACTTTTCAGAGGAGCAGAAATCAAGGCAGATTCGGTGCCAGTTATTTTAATGGAGAAAAAGATTGACAAACCATCAGTCTTTCTCACTCGCTCACTGCAAGAAAAGATGTGACATGACCTGCAATAGCATTTCAGACCATCTGACTTAAGACTTGAGTTAGTTAGGTTTTATCTCCTCCAAGAAAAATATTTGACCCTTCATTTCCAGCCAAGCTCTTCTATGCTCTAACTATCATGCCATTTCCTGCTTCTTGATCCTGGTTCTTCACTGGGTATAACTTACCTTCCCTTTCTCATTGTGGAAAAGCGAAGCAAAACAAGAAATCATCAGGTAAAGCTCTGCCTCCTCAGTTATTTCCAGACCCCTCCAGTTTCCATCTGAGATTCCCTTTCTCCTTAGCCCTATGGCATTTATTATTCATATGGTATATTTTGAAATTATGAAGAATGTCCTAACTGTGTTTTATTTAGTAACTTTTAAAATAATTTATGAATTCTTTTTCTCCAACCCATATGGCAAGAATCATATCTTAAATTTTCTTTCTTGGCATAAAGTTTTAGCTGGCCTTATTATTACAAGCTTATTATTATTACTATCTATCATCTTCTATTAGTAGCAGTAATGCTTGTGGATTCATTGATAACTGAGGGTCCAGTGGAGACCCTGGATCCTCTCTGAAACCACTTGGGTATGTGCAAGAGTGCAATTAGCCTCACTTTTGCACCAGGAAGAGAAATGTTAAGAAAACAGTGTGATAACGTGTGCTTTTAAATTGGTGAAAGTTGTGAATTTTAAAATGTCAGCATATTACTTCTCTTAATATTTTGACTCAACCACAAAGCTTTCTCTTATTAGGAATTTCAACTCATTATAAGAAACTGAAGCAAGCCCTTTCTGGCTCCCTCAGGAAAAAGCTGAACAAACAGATGGGCCTTGCTAGGAATGTCAATCAACAGGAGCCCTGCTCCTGCCCACAGATGCTGTAAATTTTACAGGGATCCCCCCTAGAACATAGGCCCCACTGCCCAGTTTCCCTGGGGAGCTGCAGCTAGAAATAACAAAGCCAGAGTCTTATTTTACTGCATTATTGCTTTCTTTAGAAGGCCTCATGTCCAGTAGCACTAACATGAGAAGTCAGGCTACTCTTTATGCTCCTGACATTTTCTGCTCCTAACAAAGCTGTAATCGTTACTGTCAAGATTTAACAATTTCAGAAATGGTGCTGATGACCCAGATGCCTTTCTTTGTTAACAAATAATTCCTGTGGCATTAGCTATTCTCCATGTATTGAAGGATTTCTCCCTCACTATCAGATTAATCTCAAGAAACTCTGCAAATATTCCTATATTCAGCAGTCTGTGCTTTGTGCAAATTAGGCTCTGAGCAGAGATTTGTTAAATTGAATTCTGTAAGAAGCATAACTCTATTTTCTGGGTTGGTTTAAAAGATATCTTGGAAGTTAAACATTTCTGTCTTTTTAGGACATTATTTTAATCATTAAGAATGGGCCAACTTGATTTCACAGTGAATTACCCATCTCTTGTCTTTTTCTCCAGAGTTAGTCATTTCTGCCAAAGAACAATGAGTCAGGAACACCTTGTCATTACCCAAATGGTTAGGATGTCCTGCTTTGGAGATATTGCATAGTTGAACCATATGAAATTGCTGATATTTGACCATTTTTTAAAAAGATGGTTTTTTAAAAAACCATTTAAAAAGACCATTTACAAAGATGGCAGTTTTATATGGTTCCACCTAAGACATATTTTCTCCCTTGTTTGGTAAGAGTTAGCCAGACTCCAAGATGTGGACAGAAGAGAGGTGCTTCCCCTTGGCTTCCCCCACCATCTCTGTGTCAGTGAGGAAGGGAGAAGGTTCAGTGCCCACTCACCTCTCACTTAGCTTAGTAAGAACAGAGGAAACATGGTGATGTCTCAAGGGGCTTCATTTTATGGACAAATGTATCAGTTGGGGATTTTTTAATGGTCACACCTTTTCAATAGCTCGTCGTTTTATTATTACTTCTTCTCACCCCTTTTTCCCCAGTTCCTATGCAGTTTATCAGCCTCTATACATTTAGATGGCAACGAAAATCATGCTTTTAAGAAGCTTCTAACAATCAGCATATGACTTCAGTCGCTCTAAAGCTTCCCTTGACAGTGTCACGAGGAATTTTCCCTTTAGTCAAAGCTAATGAAAATAAGATGTTGTGGGAGCTGGGCAAATCTAGTTTGTGAACATCCAAGAATTCTTTCATGATTTCATAACAGCAAAGGTATTATGTCTTGTGTTCTGAACCCAGGGTTCCCTTCTTTTGAGAAGGTAGCCCATTATGTATGAGTGTGTGGACCCTGGAGTGACTTCGGGAGAGGGTGAAGAGTCATGGGTGCTCAGCATCAGGAGAGGAATAAGGAAAGCAGTAACTTCTGTGCTCATCTCTGTCACTTGGATCCATGCCACTGCATATCTGCTGGGATTTTCTGCCTGTGACAATAATAAAATACTAGATCAGGAAGTGACCTTAAAAATAATCTAGGACAACAGTTGATGACACTTGCAAATCAGATAAAAATTATGGATTCCATTTCCAGGAAAGATTTTTATGTTCAGTTTTAGAAGGTTTATGTAGCTGAGGGTGTGGACTACAGGTTAAGAAACCTTGACTCAGGAGTCCTATCACCTTATTTTACACATGAGAAAACTGAGGACCAGGGGAAGAGACTAAAACCCAGTTTAATGATTCCACATCTAGTTCTCCTTTATCTTTCCTTAAATGTCAGATTACCTCCGTTACTCTTGTTCCCTTTCTTACACACAGAACTCCATGAAACCAAACCGAAGGAGGAGGTAGGAGAAGATGACAAAGGGGAAGTATGTGGCATCCCCCACTTCTAAGTTATGCAACCGGGAAACACAGGCAGAGCCTGTACCAACAGCAGTAATGAACTCAATCAACTTGTTGAAAAACATTTCAGTTATTTTAAACAAAAATACTACATCATTCATGTTTTCAGTTATTTTAGGCAAAACACCAAATCATTCCTGTTTTTCAGTTCAATCAATCAGCTCATGCTGTATTGCAGTTTATTCTCCTTGTTTTTATATACTCACCAGCATATAAAAACATGCTTTTTAAATATGTTTTTATTTATTTTCTGCAAGTAACTAGCTGAATCAAAGGTCAGAGTTTAAGGAGATTATTTTGTTGACAACATTACATATTTACTGAATCTCATCTTTATCCTGGCACTATCCCTGCCTGGTGGGTTTATAGACAGAAATGTCACAGATTTGGAAGGCTTTTCAATGCAGAGATTACTATGGATTAAATCCTTGTCTAACTGGTTTTGCTTTTTCAGCCTTAGATGATAGTGATATGGAGAGGAAAGATGGGGATATAATCATTCATGGGCCAAAGTTTGTTTCTTATCACACAGTCAACATGTCATTGGCAGAAGGTGGAACAGTCACTCCTGACACTTTTCTGCTTCTTCTATAAGAGAACTTTGTTAGGAGCCAGAAGCCCCTCATGGCTCACCTAATCACTGGCTCTGTAAGTGATCTGGGATAAAGGAGGCCTCAGAGTCCCCCAGTTGTAAAAGAGGAAAATCAAATATGCCCATCTGGAAAGTTTATACAAGAGATCAATAAAAGCCTTCTTCTCCCAAAACAAACAAAACAAAACAAACCTCAGGGGTAGCCACGGAGGGTAGGAGAATTCACACCATTTATTATAAGACCATGTTTCAGCCTTGTATTTTTCCTTCAGGCTCATGGTGAGACACAGCTCATTCTGCAGCCAATGTTGCCCCTTGTTTGGGAGTACCTTGAGCAGCGTTTCCCAGACTTATGGCTGTTGTGTATCACCTTCATTAATTTTGCTGGAATACTTTTCTTTCTTTAAATTGATTTCGGCTTTTTTTTTTTACTTTAGTAAATTTTTAAATGATAAATAAAATTAATATTGCTTATCCTAAGTAGTGGGTGATGATAAAAATATATTAAAATAAAAATGGTTGTGTACGTCTAAAATCATGTTGCATGCAGAATATTGTGCCTTCCTTTGAGATACCTGTTCTTACAAGTCCCAGAAACTGAGATGTGAGTCCAAACTTGAGGACAGAGCGACGACATGGACGTCTACAAATGTGACATGATGGGGTAGTTTTATCTCTAGGTGCAAGTCAGGGGGAGGATAATGAAGAAAACTGTCCGGCTAACACTTCAAACTGCTGACACTGCATAGGTTCCTTAGCAGCTCCACAAGGACCTGCCGAGCTGTCCCACGCCTTCACATACACCCCATTGAGGCTTGAGTTTGCTGTAAAGGTATCCTAACAGCCTTTTCTGGCTCTGCCCAGCCCTGTTTTTCCCTCCTCCACACAAATTGGTCTCCTGGCTTGGGTTCCATCTGTACCTTTGACTCCAGCCAGGTGGTTTCCTTTTGGCCACTATCGCTCAGCGTGCTGATTGCTGCCTTGGTCCTTGTTGTTTGTCCTTTCTCTCTTTAAGGACCTGGGGCTTGAGCTGCCAATTTTATAAGGGAAGAAGTTCTTGTCTTTTTATAGCGTCTCTCCTTGCCATTCCCTGATTCCATTAATATCCCATCAACGAAGTGCAAATTGTTGCCTTTCCCCTCCCACTTCTCGGTGTGAAGCGGTGACCCAGTTAACAGGGGCAGGGGCTTGGGGCTCCTCTGGCTCTGTCTGCACTTCCAGGACTCAGTGTGTGCCCGAGTTAGAGTGACCTGTACAGTGTGTTCCTGGTGGGACTTTAATACAGGGAGGCTTTTGCTGTTTTCTGCACGGTCAGATGAGGAGCTCTATGTTTGGAAAAGAGGCTTGGAAAAAGAAAAACCAGAATGAGCAGCCTTTTCCTGTTGACTTAGACGCCCTAGGTGGCCGGGCAAGTCTCTGACCTGCTGGGAGGCCTCAGTTTCCTCCTGTGTGAGTGAAGTGAATGGAAAGGAATGGGGCCCCATGAGCCTTCTCACCTTTTTTTTCTTGCTTGGTCTTCCCGACTGAAACCAGCATCCTCCCTGTTCTGATCTGGGCAGCCTCCTGGAGTCAGGTGGGGCCAGGGACCAGGTCCAAAGCTGAAGCTCCTTCTTCCTGCTGTTGGAGGTCAGCTGTGGGTAGGGAACTGGACTGCTCAAGCTTCTGTGGTGAGACCTGGAGTTGGGGAGGCCTCTGTGCGGAGCAATACTGGTGGGCGAGGGGTGTACTCAGCACAGTGATTGCTCAGGGAGGCTCTGGAAAGGGTGTCTGTTCCAACTGAAGGCAAAATGAGAGAGAACAGGCTGAAGCTCTGCTAAGCTGTGTGGCGTTACATGCAACCCTTAGCCTCTCTGAGCTTCATTTATTCTGATTTTAAAAATACATGCAAAAGGAGTACAGTGCAGCTTCAACTGGAGCAAGCAGCAGGTCCCTTCCAACATCAACATTCTTTGAGTTCGTAAGTCCAAGACTCTATATTTTAAAAATATTTTTATGGGTCTCAGACCCTCACTTCAACACCCATTTCATATGCTCCTCACTATTAGCAAACTTGCTACCTACTTTGTTCAGAAAATTGAGTTGTATTAGGGCTGAAGTTTCTTTATAATACTCAGGTGCAAGAAATGTCATATAGCACAGTTTTGTTGTTGTTCATTGTTAATTCAAGTTTGAAATTCTCCCTCCAGAGTGTGGCAAGGGTCAGTAGCAGTCATTATTGGAGGTTCTGCTCTCCAGAGGCAGTCAGGCATCCTTGGAGGATTGCTCAGTGCAGAAAATTCTAGGAGAGACCTCTTTTCTCTAGCCTATCACAGTCACTGCTTAGTTGTTTATTGGCTGGGCCAGAAAGGTCCATTTAAAGGCTGGAGGTTCTATTCCTAAGCCCACCCACCCACCTCCACCCCTAGTGCAACTTGGGTGAGGTGGCCTGGTTCTCACTACTGGGAAACTCAGGACCCTGCACATCTATAAGCCACACCATCGGAGGTTCTGCCATCTTCAGGGAACTGTATTGGAAGGGCCTGGTTTTCAGCCTGCTGCACAACTTTCTGCCACTGGCCCCTTTCTCTGTTCCAGAAAAGTCACCCCCACGGTCCTGTCACTCACTTCCTTCAACTACAATGCCACTTCCTCAGGTATGAATATAGCCACACAGTAGGCATAGTAGTGACTATTTGCAGAATCCCAATTAAATAACCACTTCAAACAAAAGCCTAGGATGGAGCTGCTACCTCAGTGTCCCAGAAACTCGTTTTTCACCTAGAAGCACAAAAGTGATCCTTACCCTTGGAGGCAAGATCAGGAGCGCACAATACAAGGGCTGACTTGTTCATCCACTGGAGACTCTGCTACAGTATAAATGCAATATCAAAAATGATATCTAAATTCATTATCCTGCTATAGAGGCAAATGAGCATGAGCGCCTTCCATTTCTTGCCTCACCCATGCCTAGGAACAGAGCTCCACTCACACCCTGCATTATCGTCCTCCAATTTCAGAAGATGCATTGTCTCCTTTTGTTCAAGGCCGACCCCAGTTACACATGCCAAGACCAGGTTCCACAGCCATCCTCCCTCTTGAAACATCCACCTTTCCTCTTGCAGGGGTATGTCCTCTTCAGACTACAAGCTTACTCATCTCCTTCCCATTCATTAAAAAAGAAGTCTACCTTTGACCCCCATGTCCTCTTAGTGATGTCCTATCTCTTCTTCTATTTCATCCAAACATCTTTAAAGAGTTACCTATACTCAGTGTGACCACTTCATGTGCCATTCACTCTGCATCCCCTGCAATCTGGCTTCTGCTTTTGGTAAGGCCACCCATATTGTAGCTGGAAAATTCAGTGGACATTTTCCAATCTTTGTCTCACTGTATGTTTCTGGGGCATTTGGCCATGTTGCTTGTGTGCACCACTCACTCTCTATGATAGTCATATTATATTCTCTCAGCTTGCCTCATTTGTTTCTGTTCTTTCCCAACCATGGTCTCCTCTCCCTCCATCTACCACCCACATGCTGGGGTTACCTACCTTTCTGTTTTAGCCTACCGCTCTTCTCATTACTGATACTCTTCTTGGGTGGATTTTTCTACACTCAGGATTTCAGCTACCATCTGTATAGTAATGACTGTCTAGTTCAATCTCCATCTCCAATTTCTCCCCCAAGCTTTAGGCTCACCAATTCCATCACCTGCTAGGCAGCTTTTCTTGGGCACTCTTCAGACATTTCGGATTCAATTGCTCAAAAGCTACATGTATCACTTCCCTCCAACCTAAACCTCTATTTGTTCTGTTACCTTCTCTTTACCCAGTGACAAAAGTTATAAAATGTCTGCCTTGACTTTTTTCTTCTCCTCACTCCCTTTATCCAACTGATCATTACATCCTGATGTTTTCCCCTCCTATGCATTTCTCAAACCCATCCTCTCAACTCCACTCCTACCACCACTACCCTATCTCAAATGCACCTTCTTTTAACTGGACCAATATAACAGTCTCTCAATTGGCTTCCTGGTTTCTAGACCTGGCCCACTCCATTCTCTCTCCAGAGCTACCTGAATGATTCATATACAAAACAGTAATCTGACCCAGTCCTTCTCTTGCTAAAGTCATTCTGAATCTACACAAGGAAATTCAACCTCCTTTCCTGGGGCTGTCCCTTGTCTATCTCTTAAACCTTAGCTCCTACCACCCGCTGCCCCCTATTTTGACTCCAACTCTCAACCGGCAGTAGTTCTCTGCAAGTCTTCTGTTCTCTTTCTGTTCTTTACTTGCACATTTACCAATAAATATGTTTTACTCCAGTGTATTAGGTTAGTATTATAAGGGAAGTTTCAAGTTCATTTCATATTAAACATTAGAGCCTTCATGCTTAGGGAGAGAGGGAAAAAGAGAAAAAACCCATAGCTAAATACATAGTTAAGTCGCGTTCTTCTCCAACGCAGCCAAAAATTGGACTGGGCCTGAGATATTTGTGTGCCCTGTTTGATTGAAAGCTGTTAGAAAGTATGCCAAACATTTTAGATTTTTCGCTCCCAGAGTTCTTGTAAACCCGGCAGAACTTGTCTGTTATGAAGAGTGGACTGCCCTCTAGAGGTTCCCATTGGAAGGAGCACATCAAACCCACAGTGTTAAGGCATTCTGCAGTTTCTTGTGAGGTTTTGCTGTAGACATTTACTATTACTGTTCTTTGTCCCCAAAATGCTTTTCCAGATGTCTAATTCTGAGTCACACATTTTTAATTTACTTTGGGAATAGAGATTTGGGGTAAAGCATGTGATGGACCTCAAAACACTCAATTTGGAGTCAGGAGATGTGACTTTTAGTCCCGGTTCTTCCTTTAATATCTGAGGACTTAGATTTCATGTCTGTTAATCAAGTAGTAGAAGATCACACTTCAAAACTGTGAATCACCAGAAAGTATGTTTTAGGAGTAAAACTGGGAAGAGTTTCATTAATTCAGTAAATATTTAATATGGAAGACCCTGGGGTAAGAGCTGTTTTGCAGAAGCTAGGAGTTTACGTTTGATCTTTACAATGTTAGATGAAACATATTTGAAAAAAAGACACTTGGAAAACATTTGGGCTTGCAATTTAAATGGATGAATTTAACCCTGATATCATAGAACCCTGAAAGCGAAACTGAGCTAAAACAAAGTAAAACTTACTCTGATTCCAAGGGTCTCTTCTGACATGAGAGTGGAAATGAATCACACAACCACACACACACACCCATAGACACCCTAATATGCCATTAAGCTCTGACCCAAACCCCTTTTAGCCTGGTTTCCCCTTTTCTATTTTCAATCAAGAGAGAAAAAAAAGGAAGTCTTTCATTTAATGGTAAGAACCAACTATGGTCTCTGTATGCTCATATAATACTAAAGAATTATAGGTAAAATTATATTTTATGTACTTTATTATGGTACTATGTCAATTGACATTGAACTTCATAGTACACTGAAGAAAGGGAAAAAATATTAGGACACCATTTATGTCCGTAGTAACACTGGAAGTAAGATGCCGCAAAGCTCAGGACACAGTAGCTAGGAAACAAGACGTCTGAATTCCTGTGATTCCACACATGTTTGGAGGGATCTGGGGACACCAGCTGGATCTTCTGTAATGCAGGTAGCCACATCTGTGCACCATGGTTATGATGCTCACTTCTGTGGAGTTCAATGTTAATGTCCTCTTTGGCATCTACCTCCTCCAAGTTCAAAGCTGGACTGCTGTGCTGGGAATCCAGCAACCTGAACCTTTTTCTTCATTACAAATCTGGACATCTTTGGACTTGATTTCTGACATCAAATCAATGGTTTTACTTCTCTCTTCATTAGTTTACTGTCTGTCTTTACAAAGTCCTCTGGGCATTAGCAAAGACATGAACCTAACAGAATACCTCTAACATTTTGAACACATATAAAACATTAGTACTTGAAATTTTTCCTTATGTTTCTATAGCTAAGGAAAACTTTTAATTTTTTTTTTCTGTCTTAGCCTACTCTATCCAGCATTCCTTGCTGGAGGCACAGCTAGGATGAAAGCTTTGGAATGAGAAATGAAAGGAGTAAATAGACTTGACTTTACTAACAGTGTCCATGTTTTTATTCCTGAAAGTTATGACACAACAATTGTTAGACCATAATCATTAAGAAGTTCTGTCATCATCTTCTGTTAGGTTGAAACGTTCAACAAACAAAACAACAAACCTATTTTTATTCTGCTTTCATATTTCAAATGCATTTATGCACTTCAAATTTCAGTTTCAAATATTCTTGAGAGTTTCAAAAACTCTGCATCGTTTTTTGACTTATGACTTAATGCTATATGCTGCCTTATGCTGTTTTACTTCTGCTTTCTTCATACTTTGCTTCATTTATTATCCTATTCTTTCCTTCCTTCTTCCTTTGTAATCCTTGTTTATGGTATTATTAGAACTTGTAAATTTCTGTAGGTAGTGGTTACAATATAGGTAACTCACAAGGCCTAAACAGGTATATTTAGATAATAGAAAGTATTGAACTCTGAGTCTGGAGTGGGAAAAGTTGATCACATCACTTCTCCCCCCAAACAACTTTGCTCTGAGATTTAGTCTAAAGAGATTCACTTTTCAATAAGTAGAAATGTGATTTGGTGGATAGCTTGCTGCTCATTCCAAAGTATATTATATTTCTCTTTCTGGAAGCGAACCCCTGGGAAGAGGGTGCTTGGTGAGCTCTGGATGCCGTGCCCAGAGGCCAGGGGTTTTTGGAAATGCCGCAGAACATCCTGTTCCTGGGAGCCCTTCTGCCTGGTTGTTTGTGCTCTAGAGACTTGGCTCCTGGTGTTCTTGCTCAGACCTTTGGACTTTGGCAAGGCTACTTCTCATGTTTCTGTCTTCCTCTGTGTGCCATTCTGGCTCTGTAGATGGTTTGGTTTTTTGTGTTGTGACAGTGGAGGCTGCTTGGAGTGCACTGCCAGGCATTGGCTCATGGGCACTCTGCTCCATTTCAGTAACAGCAACAGAACTTGGATTTGACTGGGAAATAATAACCATTACTGGAAGAAAAAAGTAGCAAAACATATTTCCTAATATGTGCTAACATAATGAGGGGCCAGGTCTCCAGCTTTACGGGTGATTATTATAGTTTTTGATTGTTGCCAGTTACCAACACTAAGTACTTTAGCTGTGCAACTTGATTTGAACAGCATTGCCAGAAGAGCACCATCAAAGGCTTTTGATAACATGCTACCAAGAAAATATGTGACACCAAGATAACATACGACCCCAAGAAACTTATTTAATCTTCTTGGTGCATCTATAAAAATAGAACCAAGTAGAAAAACAGTATAAAAAGCAAAACGTTTCTCACTGGGGTTTTGTGAAGGATACCAACTAGCCCTCATGAAGTATTGTGAGTTTCCTGGAAGGAAGGCCTTTTGTAAGTTCAAGTTATTGCCATTCACTAATTATTGGTCATAACATTGCACATGATAGATGGGAAATGGAAGAGTGGGAGAATTAAGTGATTAAGCTAAAATCACACAGTGAGCTGGGGGAAAACCCAAAAGTGCAAAGAGATCTAAATTTGTTTCATTGGAAGAACACAGTTATATCTGGACAAAGCCCCAGAGTTTAAGTGACAAGGACACCTAACATAAAACTTGAAGTCATAGGCATGTAGCCAAATAATACAAATATCCTTGTTAAATGCAAGTGTATCCATACCAGTTATGGATACACTTGTCCTTGGAGGAGAGCTAAGGTGAGTCCTGCTGAGGACAGGAACTCTTCTGTGTTTGATTTGCAGGTAGAGCGAGTAGTTGACCCTCTGAGCCCAAAGCTGCAGAGAACACAGTAAACCTAGTAAACTGAGTGTGGCTATCTCCCCAGGGTGGCCCTCTGAGAATCCCTCCTAGGTTCCTGAGAGAGACAGGTAGACAGGCTATAGGTGGAAAGAGACAAAGTGCCTTGAGCTCTGTGGGTTAGGATCCTATCTTCAACCCCTAGACACTTAAAAGTCTTGCCTGAACTCATGGCCTTTCAATGAGGAAAGCATCACAGAAAGACTTTATGGTAATCGGACAGGAAACAATGACTGGGCAAAATTTTTTAAGCAGTCAGTATTAAGAGAAAGAAGGAAAGCCATGTCTTTGCTATTTACCTCAAGGTTATATTTTGCAGCATCTAATGCCAACTATTAAACAAGGATACACTCTTATCTAATTTGCGCTGTTGTCTTCCCAGGATCTGGAACATTTTCTGCGGGAGTCCACCTTTATCTCTAGAAGCCTCTGGCAAACTGTTTCATTTCAGCTCAGGTCCTTTTGTAGAAAGAACTTGATGCTGAAAGCAGCTCGCCCCTTCTGCCCTCAACCCCCACTCTCCCCCTACCCTCCCCACCATGGTTAACTTGTTTTTCATCTTTGTTCTGAGTTGCTTTGGCTGATTCAATTTTTATTTCCGTTTTTAATGAGTTAGTAATTCAGTGATCTTGGCTTTGAATCTTTGGAACTGTGGGTTTTTAGTAAGGATTGAATCAGCTTGTTGGCTCCTAATAGACTCTGAAATCCAGTAATATTCGTGATGTGTTTGTTCACTCCGTTGACTGCCAGGTCCCGGTAGGAGCAATGGCCAACAGAGAAGAATCGAGGTAAATCCTCCTTTGTTGCCTAAGAGCTGTTGTTGTTTACCCCAGTTTATAACCTCTTCACACTGAAGCATCACCCTTCAAAGGAGGATGTTGCTTCCCACTTTGATTATCATTTACTTGACTTTACAAGAAACTTTCACATCTTCCAAAACAGTAAGCTGTAAGATTTGCTCCAAGCTCTACGCAGTATATACTATGACTATTTTCCATTTAGAAATTAACTTACATTACAGCTGTAAGTCTATATACTGAACTTATGATGCTCGTTACTAAATGAATGATAATGGACATGAAATAGTCTGTAATTCATAGTCAAAATCTACCATTGCTATGTTTGTCTAAGGAAGCTTCAGTGAGTATACTTCAGATGCATATGAAGTTAGAAAAACAGTTAACAGAAATAGTTCAGTAGAGAAATCCTGATCCTAGGACTAATAAAACTAGATTTTCTTAAATCCAAATGCCTGTGAGATTCTATGCAGAAGGATAATTTGTATCCAGCATGTAAATAATCATGATTCTCAGAAGGAATTATTTGCACTTTAATTGCTCTTAGTAATGGAGAGTTGTGTCTTCTTATTTGTCCCCTTGTCATTAGAAAGTATCACTTACCATACATTTAATTCAAGTTTTCATCTTAAAAAATGTTACTCTAGAAATCTTGATCACAATCTCCTTTCATTCCTGCCCACTCCCATCCCCCCACCCTCCACCCCACCCCTCCACCCTGCTTGGTTTTGGTTTGTTGTTTTGTTTTTTACAAATCAGTGTATAACTCACTAAGGCTCAAGATACTATGTTTGAAACCTGAAAGCCAGCCTGAAGGTCAAATTCGAAATAACAATTTTCTTTTTGAATTTGAAGTCTCATTAGTGTAAGTGCCAGGATAACAACCCACAGTCTTCTTAATATAGTGGTTCCCATTTACATACTGTATCCTTAAACCACCTCTATTATCCCTTTCTGGGTGTTTTTCTTTCAAATGGTGCTTGTTTTACTTAAATAAACTTTCTTTAGATTAAACTTTCAGATAATGACTTCAAGTGGAAAACCAGTATCCTCTGTCATAATAAATGATATCCAGGAAGAGAAGTAATGGTAAAAACAATAAAATATTATTGAATTCTAGCTAGGAACATGAACCTACCACGGCACTGAGCCTAAATCTTTTTCTCCTTATGTTAAGTGTTAAAGATATGTTGAATACACTAAATGGAGACTTTCTCTAGACAGTATGATGAGTACAGGGAAGTTGAAAAGAACTTTCTCACAATATGATTTCGTGGATTTAATAGCTTCTCCCAACCAAAAATTACCTTTACCTTAGAAAAAAATTCCTTGATAAAATCAACTCAAATCCCCTAAGTTTAACAAGTGATGGTGGTAATGTACAGTCCTCAATGTGAGACCAAACTGAATCCAAGGCTGTATTCCCCAAGATTCTTCTTCCTCACTAATTCTCACTAATATAGAGTGGCTGCCGCCACCACCACCATGATGCCCTCCAGGTGTGCCCTCCTGGACATTCTGGCTCAAGCAAACACAGGCCTCCTTCCTTAATTCCTCTGAGGACACATGGGAAGAGCCTGGAAGTTTAAATATGACTTCATAGACAAATAGGATAATAAAAAGGAAATAAACAGAAAAACTTAACTCATCTGCTTTTTCATTGTTGGTTGGGGGTGTTTTTGAGGCAGTGGTTCCCCAACTTTTAGCACATATGGAAACCAGCTGGGGATTGTTAAAACAGAGTGCTGGGCCCACCCCCATATTTTCCAATGCAGCGGGGCTGGATTGGGGCCTGAGAATTTACATTTTGAACAAGTGCTCAGGTGAGGCTGGGGCTGCTGATCTGGAAGCCACTCTTGGAGAACCACTGTCCTTAGAAGACGCATTGCTGCCTGGCTTCTGCCTACCTGCCTTTAAGCCAGGTCCATATTTCAGGTCTATTTGGAGACTTGTCAAAGGACAGACCCTAATTATAAAATGGAAAGGCAGCTAGTCCCATACATAAGATTGAATTGAATTCTCTTTTTCTTGCAAGCTAGCATAGATTGGTTCTTCCCTCATAGCTAGCCGTATGACTCCTTCTCATTGAGATCACCCAGCCATATCTCCTCAATTCTTTATTTCCCACATTTGCACATCTCTGAAAATGGGATGTGTTTCACAATCATGCCACAAACGCCCTGAGCCTACGGGAATCCTGTTGTACTTGTTCATAGTATCATTGCTTCACTGAGTTATGTGCATTTTTGGTACCGCATAAGTTGATTCCATTGCCATTTAAAATGTCTTTAAAATTATGATACTGTAATTGAGCATTGAGACAAAAAGTTATTGTGTATGAAGAAAGGTGTGGGAATAGGGCAATGAAGCTTACATTTGGTATTGAAGGAAATATTTTGTTTCTAGAAGAATGATCACAATTTCATATTTTTAAAAAGAGCTATTAACAGTTTTATTTTAAAATAGCAACATGTACAATGCACTCATACATAGTTTGCAATTGTTAAAATGATGATGAAAATCTTTAACCTCACTAAAAAAAAACACATTTACAGATTTTAAAAATTCTTTTAGGGGGTACACAAGATAAAAATTTAAAGACCTCAGCTGTAGATTGCAATTTTCCAAATGGATCTCACAATACTGGCACCTAGCCAAAATAAATTCTTTAACCAAAGATAGGAAAATGAGAAAGTAGGACAACTTATTGATTTTTTAATAAAATGATGTTAAATGTTTTCAGTTTAAAGTTCTGTTCTATTTTCTGAAATTAAGGTGCTTGCTACCTTTTTAGGGGGTTGAGAGGAGTTTAGTTTGAAAATAATGATGTTAATATTAACATGCTTTTCTTTTTTCATTTCTACATTGCCTTTGAAAGCAACAGCTATGTGCTTTACAGGGCTTGCCTAAGGAGGCTACCTGTAAGGAGAAGAAGCTGAGTTTCATTTTGCTACTGAGAAACACACAAAGGATTGCCTTTAACTTCCTAAGCATTGCAACTGAAAGCAGAAGAAATTGCCAGATCCCTGCTGATTTATGAAATGCATTTCAAAGCCACAGAACTACCATTTTAGGCATTGCAGCACAATTTAATTGGCATTATTTTTCTTACTGGTCCAGAAAATAATGGTGTGATTTACAAATGTTGATGTCTTCAATTTGATCAAACACTGTATTTAAAATTGTATACCTCTTCCTGCTGATCTACTTTATCCTGCTCTACTGCACTATATGATTCACTAATTAACTCTAAATTTACCATCAGTCTCCTTCAGCTGGAAGATGAGCTCCTTGAAGGCAAGCATCTTTGTTTATTCATCGTAGGGTCTAGATAAACCAATGTTTAATACATAATTGTTGAATGAATTAATGACTGAAGGAATTGGATCGTAACCCCTACTTGAATGTAATTTTACACTTACCCTTGTGACCTTGATAGAACTAATAGTCCTGCCTTTGTCAGGCTGGCAGCTTTATGTCAAATCTACATTTTGGGTGTGTAGGAAGACTGGCCAAGGGACAATATCAAAGGCTAGTACCGCAAGCCCTAAAGCAATAGTGAAGAGTGACATAGTTTCTAGTGATGAGTCTGTATGTATAGGAGGGAAGTGGGCATTGGGATGAGGAAGGAATCAAGGATTATTCTCTTATAGCCATGGATATATTCAAATGTGTGGAATGAATGGATGAGTAAATGCAACATTTGACAATTTCTCCAAATATGGTTTTTTTTCTCATGTACTAATGGTTATATTTTTTAAGTGGTAATCTCATTACCTCTCCAAGACCAAGCAAGACATCAATCAAATTGTGTGAGAAGCAAATTCACACATTAACTTAACCATGAAAGCAAGCAGTGGCTCATGTGCCATGAAAAGAATTCAGATTCAAAGGAATGCGAATCAGGTAGCAGGCTGAGTAAATATTCTCACAATCAGACTATTCTCACAATCAGACCTTGACCTAGTGAGAAATTAAACATACTCTACTTTTCCTTTAGTCTTCATTTATTTTTGCTTAAGTTTGTGGGGGATATGCTGGCTTAATTTGCATCTGATGATTGTATTTCTTCTTGGGAGAAATGGAACAAGTGACTAATACCTACCAGGTGGATGGCAGGTAGGCAGAGGTGAATGGAAGCAGAGCCAACACATTTTCTGTGCCAAGTACAATTCCCCAGGCTGAATTATATTTCAAATTTGTTTGCATTGGTTCTTTCATTATTGCTTACACAAATAGAGCTGAAAAACCACATGGTTAAGTACAGAATACCGTGATATAATGACTTGTAGACACAAGGGGTCAGCATTTGAACACAGATGATTTGGTCGAAGTCTTGCCTTGTTCCCTTCTGCTGCTCTACTCTGGCTTGATGTGCTTATGTGTATGAGGGTAGATATGGAAATGAAATTCAATTTGTATTTTGCACATCGCTTTCTTTTCCAGTTTAGAATTTTGAGATCTCCCTTTTATATTTAATCAGTCTGTTATTGTCATGGGAGATGATATCTAACAAGGAGTCTTACCAGTCTCACTGGCCCCAATGGTTTCAGCAAACTTCAGTGACCTCCAGATATACGCTAATTTTTCTCTTCCCAAAAGAGCTTCTTAACCTAATCTACTCTTTTTTGAAGAGTCTTAACCTAACCTACTCTTTTTTGAAGAGTCCCTAATCTATGCTTGCTTAATACATGTGTTGGATGATACACTATTTTACTGATACAAATCTACCAGAAACAGGAGATTTGTGGTTGGAGAGATTGTATCTTGATTCTGAGCTTATTCTGAGCTTTCGACTTAGCATTGGGCTCCATTATAATTGCTCTGTCTTTGATCTGTCCTTTCACTTTCTACGTCTAACTCAGTGCAAATGCATGCTACAGTATCTCTTAAGAAACACTATATTATTCCCATAATTAAAAATTATTACAGTAAAATTCACTTTTTTGGGTGTACAGTTCCTTAGCTGGGTATCACTGGCTCAGGGTCTCATGAAGCTGTAATTGAGATGTCAGCCAGAGCTGCTCTCCCATCTGAAGGCTTAACTGAGGGAGAATCCACATTTGCTCATGTGGCTATGGGTGGGATTCAGTTCCTCAGGGACTGTTGGACTAGGGACTTCAGTTCCCTGCTGGCTGTTGCTGGAGGCTTCCCTCAGTTCCTTGTCATATCTCCATAGGGCAGAGTGACCCAGATGACACAGCTTGTTTCCACACAGGTGAGAAAGTGAGAGACTGAGAGAAAGATGAAAGTCAGGGTGTTTTTGTAACCCATGTAAAAGTGACATCCCATCATGTTTACTGTATTCTATTTATTGGAAGCAAAAGTAGGGAGGATTACACAACAGTGTGAACATCAGAAGGCAGGGATCACTGGGGACCATTTTAGAGGTTGCCACCATAAAGGCTGTCACAATGATCCAATTGAGAAATGATGGAGTTTGCATTTGGGTGGTGCCAGTAGGCTAACATCCTCCGATTGCAAAATATGAGTGACATTTAGAAGAATAAAATTGCTAAAACATGATGGTTGATTGGCTATGGTAGATAAAGGAATAAAAAATTTTGAAGAAGACTCCAGATTTCGGGCTTGAGCTCCTGAGTAGATGGCAGTACTATTCACTTATAATGATATTCTGCAGGAAGGCAGAGATCGTGACTGCTGTTTCGGACATATTAGCTTGCAAGTACCTGTGAGGCATCTAATTTGAATATCAGGCAGGTGGTTAGATATTCAGATTTTGAGCTTATAAGAAAGTTGTGGATCAGATAATGGATTTGGCTTTTGTCACTGTAGAGATTGTAATTGAAGCCTGTCTTAGGTCCAGTTTCTAGGAGCACAAATTTCCCAAATAACAAGTGAGTCAGTAGGAATGAAGTGAACAGACTCTTTCTAGTTCTACCCCTTGACTCCTGGATTCGTATATTCTACCACTGGATACACAGTACCACATAATGACCATTGGTAGAAGGTATATACTACATCCTAAAGCAACACCCAAACCTCATAATGTATCGTCTGTAAGCTGGCACCTCAGTTGTGACTTTAAGAAACTGTTCCAATCTCTATCAAAATAGCAATATCTGGGCTATACAGTATGTGGGAATTGGTGGGTTCCATACTCACGCACCTGTTCTGTGACCCCCATCTGTCATAAGTTGGCTTCCTGGTCTGATGCAATATTATTCAGGATTCCATGTCAGTAAATCAAGTACTCTGTGAGTCTTTGAATAGTAGGTGTGAATTGAGGCACTGCGGGCAGAAAGGCAAACCTATACCCAGAAAATATGCTATTCCTGGATAAGACAAATCACTTCTCTTTTCAAGGTAGAAAAGGAATTATTTGCAACTAAATGGTGTCTTCTTGAGAGATAGCATACTGGGCATCTTTCAGACGGGTTTCAGCAGTGGCAGTAACTAGATCAGCATTGGTGGGAGGGAGACCCTTCCACTGGGCTCACGCAGAGCCTCCATTTGAATATCCGTGACTATTCTTTGAGGAGGCCCAGTGTGCCAGCCCTGGTGTGGCCAGGGCTACCTGACATTTACCAGTCAAGTCATCCTGTCCATCTAGTTTTGTAGAGCCTCTTCTACAGTGAATACTCCCTAATGGACATTAATGCATGATACACAGTTTGCCCATTCCTATGGGTCCATGAACCTGTTTCTACTCCAGATCTCTTTGTTCCCAATCTTCCAATCCAAATAGTTCAATTCCAAATGATCCATTCTGCACTGCTCAGAAGTCCGTGCTTATCCTTCCTTCAAGCCACTCTCTTCACACAAAGTGGATGACCAGGTGCACTCCTGTTCAAAGCTGGGACCTCTGTCATGCAGCAGCAGTCTATTTTTGTTTGTACTAGCATACCAAGCTGGTCTATCTGTAAATCAGACCTTGGTTTTTTTCTCTCCTTCATCACTGGCGGGTCCTCAGTTATTATACAGAACCATTTTGGCATACCTGCATCTTGGGCTTTTGAATCTCTTCCTTAGAACTCTGGCAAGACTACTCTGGTACCTCCACCTCATTTAATGTGAGTCAGCCTTATCATCCCACACCAAGTTCCTAAGAGTCATCCCAGCAATGGAATAAGACCAGTTCTAAACCCCACAGGAAATCCTCTGAAGGGTCATTGGGAGCAAAAGTGAACTAAAACCAGGGAAGAGGCACAGAGACTGGTAAAGATGATTTGAAGAGAGCTGTGCAGCCACTAACCGTGTCTACTATGAAGCCATCAGGGTGGATGATGTGGAGAGAGGGTGAAGTGAGAAGAACACAGTAGTTCAGAGAGAGCCCTCCCTACAAAACCCCCAAACCCCAATAGTTAATGATTAATAGAGAAAGTATTGCCTACAAATAAGACAGAAATCGAGTTTCAAAAGATGATGCCAGACAATGTTTTAAGTAAAGGATTATTTCATTGAATTGGCAGATGCTGAGTCATTAAGTAAGCTGAAAAGTTCAAATGCATTCATCGGATGTAGTATCATGGAGGTCAATGATGACCTTGTCAAGGGCAGTATCAGTGGCATGGTGGGCCCAGGAGCCAGATTTAGAGTAAGAGTTGGAGGAAAGTAAATAAAGCCAAGTAAAGAAAGGTAACAGAAGAAGGAAGGGAAGAAATAGGATGATGGATGGAAAGGACTATAGGATTAAGGGAATATTTTATTCTACTCTTTGTTTTGTTTTTAAATTTGGAGAGACATGAATAATGCTAGTTTGAAGGAGGCCTGGGAGAGAGAGGGAGAGGGAGAGAGAGAGAGAGAGGGAGAGATAGAGAGATTTGTTGGTGCCTGATTCCTAAGGAGAAGACTCTAGGGAAAAAGATTCTAAGTCCAGATGAAGGAATTGCTTTTGATGGTAAGGGACAATCTCCATATTGCAACAGAAAGGTGGAGAAAATGATAGTTTTGGGATTTGATGGTGGGAAGTTGAGGCTATATAGTTCCAATCAGATGGTTTATTTTCCCCCAGTAGAAGACAGGGTCATTTGCTAAGAGTTCATGGGTTGGAGAAAGTAAGAGGATTGAGGATGGTGGACAGTGTCTGAAAGAAAGGACAGATGGTGTACAGAGGAGGCAGATGGCAATGGCAATGAGGAAGACAGAGACTGTAAGCCTGGACTCAGCAGGTCCAGGATTTACAGAGGCTGGAAAAATATTTGTCTGGAACATGAACCCACTTCCAGCCCTGAGATACCTGGGGAATTAGGAAATATGCCACTTCTATCAAAAGGGCTGTAACGGAAGTGGTGTTCCACATGGGAAGTTAGGGTTAATTATGAGCAGAAAGTGCAAGGAAGACATGTTTGAGAATGTAGAAGAATTGTTTCATAGAGCTGGGGTTTCTGAAGAGTAAAATGAAGATTTTGGGAGTTTGGGAAGGACAGGGATTAAGTCAGGAAGGAGAAAACATAGAACATTACACAAACCAACAAAATATTCTATAATTTTTTTTTTCTGGTCTCTCTCTCATTTTTCTTTTCAACCAACAAGGACACTATTTTTTTTTTTTTTTTTTGCTAGTTATCAGTATAAACTGTTCCCTATCCAAGGGAATTCAATTAGGACAATTTGCAAAATTGAACTAAAATAAATCTCAGCTGGAATTTAAGTTGACTGGTTGCTCTGGTCTAAATTGAGATACTGCTTTTAAGAATATATTCATGTTTGGGCATTAAGAGTTCACCATTTTCCTGTGATTATAATTAAATATTATTAACTTCTCTCTCCTTGACCTCTCTGTGGCATGATTATTTTGCTGTAATTTTAAAAAGATCTACTTTTAGCCTTTGGATGCAACACATGTAACTGTTCATCAAGGATCAACTGCAGGTATTTTTGTCTTTCATATGTATCAAGAGGCCTAATTGTTATCATGAGTCTATTAAAAACTCTTTGGCGTCAGCAAGACATTTACACTTATAAGGAAGAATAGATAAATTTGTATCTTTCAAAATAAGAGGATGTTAGCTGCTGAAAAAATTTCACTATTTTCAATTGCATACTTCATTAAACCTAAGAAGGTGCATTGGAAAATAAAGACTAAAAAGTAGATTGACCTGTAGTTGTTGAGGAAAGGGTGTGCTTAGGAACTGGACATTATTTTGTAAGTGACAGGGAGCCAGTAAACTCCTTTCTGTTTGTGTAACTTTCACCATCAGAACTGAGCTTTAGTAAAATAGCTGCTATGTGGAAGTTGGAATGGAGAGAGAGAGAAATTGAAGGCAAGAAGGAAAGGAATAAGCTAGTGCAGTGGCTTAGGTGAGAAATAGCATCAGTCTAATCTACACAAATGACCAGGAATAGAAACGTGGTGATGAAGTAAACTAGATAGATAACACACACTTGATTGACAATCGACTAAATTGCTTGATTTGTCAAATTATACTGGAAAGGTCATAATTCCTGATCTCATGTTTGTAAGCCAAAAAGTGTCTGCGACAGGTCTCAATCAATTTAGAAAGTTTATTTTGCCAAAGTTAATGATGTGTGCCCAGGAGGCAAGTCTGTGCCTTTCTCCAAAGATAATTTTAAGGGCTTCAGTATTTAAAGGGAAAAAGCAAATATTGGGGAAAGAGAAATAAATTGTTAGAAGGTGTGTGTAGATAAGAGACAAACAGTTGCACTCTTTTGAGTCTTTGATCAGCCTTTCACCAAATACACAATTTACGTATGAGAAGGAGGTAGAGGAATAGTCACTTATGCCTTCATCTGGCTCCATAAATCTGCATTTTACATCAGAGTAAGCAATCAGATATCCATTTATCTCAGGTGAGCAGAGGGAGGACAAAGTTCTGTCCTTTGTCCCCCACCTGTGAAGATAAGCTGTCAATTTACATTGTCAGGGTAAAATTCAACAGAATTGTTTTAGGGTGAAGATATTGGAGCCCACAAGGAATTTCCTAGTGGGCAAATTGTAAGGGACATATGTAGCTTTTTTTTCTTTGTGGCTATCTTATTTAGAAATAAAATAGGAGGCAGGTTTGCCTGACACAATTCCCAGCTTGACTTTTTTCTTTGGCTTAGTGATTTTGGGGTCCCGAGATTTATTTTCTTTTCACACATTTTTCACTATTCCACTCCAACTTCCTCCTTCTCCATGTGCCCCCAAATATCTTTCTGAGCCATAAAGAGTTAATGTTAAAAGGAACAGCACATTTCCTGACATCCATAACACTAGGGAAGAGGAATAGAACACAACTGCGTAATTATCATTGCACAATCACAACTGGAACTGATTGTTTCAGCTTGAAAATGGCTCTTGATTTCCCCTGGTGACATTTTCAGACCTTCATTATAAGTGAAGAACCTTGGTAACCATGTCATGCATTTTTCTGTGGTCTGAAACATATCCATTTAATGAGATGATGACCTTTATTTATCTACAAAATGTGAAACCATTAGCTGTTAACCAAACATACAGAGTGAGGTTGAGACAGTAACTTAGGACTTTGAATCTCAGAATTTAGATGTTTTTCTAAACAACACTTAGACAAAGTGAACAGGAATTTCTTCTATTACTAGGGATTTTGATATAAAAACACATAACATCATAACTCTGTAGTTGAGTGTGTATAATGGATTGTATAACTGTTTACTAATATTCAGTGCCCCACCTGTAAGAAAAATTTGTATTTATCTGACCCTTAGGTTTGGCCATGTGACTTGCTATGGCCAAAGAGATATAATGGCGGTGGCATGCGTGTCCTTTTCAGGTGGAAGTTTAAGAACCAGTGCATTTTTTGCCACACTGTCTCTACACATTGCTTCAGCAATGGGTAATGTAGATTGTGTCCACTCTCTCAGGCTAGGTCTCTGGGTGAGGACAAAGTGACAGAAATCAGAACACTCAACTGGCACATGAGGGAAATGTATTATAAGCAAGAAATAAACTTTGCTGCTTTAGGCCACAGAGATGTAGGGTTGTTTGTTATCCCAGTATAATTAAGCTATCTCAGTTTGTTAAGGGTATATGTCTACTGCACACCTGTATTACGTATCTGGAGTCATTTTTACAAGAAAGAAACACTGAGGGGAAAGGTAGTGTGGGTGTAATGAGAAAAAACTGTTAGAAAACAGTCTTTAAATTGTCACTAGAAATTGGTGAAAAAAACTCACTGTTCTTTTATGTTTAACTATATACTGCTATAAAAATGATCAAATATTTTGTTTTAAGTGCTTAGGGATAGAGAAGAAGGTGGAGAAATTGGGAGTGCAAAATAATAAATGTAGAAAGAAATGGAAAGTTCTCCAGATTTTCTAAAAGGATCACAGAAAAGTTAACTAACCGAAATGCCTTTAATTGCAGAGACCAAAATAACTGTTGGGTGGGTATTTTTGTGACTCCTTGTCTGGAATTAGCCTCTAGAGTGTACCTCACCATACAGTCACATCTTAGAGGACCATCCCAACACTTAGAATATTAGAGAGGTCTATCAGATCTGCCCATACTGTGATGGCCAAAGACTGGCTGGAACTCAAGAAAGTTCATGAAGAGCCTTTCTCCAAGGTGCTTAAGACTTTATCATGTTTATACATGTCTTTTTGGTCAGAAAGAATTTGTTTTGTGTCTCTTTTTGTGTTCTTCAAAGTGAAATGTGTAAAGTGAATTCAAAAGTCTGATGGGAAAACGTCTGGTGAGAGGATAAAATCAGGACCTTACTTTAGTGTTACTTTGAAGAAAGTAAGCAGGAGTTACTTCACCTGACTCATGAAATTTGCTTACGTTTCATTGCTTTGTATATGTGTTTGTGGAAGGGGCTCCAAGAAATTGAACATAACATAATTGACTAGCAATGTACCAGGCAACTGTTTCTAAGGGTTTCAGAAGGCTTTTTAAATTTTGTTGCTTGAGAATCTTGGCATCCATGATTCAGTGTGATAGGAGATCTGGTTTTAGCTTTTTCTCTATGTAGGAAGAATTTATTTCCACCAACAGGGGTAACACCATTCCTTTTAACACAATTATCAAAATAAAATAAATCTGCATAAAGGAACCAAAGTCTTGGTAAGACGTGCTTAGGTTTTCTGGACAGGTATGCAGTTAATATGGTTTGGTTCTCTGTCCCCACCAAGATCTCATCTCAAACTGTAATACCCACATGTCAGGGGAGGGACCTGGTGGGAGGTGATTGGATGATGGGAGTGGATTTTCTCCATATTGTTCTCTTAATAGTGAGTGAGTTCTCATGAGACCTGATGATTTAAAAGTGTGGCACTTCCCCCCTTGCTCTCTCTCCTGCTGCCATGTAAGATGTGCTTGCTTCCCCTTCGCCTTCTGCCATGATTGTAAGTTTCCTGAGGCCTCTCTAGTCATGCAGAACTGTGAGTCAATTAAACCTCTTTTCCTTATAAATTACCCAGTCTCAGGTAGTTCTTTACAGTAATGTGAAAATGGACTAATACAGCAGTCTTACATGAGCATGGTCAGGATTTGTGGACAATACCAGAAAGAGGCAAAAACTTACAAATACTGATTGATAAAAAAAAACAATACTCGAAGACTTATTTTTGAACAAGCACATAAACAAAAACCAAGACTTACTTTATCATTACCTATAAAAGCAGGTGAACAATAACCATACTTTTTAGATGGGGGATGTAGGAAAGTGAAGAAACAAACCCAAATTTTATCTTCAGTTTAGCTAGTACAGCACTCCAGACTTGTGTATATAATTTGCCTACTAATCACTTCCACTTAGATGTTTAAGTGGCATCCAAACTTATATGACCTAACTGCACTCTTGATTTCCTCCTTCCTTATCCTGCTGTGATGGTTAACTTTATGTGTCAACTTGACTGGGTTGCAGAGTGTCCAGATCGCTGGTAAAACATTGTTTCTGGGTGTGCACATGAGGGTGTTTTCAGAAGAGATTAGAAGTTGAATCTGTAGACTGAGTAAAGAGAATCCACCTTCACCAATGTGAGTGTGCATCATCCAGTCTGTTGAGGGCCTGAATAGAACAAAAGGACAGATGAAGGATAAATTCACTCTTGTCTGGAGCTGTGATTTTCATCTCCTTCTGCCCTTGGATAGCAGTGCTTCTGGCTCTCAGGCCTTTGACCTTTAGGACTTAACACTATTCTTCTCCTTCCCCTACCCAAGGCTTTCAGCCTCAGACTGAATAACATTACAAACTTTCCTGGTTCTTCAGCTTGCAAACAGCATGTGGTGAATCATCTCAACCTCCATAATTGCATGAGCCAATTCTCATAATAAATCCCCCCTTATCTATCTATCTGTCTCTATCTCGATCATCTGTATCTATATCTCCTGTTGCTTCTATTTCCCTGGGGAACCTTGACTAATACCTGCTTTTCATATAGTCTTCCACATCTCAGGATATTGAAACTTCATCCTTCCAGCTTCTCAGGCCAGAAACCTTGTAGTCATGTTTGATTCTCTTCTTTCTCTCATATTCCACATTCAATACATTGGTAAACTTGGGCAGCTTTACTTTAAATACATATCAAGAATCCGACCAATTACCACCACCTCCATTGTTATCACTAAACCATCACCAGTCTCCTGAACCAAGTGAGAGCCCCTGCTCATTTTCCCCTTCCCAATCTTATCCTCCTAGTGATTCTTTTCCACAAAACAGCCAACAGGATTTTTAAAAACTTTTAAAACATAATTTAGAAGTATTTTTTAAAAATAAAGTACACATATACATAAAGAGTCAAATAATTTCACAAGGTTGTTACTACAATAGCAGTCCCTTACCACCCTCACCACCCCATCTATGTAGCTTCTCAGAGGCAGCCATTTTGAACTCCTTCAACTGATTGGTATTGACCGCATTTCATTAAATCAATAATGCCTGAGATTCTATAATGCAACAAATGCTGCCAGTTAAACTATGATACACCATGGGTTGAGACGTATCCTGATTATGGAGATGTTGAAATGTAAAAAAAAAAATGTATGTCTCAGGATTGATGAAATATGGTATTTTCATTTCTTTGAATAACATGTTTATATATGTATCTGTATGTATATTTACACATGCTTATGTACCTATAGACAGTATATATTATGTATATTATATATAATATAAATTATGCAATGTAAATATAATATATAAGATGTTATGCATATTATTAATTTTATATATATTTACGTATATATTTCTTTGTTCTGGAGCTTAGGCAATAAATGTTAACTTCCCACTGTGAAAGATGAAGGTCTAGTATGCTTTTATTTATTTATTTATTTATTTTTAATCAAACAATTTACTTTTTATTTTTTCTTAATTTTTTAATATTGCATTTTCAATATGAGAGTATCTTCAGACACTAAAATATATTTTGGTCAGTACAGATTTCAAAAATTTTACCTATGTCTCTGGATGCTTCTCTTTTCATTCTTTATAGTTCTTTTTTTTATATAGTTTAAGTTCAGGGATACATGTGCAGAACGTGCAGGTTTTTTACATAGGTATAAATGTGCCATGGTGGTTTGCTGCACCCATTAACTTGTCATCTAGGTTTTAAGCCCCGCATGCATTAGGTATTCCTCCTAATGCTATCCCTCCCCTAGCCCCCCACCCCCTGACAGGCCCCAGTGTGTGATGTTCCCCTCCCTGTGTCCATGTGTTCTCCTTGTTCAACTCCCACTTGTGAGTGAGAACATGCGGTGTTTGTTTTCTGTTCCTGTGTTAGTTTGCTGAGAATGATGGTTTCCAGCTTCATCCATGTCCCTGCAAAGGGGATGAACTCATCCTTTTTTATGTCTGCGTAGTATTCTGTGGTATATATTTGCCACATTTTCTTTATCCAGTCTATCATTAATGGCATTTGGGTTGGTTCCCAGTCTTTGCTATTGTGAACAGTGCTTCAATAAACATACGTGTGCATGTGTCTTTATAGTAGAATGATTTATAATCCTTTGGGTATATACCCAGTATTAGGATAGCTGGGTCAAATGGGATTTCTGGTTCTAGATCCTTAAGGAATCGCCACCCTGTCTTCCACAATAGTTGAAATAATTTACACTCCCACCAACAGTGTAAAAGCATTGCTATTTCTCCACGTCCTCTCCAGCATCTGTTGTTTCCTGACGTCTTTTATTTTTTTTTTGAGACGGCGTCTTGCTGTGTCACCAGTCTTGAGTGCAGTGACGTGATCTCAGCTCATTGCAACCTCTGCTTCCTGGGTTCAAGCGATTCTCCTGACCCAGCCTCCCGAGTAGCTGGGACTACAGGTGCACACCACCACGCCCAGCTAATTTTTGTATTTTTAGTATAGATGGGGTTTCACCATTTTGGCCAGGATGTTCTCGATCCCTTGACCTCATGATCTGCCCAGCTTGGCCTGCCAAAGTGCTGGGATTACAGGCATGAACCACTGCACCCGGCCTGTTTCCTGACTTTTTAATGATCGCCATTCTAACTGGCATGAGATGGTATCTCATTGTGTTTTTGATTCGCATTTCTTTAATGACCAGTGATTATTAGCTTTTTTAAATATGTTTGTTGGCCACATAATTGTCTTCTTTTGAGAAGTGTCTGTTCATATCCTTTGTCCACTTTTTGATGGGGTTATTTTATTCTTGTAAATTTGTTTAAGTTCCTTGTAGATTCTGGATATTAGCCCTTTGTCAGATGAATAGATTGCAAAAATTTTCTCTCATTCTGTAGGTTGCCTGTTCACTCTGAGGATAATTTCTTTTGCTGTGCGGAAGCTCTTTAGTTTGATTAGATCCCATTTGTCAATTTTGGCTTTTGTTGCAATTGCTTTAGGTGTTTCAGTCATGAAGTCTTTGCCCATGCCTGTGTCCTTAATGGTATTGCCCAGGTTTTATTTTAGGTTTTTATGGTTTTAGGTCTTACATTTAAGTCTTTAATCCATCTTGAGTTAATTTTTGCATAAGGTGTAAGGAAGGGGTCCAGTTTCAGTTTTCTGCATATGACTAGCTAGTTTTTTCAACACCATTTATTAAATAGGGAATCCTTTCCCCATTGCTTGTTTTTGTCAGGGTTGTCAAAGATCAGATGGTTGTAGATGTGTGGCATTATTTTTGAGGCCTCTGTTCTGTTCCATTGGTTATATATCTGTTTTGGTACCAGTACCATGCTGTTTTTATTACTGTAGCCTTGTAGTATAGTTTGAAGTCAGGTAGCGTGATGCCTCCAGCTTTGTTCTTTTTGCTTAGGATTGTCTTGGCTATGCAGGCTCTTTTTTGCTTCTATATGAAATTTAAAGTAATTTGGTCTAATTCTGTTTAGAAAGTCAATGGTAGCTTGATGTGGATAGCATTGAGTCTATAAATTACTGTGGGCAGTATGGCCATTTTCACAATATTGATTCTTCCTATCCTTGAGCATGAAATGTTTTTCCATTTGTTTGTGCCCTCTCTCATTTCCTTGAGCAGTGGTTTGTAATTCTCCTTGAAGAGGTCCTTCACATCCCTTGTAAGTTGCATTCCTAGGTATTTTATTCTCTTTGAGCAATTGTGAATGGGAGTTCACTCATGATCTGGCTCTCTGTTTGTCTATTATTGGTGTATAGGAATGCTTGTGATTTTTGCATATTGATTTTGTACCCTGAGACTTTGCTGAAGTTGCTTATCAGCGTAAGGAGATTTGGGGCTGAGACAATGGGGTTTTCTAAATATACAATCATGTCATCTGCAAACAGAGACAATTTGACTTCCTCTCTTCCTATTTGAATACCCTTTATTTCTTTCTCTTGCCCGATTGCCCTGGTCAGAACTTCCAATACTATGTTTAATAGAAGTGGTGGCAAAGGGCATCCTTGTCTTGTGCTGGTTTTCAATGGGAATGCTTCCAGGTTTTGCCCATTCAGTACGATATTGGCTGTGGGTTTGTCATAAATAGCTCTTATTATTTTGAGATACCTTCCAACGATACCTAGTTTATGAGAGTTTTTAGCATGAAAGGCTGTTGAATTTTGTCGAAGGTCTTTTCTGCATCTATTGAGATAATCATGTGGTTTTTGTCTTTGGTTCTGTTTATGTGATGGATTACATGTATTGATTTGCGTATGTTGAAGCAGCCTTGCATCCCAGGGATGAAGCCGAGTTGATTGTGGTGGATAAGCTTTTTGTCGTGCTGCTAGATTTGGTTTGCCAGTATTTTATTGAAATTTTCGCATTGATGTTCATCAGGGATATTGGCCTAAAATTCTCTTTTTTTGTTGTTTCTCAGCCAGGCTTTGGTATCAGGATGATGCTGGCCTCATATAATGAGTTAGATAGGAGTCTCTCTTTTGCTATTGTTTGGAATAGTTCCAGAAGGAATGGTACCAGCTCCTTTTTGTACCTCTGGTAGAATTCGGCTGTGAATCCATCTGGTCCTGAACTTTTTTTTGTTGGTAGGCTATTAATTACTGCCTCAATTTCAGAACTTGTTATTGGTCTATTCAGAGATTCAACTTCTCCTTGGTTTAGTCTTGGGAGGGTGTGTGTGTCCAGGAATTTATCCATTTCTTCTAGATTTTCTAGTTTATTTGCATAGAGGTGTTTATAGTATTCTCTGATGGTAGTTTATATTTCTGTGGGATCAGTGGTGATCTCCCCTCTATCATTTTTTATTGTGTCTATTTAATTCTTATCTCTTTTCTTCTTTATTAATCTGGCTGGTGGTCTATCTATTTTGTTAATCTTTTCAAAAAACCAGTTCCTGGATTCATTGATTTTTTGAAGGGTTTTTCGAGTCTCTATCTCCTTTAGTTCTGCTCTGATCTTAGTTATTTCTTGTCTTCTGCTAGCTTTTGAATTTGCTGGTTCTTGCTCCTTTAGTTATTTTAATTGTGATGTTAGGTTGTTGATTTTAGATCTTTCTTGCTTTCTCTTGTGGGCATTTAGTGCTATAAATTTCCCCCTAAACACTTCTTTAGCTGTGTCGCAGAGATTCTGGTACGTTGTGTTTTTGTTCTCATTGGTTTCAAAGAACTTATTTATTTCTGCCTTAATTTCATTATTTACCCAGTAGTCATTCAGGAGCAGGCTGTTCAGTTTCCATGTAGTCGTGTGGTTTTGCTTGAGTTTCTTAATCCTGAGTTCTAATTTGATTGCAGTGTGGTCTAAGACACTGTTTGTTATAATTTCCATTCTTTTGCATTGGCTGAGGAGTGTTTTACTTCTAATTATGTGGTCAATTTTAGAATAAGTATGATGTGGTGCTGACAAGAATATATATTCTGTTGATCTGTAGTGGAGCGTTCTGTAGATGTCTCTTAGGTCTACTTGGTCTGGAGATGAGTTCAAGTCCTGAACATCCTTTCCTTGTTAATTTTCTGTCTCGTTGATCTGTCTAGTATTGACAGTGGGGTGTTAAAGTCTCCCACTATTATTGTGTGGGAGCCTAAGTCTCTTTGTAGGTGTTTAAGAACTTGCTTTATGAATCTGGGTGCTCCTTTATTGAGTGCATATATATTTAGGATGGTTAGCTCTTCTTGTTGCATTGCTCCCTTTACATTGTGTAATGTTCTTCTTTGTCTTTTTTATCTTTGTTGGTTGAAAGTCTGTTTTATCAGAAACTAGGATTGCAACCCCTGCTTTTTCTTGCTTTCCATTTGCTTGGTAAATATTTCTCCATCCCTTTATCTTGAGCCTATGTGTGTCTTTGCATGTGAGATAGGTCTCCTGAATACAGCACACTGATGGGTCTTGACTCTTTTTCCAATTTGCCAGTCTGTCTTTTAATTGGGACATTTAGCCCATTTACATTTAAGGTTAATATTGTTACGTGTGAATTTGATCTTGTCATTATGATGCTAGCTGGTTATTTTGCCCATTAGTTGATGCAGTTTCTTCATAGTGTCAATGGTCTTTACAATTTGGTATGTTTTTGCAGTGGCTGGTACCTGTTTTTCCTTTCCATATTTAGTGCTTCTTTCAGGAGCTCTTGTAAGGCAGGCCTGGTGGTGACAAAATCTCTCAGCATTTGCTTGTCTGTAAAGGACTTTATTTTTCCTTTGCTTGTGAAACTTAGTATGACTGGATTTAAAATTCTGGGTTGAAAATTCTTTTCTTTAAGAATGTTGAATATTGGCCCCCATTCTATTCTGGCTTGTAGGGTTTCTGCAGAGAGATTCACTGTTAGGCTGATGGGCTTCCCTTTGTGGGTAACCTGACCTTTCTCTCTGTCTGCCCTTAACATTTTTTCCTTCATTTCCACCTTTGTGAATCTGAAGATTATGTGTCTTGGGGTTGCTCATCTCGAAGAGTAACTTTGTGGCGTTCTCTGTATTTTCTGAGTTTGACTATTGGCCTGTCTTGCCCGGTTGGGGAAGTTCTCCTGGATAATATCCTGAAGGGTGTCTTCCAACTTGGTTCCATTCTCCCCGTCACTTTCAGGTACACCAATCAAACATAGGTTTGGTCTTTTCACATAGTCCCATGTTTATTGGAGGCTTTGTTCATTCCTTTTCATTCTTTTTTCTATAACCTTGTCTTCACACTTAATTTCATTTAGCTGATCTTCAATCTCTGATATCCTTTCTTCTGCTTGATCGCTTCAGCTATTGATAGTTATGTATGCTTCACAGAGTTCTCATGCTATGTTTTTAAGCATCATCAAGTCATTTATGTTCTTGTCTAAACTGGTTTTTGTAGTTAGAAATTCCTCTAACATTTTTTCAAGGTTCTTAGCCTCCTTGCATTGGGTTAGAACATGCTCCTTTAGCTCAGAGGAGTTTGTTATTACCCACCTTCTGAAGCCTACTTCTGTCAGTTTGTCAAACTCATTCTCCACCAGTTTGTTCCCTTCCTGGTGAGTAGTTGTGATCCCTCAGAGAAGAAGCATTCTGGTTTTTGAATTTTCAGCCATTTTGCACTGGTTTTCCTCATCTTCGTGGATTTATCTACCTTTGGTCTTTGATGTTGATGACCTTTGGATGGGGTTTTGGTGTGGACGTCCTTTTTGTTGATGTGGATGCTATTCCTTTCTGTTTGTTAGTTTTCCTCCTGACGGTCAGGCTCCTCTGCTGCAGGTCTGCTGCAGTTTGCTGGATGTCCATTCCAGATCCTGTTTGCCTGGGTATCACCAGCAGAGGCTGGAGAACAGCAGAGATTGCTGCCTGTTCCTTCCTCTGGAAGCTTCATCCCAGAGGGGCAACCGCAAGATGCCAGCTGGAGCTCTCCTCTATGAGGTGTCTGTCAACCCCTGCTGGGTGGTATCTCCAAGTCAGGAGGCACAGGGGTCAGGGAGCCACTTGGGGAAGCAGTCTGTCCCTTAGCAGAGCTCAAGAGCTGTGCTGGGAGATCCACTGCTCTCTTCAGAGTCAGCAGGCAGGAATGTTTAAGTCTGCTGAAACTGCACCCACAGCTGCCCCTTCCCCCAGGTGCTGTGTCCCAGCCTAATGGGAGTTTTATCTATAAGCCCCTGACTGGGATTGCTGCCTTTTTTTCAGAGATGCCCTGCCCAGAGAGGAGGAATCTAGAGAGGCAGTCTGGCTACAGTGGCTTTGCTGAACTGCGGTGGGCTCTGCCACTCAGAATTCCTGGCAGCTTTGTTTACACTCTTAGGGGAAAACTGCCTACTCAAGCCTCAGTAATGGTGGATGCCCCTCTTCCCACCAAGCTCGAGTGTCCCAGGTCAACATCAGACTGCTCTGCTGGCAGCAAGAATTTCAAGCCAGTGGATCTTAGCTTGCTGGGCTCTGCGGGGGTGGGGTCCGCTGAACTAGACCAGTTGGTTCCCTGGTTTCGGCCCCCTTTCCAGGGGAGTGAACAGTTCTGTTTCGCTGGCATTCCAGGCACCACTGGGGTATGAAAAAAAAACTCCTGCAGCTAGCTCAGTGTCTGCCCAAATGGCTGCCCAGTTTTGTGCTTGAAACCCAGGGACCTGGTGGTGTAGGTACCCAAGGGAATCTCCTGGACTGCAGGTTGTGAAGTCCGTGGGAAAAGCATAGTATCTGGGCTGGAATGCACTGTTCCTCACGGCATGGTCCCTCCTGGCTTCCCTTGGCTAGGGGAGGGAGTTCCCTGACCCCTTGCACTTCCCATGTGAGACGATGCCCCACCCTGCTTCAGCTCACCTTCCGTGGGCTGCACCCACTGTCTAACCAGTCCTATTGAGGTGACCCAGGTACCTCAGTTGGAAATGTGGAAATCATCTGCCTTCTAGGTTGATCTCGGTGGGAGCTGCTGACAGGAGCGATTTGTCTTCAGTCATTTTGCCAGCCACACCGCTCTAGTATGCTTTTTTTTTTTTTTTTGCTTCTTTTCTTTTTTTTTTTAGTTATACTTTAAGTTCTAGGGTACATGTGCACAACGTGCAGGTTCATTACATATGTATACATGTGCCATGTTGGTGTGCTGCACCCATTAACTTGTCATTTACATTAGGTATATCTCCTAATGCTATCCCTCCCCTTCCCCACACCCCACGACAGGCCCCGGTGTGTGATGTTCCCCTTCCTGTGTCCAGGTGTTCTCACTGTTCAATTCCCACCTATGGGTGAGAACATGCGGTGTTTGGTTTTCTGTCCTTGCGATAGTTTGCTGAGAATGATGGTTTCCAGCTTCATCCATGTCCCTACAAAGGACATGAACTCATCCTTTTTTATGGCTGCATAGTATTCCATGGTGTATATGTGCCACATTTTCTTAATCCAGTCTATCATTGATGGACATTTGGGTTGGTTCCAAGTCTTTGCTATTGTGAACAGTGCCGCAATAAACATATGTGTGCATGTGTCTTTATAGCAGCATGATTTATAATCCTTTGGGTATATCCCCAGTAATGGGATGGCTGGGTCAAATGGTATTTCTAATTCTAGATCCTTGAGGAATCACCACACTGTCTTCCACAATGGTTGAACTAGTTTACAGTCCCACCAACAGTGTAAAAGTGTTCCTATTTCTCCACATCCTCTCCAGCACCTGTTGTTTCCTGACTTTTGAATGATTGCCATTCTAACTGGTGTGAGATGGTATCTCATTGTGGTTTTGATTTGCATTTCTCTGATGGCCAGTGATGATGAGCATTTTTTCATGTGTCTGTTGGCTGCATAAATGTCTTCTTTTCAGAGGTGTCTGTTCATATACTTTACCCACTTTTTGATGGGGTTGTTTGTTTTTCTCTTGTAAATTATCTTGAGTTCTTTGTGGATTCTGGATATTAGCCCTTTGTCAGATGAGTAGATTGCAAAAATTGTCTCCCATTCTGTAGGTTGCCTGTTCACTCTGATGGTAGTTTCTTTTGCTGTGCAGAAGCTCTTTAGTTTAATTAGATCCCATTTGTCAATTTTGGCTTTTGTTGCCATTGCTTTTGGTGTTTTAGTCATGAAGTCCTTGCCCATGCCTGTGTCCTGAATGGTATTGCTAAGGTTTTCTTCTAGGGTTTTTATGATTTCAGGTCTAACATTTAAGTCTTTAATCCATATTGAATTAATTTTTGTATAAGGTGTAAGGAAGGGATCCAGTTTCAGCTTTCTACATATGGCTAGCCAGTTTTCCCAGCACCATTTATTAAATGGGGAATCCTTTCCCCATTGCTTGTTTTTGTCAGGTTTGTCAAAGATCAGATGGTTGTAGATGTGTGGTATTATTTCTGAGGGCTCTGTTCTGTTCCATTGGTCTATATCTCTGTTTTGGTACCAGTACCATGCTGTTTTGGTTACTGTAGCCTTGTAGTATAGTTTGAAGTCAGGTAGTATGGTGCCTCCAGCTTTGTTCTTTTGGCTTAGGATTGACTTGGCAATGTGGGCTCTTTTTTGGTTCCATATGAACTTTAAAGTAGTTTTTTCCAATTCTGTGAAGAAAGTCATTGGTAGCTTGATGGGGATGGCATTGAATCTATAAATTACCTTGGGCAGTATGGCCATTTTCACGATATTGATTCTTCCTACCCATGAGCATGGAGTGTTCTTCCATTTGTTTGTGTCCTCTTTTATGTCGTTGAGCAGTGGTTTGTAGTTCTCCTTGAAGAGGTCCTTCACATCCCTTGTAAGTTGGATTCCTAGGTATTTTATTCTCTTTGAAGCAATTGTGAATAGGAGTTCACTCATGATTTGGCTCTCTGTTTGTCTGTTATTGGTGTATAAGAATGCTTGTGATTTTTGCACATTGATTTTGTATCCTGAGACTTTGCTGAAGTTGCTTATCAGCTTAAGGAGGTTTTGGGCTAAGACGGTGGGGTTTTCTAAATATACAATCATGTCATTTGCAAACAGGGACAATTTGACTACCTCTTTTCCTAATTGAATACCCTTTATTCAATTAGGCCTGATTGCCCTGGCCAGAACTTCCAACATTATGTTGAATAGGAGTGTTGAGAGAGGGCATCCCTGTCTTTTGCCAGTTTTCAAAGCAAATGCTTCCAGTTTTTGCCCATTCAGTATGATATTGGCTGTGGGTTTGTCATAAATAGCTCTTATTATTTTGAGATACATCCCATCAATACCTAATTTATAGAGAGTTTTTAGCATGAAGGGCTGTTGAATTTTGTCGAAGGCCTTTTCTGTATCTATTGAGATAATCATCTGGTTTTTGTCTTTGGTTCTGTTTATATGCTGGATTACATTTACTGATTTTCGTATGTTGAAGCAGACTTGCATCCCAGGGATGAAGACAACTTGATCATGGTGAATAAGCCTTTTGATGTGCTGCTGGATTTGGTTTGGCAGTATTTTATTGAGGATTTTTGCATCGATGTTCATCAGGGATATTGGTCTAAAATCTCTTTTTTTGTTGTGTCTCTGCCAGGCTTTGGTATCAGGATGATGCTGGCCTCATAAAATGAGTTAGGGAGGATTCCCTCTTTTTGTATTGATTGGAATAGTTTCAGAAGGAATGGTACCAGCTCCTTCTTGTAGAATTCGGCTGTGAATCCGTCTGGTCCTGAACTTTTTTTGGTTGGTAGGCTATTAATTATTGCCTCAACTTCAGAGCCTGTTATTGGCCTATTCAGAGATTCAACTTCTTCCTGGTTTAGTCTTGGGAGGATGTATGCGTTCAGGAATTTATCCATTTCTTCTAGATTTTCTAGTTTGTTTGCGTAGAGCTGTTTATAGTATTCTCTGATGGTAGTTTGTATTTCTGTGGGATTGGTGGTGATATCCCCTTTATCATTTTTTATTGCGTCTATTTGATTCTTCTCTCTTTTCTTCTTTATTAGTCTTGCTGCAGGTCTATCAATTTTGTTGATCTTTTCAAAAAACCAGTTCTTGGATTCATTGATTTTTGGAAGGGTTTTTTGTGTCTCTGTCTCCATCAGTTCTGCTGTGATCTTAGTTATTTCTTGCCTTCTGCTAGCTTTTGAATGTGTTTGCTCTTGCTTCTCTAGTTCTTTTAATTGTGATGTTAGGGTGTCAATTTTAGATCTTTCCTGCTTTCTCTTGTGGGCATTTAATGCTATAAATTTCCCTCTACACACTGCTTTAAGTGTGTCCCAGAGATTCTGCTATGTTGTGTCTTTGTTCTCATTGGTTTCAAAGAACATCTTTATTTCTGCCTTCATTTCGTTAAGTACTTAGTAGTCATTCAGGAGCAGGTTGTTCAGTTTCCATGTAGTTGAGCGGTTTTGAGTGAGTTTCTTAATCCTGAGTTCTAGTTTGATTGCACTGTGGTCTGAGAGACAGTTTGTTATAATTTCTGTTCTTTTACATTTGCTGAGGAGTGCTTTACTTCCAACTATGTGGTCAATTTTGGAATAAGTGTGATGTGGTGCTGAGAAGAATGTATAATCTGTTGATTTGGGGTGAAGAGTTCTGTAGATGTCTATTAGGTCCGCTTGGTGCAGAGCTGAGTTCAATTCCCAGATATCCTTGTTAACTTTCTGTCTCGTTGATCTGTCTAATGTTGACAGTGGCATGTTAAAGTCTCCCATTATTATTGTGTGGTAGTCTAAGTCTCTTTGTAGGTCTCTAAGGACTTACTTTATGAATCTGGGTGCTCTTGTATTGGGTGCATATATATTTAGGATAGTTAGCTCTTCTTGTTCAATTGATCCCTTTACCATTATGTAATGGCCTTCTTTGTCTCTTTTGATCTTTGTTGGTTTAAAGTCTGTTTTATCAGAAACTAGGATTGCAACCCCTGCCTTTTTTTGTTTTCCATTTGCTTGGAAGATCTTCCTCCATCCCTTTATTTTGAGCCTATGTGTGTCTCTGCACATGAGATGGGTCTCCTGAATATAGCACATTGATGGGTCTTGACTCTTTATCCAATTTGCCAGTCTGTGTCTTTTAATTGGAGCATTTAGCCCATTTACATTTAAGGTTAATATTGTTATGTGTGAATTTGATCCTGTCATTATGATGTTGTTACCTGGTTATTTTGCTCATTAGTTGATGCAGTTTCTTCCTACCTTCGATGGTCTTTACAATTTGGCATGTTTTTGCAGTGGCTGGTACCAGTTGTTCCTTTCCATGTTTAGTGCTTCCTTCAGGAGCTCTTTTAGGGCAGGCCTGTTGGTGACAAAATCTCTCAGCATTTGCTTGTCTGCAAAGTATTTTATTTCTCCTTTGCTTATGAAGCTTAGTTTGGCTGGATATGAAATTCTGGGTTGAAAATTCTTTTCTTTAAGAATGTTGAATATTGGCCCCCACCCTCTTCTGTCTTGTAGAGTTTCTGCAGAGAGATCCACTGTTAGTCTGATGGGCTTCCCTTTGTGGGTAATCTGACCTTTCTCTCTGGCTGCGCTTAACATTTTTTCCTTCATTTCAACTTTGGCAAATCTGACGATTATATGTCTTGGGGTTGCTCTTCTTGAGGAGTATCTTTGTGGCATTCTCTGTATTTCCTGAATTTGAATGTTGGCCTGCCTTGCTAGGTTGGGGAAGTTCTCCTGGATAATATCCTGCAGAGTGTTTTCCAATTTGGTTCCATTCTCCCCATCACTTTCAGGTACACCAATGAGACGTAGATTTGGTCTTTTCACATAGTCCCATATTTCTTGGAGGCTTTGTTCCTTTCTTTTTACTCCTTTTTCTCTAAACTTCTCTTCTCACTTCATTTCATTCATTTGATCTTCAATCACTGATACCCTTTCTTCCAGTTGATCGAATCAGCTACTGAAGCTTGTGCATTTGTCATGTAGTTCTTGTGCCATGGTTTTCAGCTCCATCAGGTCATTTAAGTACTTCTCTACACTGATTATTCTAGTTAGCCACTCACCTAATCTTTTTTCAAGGTTTTTAGCTTCTTTACGATGGGTTCAAACTTCCTCCTTTAGCTCAGAGAAGTTTTATCATCTGAAGCCTTCTTCTCTCAACATGTCAAAGTCATTCTCCATCCAGCTTTGTTCTGTTGCTGGTGAGGAGCTGCATTCCTTTGGAGGGGGAGAGGCGCTCTGATTTTTAGAATTTTCAGTTTTTCTGCTCTGTTTTTTCCCCATCTTTTTGGTTTTATCTACCTTTGGTCTTTGATGATGGTGGTGTACAGATGGGGTTTTGGTATGGATGTCCTTTCTGTTTGTTAGTTTCCCTTCTAACAGTCAGGACCCTTAGCTGCAGGTCTGTTGGAGTTTGCTTGAGGTCTGCTCCAGACCTGTTTGCCTGGGCATCAGCAGTGGAGGCTGCAGAACAGTGAATATTTAACAGCAAACACTGCTGCCTGATCGTTCCTCTGGAAGCTTCATCTCAGAGGGGTACCCGGCCATGTGAGGTGTCAGTCTGCCCCTACTGGGGGATGCCTCCCAGTTAGGCTACTCGGGTGTCAGGGACCCACTTGAGGGGGCAGTCTGTCCATTCTCAGATCTCAAACTCTGTGCTGGGAGAACCACTACTCTCTTCAAAGCTGTCAGACAGGGACATTTAAGTCTGCAGAGGTTTCTGCTGCCTTTTCTTTGGCTATGCCCTGCCACCAGAGGTGGAGTCTACAGAGGCAGGGAGTCCTCCTTGAGCTGCAGCGGGTTCCACCCAGTTCGAGCTTCTGGGCTGCTTTGTTTACCTACTCAAGCCTCAGCAATGGTAGGCGCCCCTCCCCCAGACTTGCTGCCACCTTGCAGTTCGATCTCAGACTGCTGTGCTGGCAATGAGCTAGGCTCTGTGGGTGTGGGACCCTCCGTGCCAGGCGCGGGATATAATCTCCTGATGTGTCGTTTGCTAAGACCATTGGAAAAGCACAGTATTAGGGTGGGAGTGACCCAATTTTCCAGGTGCCATTTGTCACAGCTTCCCTTGGCTAGGAAAGGGAATTCCCTCACCCCTTGTGCTTCCCGGGTGAGGTGATGCCTCGCCCTGCTTTGGCTCACGCTCGGTGGGCTGCACCCTCTATCCTGCACCCACTGTCGGAAAAGCCCCAGTGAGATGAACCCAGTACCTCAGTTAGAAATGCAGAAATCACCCGTCTTCTGCATCGCTCATGCTGAGAGCTGTAGAGTGGGGCTCTTCCTATTCAGCCATCTTGAAATCGCCCCCTCTAGTACGCTTTTATAACATGTTCCTCATTGTCCTTCTCACCCACTTACATAATTTGATTATATAAGTATCCAACATTTTCATAGTCTAATTATGCAAATGTATTCATAACTGAACCTTATAGTATCCTTTAATTACTTTTCTTTTTTTTCCCCTTTCCTTTCCTTCCCTTCCCTTTCCTTTCTGCTTTTCCTTGGAGTTACTAATTACCAATTTTTAAAAATTGTTTGAATTTCTATAGAATTGGCTGGGCACGATAGCTCACTCCTGTAATACCAGCACTTTGGGTGGCCAATGCGGGTGGATCACCTTAGGTCAGGAGTTCGAGACCAGCCTGGCCAACATGGTGAAACCCCGTCTCTACTAAAAATACAAAAATTAGCCGGGCATGGTGACACATGCCTGTAATCCCAACTACTCAGGAGGCTGAGGCAGGAGAATCCTTTGAACCCAGGAGTTGGAGGTTGCAGTGAGCCAAAATTGCACCATTACACTCTAGCCTGGGGCAACAAGAGTGAAACTCCATCTAAAAAAAAAAAAAAACAAAAAAACCTATAGAATTATTCTCAAACTCCACATGTGTAAATCTCAGACACATTCAGTTCTTCCTCTTGGAGCCTTCTGATTCGCTCCAGTAGGAAGTGGCTGATCTCTCAGCCTGCTGCAGAGCTGTGAGCTTGGTATTTCTGTCCACTATCTCTCTGGGATTCTTGTTTTCTCTCTTAACAAGCTCCTGTTCCTTGGATCCTATGTTTTCTTGAATTGCTCCTTCATATTGAGAGAATATCTATTCTATTACTTTTCTGAAAAGTTTTGCAAAGTAATGTTTTTGAAATCTTGCTTGTCTAAAAATAATTTCCTTCTACCCACACCCTTAATTGGCTAGGTAAGAAATTTAAACCTGGAAAGAATTTCTCTTAGTATTTAGAAAGTGTTACTCCATTTTGTTCCTAAAGCTTGGTATTGCTGTTGCATGAAACCTGTTTTCTCACCCATTTGAAAGTGATCTTTTCTTTGTGGTTAGAATTCTGAAACTTTACAATGATTTCTCAATAATCGCTTCAATTATTTAATGATTATTTCATCCATGCACCCTCAATATTCTATATCTCTTTTTTGGACTTTTACTATTTGGATGTTGACCTTATATTGCGTTTTTATCTATATATTTTATATATTTTTTCTATTTCTGATTTCTCGTATATTTATTTAATTTTCTTTTAAATAAATTTTACTTAGTTCTTGATGGATTATTACATAAATCTCTTTATGAGTTTTTCATTTTTTATTCTCCAAATTAGCTTTTTAATATCTATAAGTATTTCTTCTCTTCTGTCTCTGAAAATATCAAACATTTTTGAAGTTTTCTTCTCCTTGTGAAATCTTTGTTTCTTCTAAGTTACTGTTTTTGCTTGTTGGCTTTGTCTTCTAACCTTCAGATTCATGGCTGAAGTTTAGAAGAAGGTCTGGCAGCCCTTAGCTGCCTCTTGGTATTTAACTATGGAGGACCAAAAAGCTTTCTCAGAAGCTGTGTGGCAAAAATTCACTCTGACGTGATCTGGCTGGTTGTTTTGTTAAATGAAAGCCAAAGGTAATTCCTTTAGATCTTTTCTCTTGGGAAGATGATCGTAGAAGAATATGAGAAGACCTTTTAATCTCCTTTCTGATATTTAATTACACAGCTGCCAAAAATCTGAAATCCAAGTAAGGAAATGTGGCTGAGAGTCTCAACATTCAGTAGGTACATTTTACTCAATTCTCCTTGTTTTAGTATGCCACTCCTCCCCTCAAGTGACTCTTTGTCTCTTTATTCCGTTTTATTTTCCTTCTAAGCTCTCTTCACTGCATGACCCACTATATTTTCATCTCTTAGTCTATTTTTGTCTTCAATTAGAATGTAAAGTCAATAATAACAAGTTTTATTTTTCTTCACTGTTGTATCCCCAATGTCTGACAGCTATGCTTTGCACATAGTAGCTGCTCAATAAAAATGTATGTCATGACTTAGGTTAAATAATATGAAATTTCTGCTATTCATCTGGTTTTGAACTTCAAAATGGAAATCTCTTACATTTCAAACTGAATAAAAGAGGATCTGAATGGCTAAGGATTATCACCATTTTCCTTGTGATATGAAACTCATTATAGGAGGTATTAATATATTTTATAGTTTATTATATATAATTAATTTAAAAAATAGTAAATGGAGAAATACAAACTCAGAGAAGTTAAATGTCTTGCTGACTTGCCTAAGATTACACAATATTAGGCAGTACTGTAGTAGAACCAGGACCAGAATTTTGTATGTACCAGGCACTGTTAGAGATTCTGGGGATGAAACAGCGACTGTAATAGACTTCTGGGTATTTCTAGGAGTAAGAGAGACAAAAAAGAAGCAAGCAGCTGTAACAGGGTAGTGAATGAAATTGTTCTTACTTTCTTGAAACTTTAAGCGTCCCAAACTGAGGACAATATGCAATATGGAACCTCATAAACTAAAGAGCAACATGGAGCTGCCAAACACCCCTTCAGGGCCAGACTGGTTCTTTAATTTTCACCCCCCACAACTGCATCCAACCTGTATACACAGAAAACTGAAATTCACAGGCATAGCAGCACTGATTCACAGTAAGGGGTAGGCCTGGAAGTCAACAGTACTGTTGCTTTATTCCAGCTCTCTTCATATTCACGGTAGGGATAGGAAGAGTTTGGATTGTAAGTGCCTAGCCTGCCTGCTTGGACTACACTGTGCAACTGTTGCTTCAGAGAGACCTGATGTGGTGGAATTATGAGAAAACATGTAAAGCAAATCCACAAGCAAAACAATAGAAGAAAGCACATCTAATTCCTATTTTGCCCGTAGAGAAACTGTGAGTAAACTTGAGGTGCTGTCTTAGGGATTCACCTGTTTATGATATAACTCAAATTGGAGAGCTCCCCAACTATGTAGACCTAAATGAAGCCAAGTTAATGTCCACAATACACTCATTCACACTTCCAATTCCGGGTACCTATCTTTACATTTAAAGGAAATGAAGAACATCCGTTAGCAGATGGTAGTCTACATAAGGGCCCATGAAATACACCTGTGTCTTGCAGACCCCAGTTACAAAGGAAACAGCTGTTGACCTGGACCAGCATTTGTTAGTTTTCCATTAGCTCATAGTGTTCACTAGGCCATCTGTAGCATGGAACTAAGTAAATGGAGTCACTTTTCTATGGTTGGCTCATTTCCATAGCTCATTATGTAGGAAGGCTGATAAAGCATTATTGTGCCAAAGCATTAAAAAACTCAAGTTCTGGAAAAGTTTCCAGAAAGGTCATCATTAACAGGGCTAGTCAATAAGCTCCCCACCTCATGTAGATGCTGTACTAATCCTGTGATAGCCCATGGGGGAGGAGACCTCTACTTGAATCGCTGTCAACTGTTGATGAGGAATGGGGCAGAGGCTTAGCATATTCACATTTATTTTCTGATAGCACACTTCCTGCCCTCTCTACCTTTCTTCCTTTCTTCTTCCAGAAACATTTATTGTCACTGACATGGAGATGAAGTATTTTGAACGCTCAAGGTGCAAAATTAAACTTTCCTTTCATTATCTTCTATTAGGAGGCTCTCTGTCTCTTTCACTCACTGGACTGTAAATCACAGGAAAGAAGGAACCATTCTGGGTGTTGGGTTCTTGTTACCTATCATACCATCTGGCACATAGTAGGTGTTCAATAAATACCCATTGGTTGAAAGTATGAAAAAGGAATTTTGATCATGAGCCTAGACAACCAGTCTATACTGGTCTTTAAAAGCACTCCAGATTTACAGGCTGAAAATGGGATTAAAAATCCAAAGACAAACAGAAGAAAAAAACCTTAAACACAGCAGGATTTATGACCATTACAGAGCTAAAAGTACATTATATTCTAATACTAAGGCAGTATACCAGGCTGCCTTTGTTATCATTCATATAAACTCCTCTAGCTCACTTTCTGATTTTTCCTTCCAATAATTTGCCCTTGATTAACTTTGTTTTTTTAAACTAACATTTATTAAGTACCAATATTGTGCAGAAATGCTGTGCATTTGTTTTCTCCTGTAAATTACATGAAGCAACGTTCACCCCAATTTTGGAAATGGGAAAAATTGAAGCTCTCAGAGTTTAAGTAAGTTCTCACAGGTAGTAAATAGAATGGCTAGGATTGGAACCCAGGTTTATGGGCTGCTACAACACAGTTTGTTAAATATCAGGTGGCTCCTTCAGTGTTCCTTGCTATATACCTCACCCTTTTAAATTCCATTTTGGAAAAAATTCCTGAGAACTCTGTTCTTCAGTCCTTTATTTGTTTTTCTTTTGCCCATGAATCTGATTACATATAAGTTATACCCATGACCTTCAGTATTTTGCCAGACCTTGGCCAGGGGTGGCTCTTCTAGCCAATGGATATCATCATGGTGGTTGCCCTCGGAAGACATGAGAACCTGCAGGAGGAGGACTTTGGAAATTTGGAACCCATTGGCCCAGGGAAAGAGCTGAATATTTCTAGGGAGGCCAGACCCACCAGGGACTGCTGCATTGGTCATAAATGTAATACCATGGGACTTAGGCAGAGAACAAGCAAGCCTGATCCCAGAGTTGAGGAATAGCCAGGGGGTTATGGCTCTTTCCAGATTCAAATACTGTCCCTGTCTCTACAAAAGCAATACATCTTTCTGGGGGGCCCCACACACCTTCCTGAGAATCCTGCCAGATTTCTGCCTTTCCTAAGGCTGCACCTTGGGAACCACTCTCTTATTTCCTTCATCTTCTGTGACCCTCTTTCCTGGCTTTATGGATATTTTCAGCAGGAGCCACCATCAATGCTGACTGAAAAGGACATCTTTTGCATCATCATCTAGGAAGATTGGCTCCGGGGTGTCTCTTTCATCAATTTATACTTAACCCAATGAAAAAGAGCTTCACAGATGATAGCACAATGTCCAGGCGCATCTAGGGAAGGGCATTGCTAATTAGGATATATTAATATCCTCTCTTGAACTGATTCTCCAATTTTTTTTTGCTTTCTTTCTAATGAAAGAATCCTTAGCATCTACTTGAATTCAAGCATGCATATTTTTTCTGCTATAATACTTTCTTTTCATTTGACAGGCAGGATTGTCTTACAAGGAAAAGCTGAACACTCTGACAGCTGATTACATTACATGCCTTTTTTATTCTGCTCCACAAAGAGAACTGGATGACAGTGATGATGACCTGTGAAAAGCAATTAAGGCCTCAGGATCATTTCTACTTGTGGGCTGGAGATTAGATGACAGAGGGCACCAAGGGATTGTTTATAATGGATAATAGGTTCTTTGTGTAAGGTGCAGGGTAGGACATGAAATGTCTTAGATTCTGTAGCAATGTGTTATTTTTCTGTCCCAAAATACGTAGACAAACCCAACAGAACTCTTTAGTGCTGGTAGATCAACTTAATCTTTTCTGCTTTTGCCAACAATATTTCACAGAGGATGTGTCCATTTGTCTTTTTCAGGAACAGCCAGTTTTCCTCTGTTACTGAGGTGTAGGACTTTCAGAAAATTGCTTCATATCCTGGATGCATTGCAGCCCTGTGGACATTTCGATAGGGAATAAAAGCAGCTATCCCTTCAAAGACGGACTTGTGAATAACTTAACATCTAACAATAGAATCGTAATGCTTAAGAGCACTACCTAAGCAGTTTTATCATCTATGAGGCTGGTTGTGCTGGACATGGAGCATTTCATTTCTTTTTTTCTTCTCTTTTTTTTTTGTTTTTAAGACAGGGTCTCAATGTGTTGCCCAGGCTGGACTACAGTGGCACAATCACAGCTCACTGCAGCCTCGAGCTCCTGGGGCTCAAGCAATCCTCCCAGCTCAGCCTCCAAAGTAGCTGGGACCACAGGTCCACACCACCATGCCTGGCTAATTTTTGGTATTTTTTGCAGAGACAGGATCTCACTTATCTACTTGAATTCATTGTTTTTGCTGAAAGACGTGATGTTTTGCCTGTTCTGATTGCGGGCAGCAGTATTTACTGTTCAGTTTAGCATGTGGAGTTGGTATAAAACATGTGTAAAAACATTAAGATTTGGCACCTTATGTAGAAAACCTGCTACACTTCAAAGTAGAATAATTGCCAGCTACTCAGATAAACTTGGTGGGGAAAAGACGAGTTTCCATAACACCAAAGCAATGTCTGCCTGAACCATATGTTTTCCAATTCAAAAAACAGGTTTTTGGATTCAAAACGTCCTCCCTCTTTCTTTATTTTATTATTGGTAATATGACAAGTAGAAAAACAGCAGGAAACATTTAGGACCACATAATAGAGGGTCATTTCCAGAAAACAAACAAGTTCATTGGGACATTCCAGAAAGAAAACCTTGATATGCCCATGAATATTTGCTCTATTCTGGAACTTTTGACATAGAGGAGGTGTAATGGAAAGCATCCTGGACTGAAATAATTTCTGATTTCCACTCTTCAAGCTCAAGGTGTGAAAGGTAAGGGTGATAAATAAGGAGAATACTGTACTATGCACTAGACTCTCTGCATCAATCTGCGTATTCATGTGTCGATGGGTACAGTAATTATTTGTGTCTGCTGAACATCTTTTGAAAATGCTCTCTTATGTCTTGTAGTTTTCCATCTTTTGAGTCCTGTCTCATCAAAGCATGCTGCAAAAACTGCATCAGAATCTTTTGCTACTTAAGGTACAAGCAAGTGACCTAGTTTTCCTCATTCAGATGCACCCCTACCAAAGACCGATGAGAAAGAGACCCCTGTTAGGATGTGGCCACAGAGAGATAGATTTTCTGGTAGTTGTGGTGGAAGAAAGGTTCCGGTTCTTCTGGGGTTGTGGCGCTGGAGTTTCCGGCTCTCAATCTCGGGTATGATCAGGGCTGAGCAGTGGGTGGTGGTAGCAGGGCTGTTTTCACTAATACATTTCCCCACAGGTAGAAGATGGGCATTGTTCCTGTATTTCTAGCTGTTTAGCATTTTAAGTCCAATTCTCTGACTCTTTGAGATTCTGACACTTTCTCATATATTCAATAAGTCTCATTTTGCTCAAATTAGTTAGAAATCATCCTGTGATTTTCAACTAAGAGTCTTAACCTGAATAATGGAGATAAGAAATAGTAACAGAGGGGCAGTTTAACCTCAGTTATGATAGCTAGAAAGGGCGTTGGAAATGGAATATTGGATGTGAACACAGAATAAAAGAATCTGATAGAGATTTTCAGGTGTCTTCAAATATGGAAGTTGTTTTCTTGCTTAAATAAAGGAATGTTTTGTCAACTTCCCCTATAGCTGTACAAGAAATAGCATTAAGGGAAAAAGTCTTGAGCATTTACAAGAGATTGTTAAATTGCATAAAGAAAATAAGTCCTGAATCATCATCTGGGATAATTTATTATTTGCTTTTTGGTGTGTGTGTGTGTGTGTGTGTTTTTTTTACTATGCACATGAGTTTACTCTTATGAGTTTACTACACAATGTAGCTTCATTAAAGAAAAATTAGAAATATAAAAAACACAAAACCAAAGGAAAATTCTCCTGTGATGATTAATTTATGTGTCAACTGGCCAGGCTATATAGTTCCTAAAGTGATTTAATAAAACCTAACTTAGGTGTTACTGTGAAGATATTTTAGCAATGTGGTTAACATCTACAATCAGCTGACTTTAAGTAAAGGAGATTACCTTGTATAATGTGGGTTGGCCTTACCCAAGCAGTTGAAGGCCTTATAAGCAAAAACTGAAGGTTCCCACCGAATAAGAAATTCTGCCTCAAGACAGTCTTATGGAAATGCTGCCTATGTTTCTAGCCTACTGGCCTATCCTTTGAGTTTTAAACTTGCCAGCCCCCACAATCCTATAAACTAATTGCTTAAAATAAATCTCTCTCTCTCTATATATATATATAAATATATAAATATAAATATATATAAATATAAATATATATATATATCTCCTATTAATTCTGTTTCCTGGAGAATCCTGACTGATACATTCACCCACAAGACCATCACCCTCTAATATCACATGCTAATATCATGGTATCTTTACTCATTTTTTTTTCTTTTCTTTTCTTTTCTCAGACCTCTCAGGGTGAATTCATATTTTTTCTATATACATTTATACAGTCATATAATGCATAACAACATTTCAGCCAGTAATGGACCACATATACAATAGTGGTCCCATAAAATTAAAATGGAGTGGAAAAATTCCTATTGTATAACAATGTTGTAGCCATCCTAATATAGCATAATGCATTGCTCATGTGTTTGTGGTGATGCTAATGTAAAGAAAACTACTGTGCGTCCAGTGGTATAAAAGTATAGCACATATAATTATGTACAGTACATAATGTTAGCTAATGATAATAAACAACTATGTTACTAGTTTATATGTTTACCATACTGTACTTTAAAAAAATTATTTCTATTTTTTTTTTTTTATTTTTTTGAGACAGAGTCTCGCTCTGTCGCCCAGGCTGGAGTGCAGTGGTGCAATCTCAGCTTACTACAACCTCTGCCTGTTGGGTTCAAGTGATTCTCCAGCCTCAGCCTCCTGAATAGCTGAGATTACAGGCATGCACCACTATGCCTGGTTAATTTTTGTATGTTAACTAGAGACAGAGTTTCACCATGTGGGCCAGGCCGGTCTTGAACTCTTGACCTCAAGTGATCTGCCTGCCTGGCCTCCCAAAGTGCTGGGACTGCAGAAGTTTGCCACCATACCCAGCCCCATACTATATTTTTAATCATTATTTTAGAGTGTACTTCTACATATATATAAAAAGAGTTAACTGTAAAACAGCCTCAGGTAGGTCCTTCAGGAGGTATTCCAGAAGAAGGCATTGTTATCATAGGAGATGACAGTTCCATGAGTGTCATTCCCCATAAAGCCCTTCCAGTGGGATAAGATGTGGAAGTGGAAGACAGTGATATTGATAATCCTGATTCTGTGTAGGCCTAGGCTGTGTGTGTTTGTGTACTATTTTTTAAGAAGAAAATTAAAAAGTAAAACAAAATAAATAAAATAGATAAAAATTTTATAGAATAAGGACATAAAGGAAGAATATATTTTTGTACAGCTGTACAATGTATGTTTTAAGCCAACTTATTACAAAAGAGCCAAATAAAACAGTCAAACTTTCATTTTTTTAAATTAAAATTTTAATTTTTAATTTTTTAAAAAATTAAATTTATAAAGTAAAAGTCTACAAGAAGCTAAGTTTAATTTATTATAGAACAAATAAAAATATCTATTTATGAATTTAGTGTAGGCTAAGTATACAGTGTTTATAAAGTCTACAGTAGTGTACAGTAATGTCTTAGGCCCTCACATTCAATCACCACTTGCTGATTCACCCACAGCAACTTACAGTCCTGAAAGCTCTTTTCATGGTTAGATATACAGGCGAATCATTTTTTTTCTCTTTTATACTGCATTTTAACCATGCCTTTTCTATATTTAGATATGTCTAGATATAAAAATATTTACCATTGTGTTACAATTCCCGACAGTGTTCAGTATAGTAACATATTCTACAACTTTGTAGCCTAGGAGCAACAGGCTATAGCGGGTAGCCTAGATGTGTAATAGGCTAAACCTTCCAGGCTTATGTCAATATACTTCATAATGTTCACACAATGATGAAATTGCCTAATGACATATTTCTTAGACTGTATTCCCATTGTTAAGTGATACATGACTGTATATATGTGCAACTATTTACCCATTTATTTACAAAATAGGATAATACTATTCACACTGTATGTTAGGATGCTTTTTTCCCCCACTCAGCAGTTTACCTTGAATACATTTCCAAATCAATGAATATACTTTTAAAAACATCATTTTTAATTTATTGCTGCATTATTGATAATAATCAAGATATGTAAACAACCTAAATATTCATCAACCAATGAATGAATAAAGAAAAATGTGGTATGTATATATACAATGGAATGTTCTTTAGCCTTACAAGAAGGCTATCCTGCCATCTGTGACCATATGGACGAACCTGGGGGACATTATACTGTATGAAATAAACTAGACACACAAACACAAATACTGCATGACTTCATTTATATGTGGAATCTAAGACAGTCAAACTTATAGAAGCAGATAGTGGAATGGTGTTTGCCAGGGAATAGGAAGGGGGAAAGTGGGAAGGAGAAATTGGGAGATGTCAGTCAAAAGATATAAAGTTTCAGTTATACAAAATGAATAAATTCTGGAGCTCTAACGTACAGTGTGGTGACTACAGTTAACAAATACCATATTGTATACTTTACATTTTTTAAGCAGATAGGTCTTAAATGTTCTCACTGCACCAAAAAAGAGAAAAAAGAAAATAAGAATGGTAACTATGTGGGGTGATAGATATGTTAATTAGCTTGATTGGGATGATTATTTTACAGTGTATATGTATATCAAAACATCAAGTTGTACACTTAAATATATAGTTTTGATTTGTCAATTATACCTTGATAAACCTGAAAAATGTGTGCCAGTTTTATAAGCAAAAAACTAAAGAAACAAACTCAAGAAATAAACCCCATCATTTTTTAGTGCCAGTTTATTATCCCATTGTGTGAATAGACAATTTCTGAAAATAGCTCTAAAGATATCCTTTAAAAGTCCTAGAATTAGAACTTCTGGATGAATAAAATTCATATTTTTAAAACTTTTGGCACATACTGCAAATTGCCGTAAAGAAAAAGAATACCAACTTATACTCTTATTTATGAGTGTCCTTTCCCCACACTTTAACCAATTCATTTTATTATCATTCAAATTATTTTCTAGTTTAGAATTTTAAAAAACTAACATGTATTATTTAAAAATTTTATGTTGGTGTATATGTATTTTTACCTAATGGAGATTACAGTGTATGTATATATGTAAGTAAATATATATTCTACTTTTAAAAATAGTTATTACAAATAATTTCTTGTATTATAAAACTTTCGAATTCATTTTTAGTGACCTAATAACATTCCACTTCACAGATGTGCCATAATTGATTCGTGCATTCTGCAATTAGTTATACTCTCTCATTTTTGCCAAAATTTCTATTTCCTTAGGATATTTTCTCAGAATGGGATTATAGGATCAAAAATTAGGAATCTTTATGAGCTTTTGATACCAGTGAATGTTCTCATTAGTAGAATAAGTCTGTTTCACCACGTTCATTGATTTTGAATATTGGCTTAAAAAGTGAGAAAAATGTTACAAATATATGTATGTATGTAAGAGCAAAGCAGGTATTGCATTAAAAATACTAATGAGGGTTAATTTTGGCCCTCATCTAGATTCATTTGCTATTTCTATTTCTTGTTTTATAAATGAGAATGAGGGACTTGAAACAAGTATTTAGTGAATCCATTCACATTGGGAAAACGTTTCCCAGGTTTCTACATTTGTATTAACTTACACTGTAGCATAGGAGAAATAGCTAGGGCAACAAAAATGGAGTTTATGAAGTATAAAAATTGTAATTATAAATTCTGATAAATTACAGATATGAATGTAAAAACCTTTTACAATTACCTGTCTTTTAGGGCCAGAGGATCTACTACCACAGAACCATTCTAGATGTGAGTTCCTAGTGTGAAAGGACTGGGAGTTAACAGAAGAGCCACAGTGAGGTAGAGTTTGCTGTGTTTATATTTGCATCGAAGTTATTTTAAAATATTATTTTCTCTCTCCTGCACACAATATTTTTGATTCTATAGCATACATAGAATTTATATGTTTGATTCTATAGCATAAGTTCATTTCTCCTCAATCAGCCCTTTTGGCCATTTTGTTAAAGATCAGAGGTGTAGCCACATTAAGGAAAAGCATTCGAATCTGGGTTAGCCCTATCCATGGTGGCAGTTATTACCTGAGTGCCAGTGCCAGGATTGGATAGAGGGGGTATACAGCAGCCTGTCCTGAATGGTGTCTGAACAGGACCATTTCTGGTTCAATGTAGCCCTCCTTGGTTTTAACCTGTATCACATGAGCTTGCCTAAAAGGAACAATATCCCTTAATATTGAAAATTCGCTAACACGGCAATTCTTAAATTATCATGCGCACAACCCTGGAAGTCCTGATATCTTTTCAGGGTGTCTGCAAAGCCGGCATGATTTCGTAATAATCCTCACATGATTTGGCTTTTTCACTTTGTTGATATTTAGATTGATGGTACAAAAGCTATTGGTGGTGCCTTAGTTACACCAAACTGTACTAGAAGTCATTTTATGCTTCACCCTTACATACTCATAATTTTTTAAAAAATTCCAGATGCAATTAAAAATACTCTTGGTGAAGCAGTAAAAATTAAATATAGACCCTTGAATATATGCCTTTTAAGTTGGGTGATGAAATGTGAAGTTTATATAAAGCACTTTACTGCATGCCAAATTATCAGGCTTTTCCTGAAGAAAAATATTTGTGTAATTGTTTGAGTTGCAAACTGAACTGGTTGCTTTTTCATCGAACATCATTTTTACTTGAAAAAGAAAAAGACTTATGGAAAAACTGTGGTTATTCTGACCTGAGTATTTGGCAGAAAAAAAATTCTTGAAAATGAATAAAATGAGCCTGTCACTTCAAGGAAAACAACTGATAGTCTTTGTTGCCAGTGATGAAGTTTGAGCTTTCAAGTGAAATTAAAGTTTCAGAAAACTTGTATCTACTACCATGAGGTTGATGGTTTCTTAATATTTAGAGGTTTTATTATGAAATTAGGAATATTAACTAATGCATTTTAAAAAATTATTGTATGATGAAATGTGTCAATATTTGGAACATTTGCATAACTCAGTGAATCAATGTTGTCCAAATAGCAATGCTTGGGGGTTACAAAATTACGCGTGGGTAAAAACTCTATTCAAAGTTCAAGATAGACCAATAGATTTTAATTTAGGAGAGCCGAAAAAGTTTATTGGTATAGTTTCAGAGTCTACATTGTATCTTTTAAAAAACATCTTGTTGAATCTTGGTGTAGTATCACAGGAGAATATCCACAACTATGTTCCTTCCTTTTTCAGCCATATCTTTGTGAAGCTGCCTTTTCTTCATATACTTCAACCAAAATTTCATATTGCAGCAGGTTGAATGCTGAAGTACATATCAGAATCCAGCATTCTTCTATTAAGCCAGACACTGAAGAGATTTGCAAAAATATAAAACAATGCAATTCTTCTCATTAACATTATGTTTTGGAAATATAATTATTTTTCATAAAAATATGTTAATTATGTTAATATACAGTGGGTTTATTACTGTAATTTTATAATTAATAAGTAGATATTTAATTTTTTCCATTTTTAAATACAGAAAGTTTCAATAGATATAATCCACAAACAAAAACCCTTTGGGGTCCTCAATAATGTTGAGTGTGAGTGGTGTATGATTCCAAAAACTTTAAGAACTGTTATCCTAATAAATTATTCTTGGATAATTTTGCATGTGAATATCATGAGGCTCTCCCAAGCAAGGTAATGTATTCAGCAATAGATTAGGATGACCTCCTGATCTGAATGTAAAATTGGGTATTATGGTCAATAACAGTCACACAAATAATTAATTAAGAGATGTCAAAAAGAAAAACACAGCTTTCAAAAGCCTCTTGAGTATTTCGCTCATGTGTGCCTGACTGTTGGACGTGGTTACTGAGGTGCGCTGGTGAGTGCAGCTCTTGGTCTCCTAGGGGAGCTGTTTGCTTTGCCTTGTCACACACATGCTCTTTTGATCTCAGATACTAGTCTCTGTCTGGCTTCCTTGTGGTTAATACATCTGACATATGGCTTGTTTCTTTGTCTACCTTTTATTGTGTTATTTCATCAGGCTACTTTGAAATCAGTATAAGCAATAATCGGCAGACTACAATTCGGTTTTAAGTGCATTTTCTTATCAAGATACATAGAGTTATATGGCATTCTTATGATCCAGTGCTTCAACTGATGGCATATAATGTGGCGTTAAATAAATCTATACAGCCTGACATAGTTAAGTGTACTATTAGCTGACATTGAACATAAAAACAGAAGAGTGAAAAAGGTGTATGAGGTCTTCTTAGATAACTAAGCAGCCGAATGAAAATACAGAAAGATATTTCACTGCTGCTATTCTAATGTCGCTACTTCACTTTTTCTAAGCTTTGGATTTCTCTCCTCATTTCCTCTTTCCATAGGATTCTGTTCTCAGCTAGTGTTTGATACCACCTAAGGGTTCTGTCAGTTTAGTGCTCACACAGTTTATCATGCATCTTCACCACTTATTAGCTATGCGACCTTGATCAGGTGAATTCTGCTGTTTGTGCTACTACTGTATTTCCCTCTCTGTAAAGTGGGGGATAATAATAAGTGTATCTACAACACTGAATGAAGAATAAGTGAAACCATCCATGTACTGGGCTCAGCATCTTGACTACCACCCCCAGTGGATCCTCCCTGGGCATCAGCTATTATTCTTCTCTGCTTTTATTCATTGGCACTTTCATCTGATTTGCACAAAGAACTATATTAATTAATTAAACAAATACATATTTAATGGCTATTGCATACCAGGCATTGTGCTAGGATGAGGGATACAACGATGAATAAAAACAGTGCCCATGAGAGCAGAGGGCATGTCCACATAGTATTTAATACATTATGCTATTTCTGGCCTCTATCACAGTGTCTGACAGAGAGTGGGTGTTTCATCCAAATAAGCAAATAATCAACCCTATGAGGTAAATGAAATTATTATTCCCATTTTACAGATGAAGAAACTGAGACTTAGAAAGGAAGAGTAATCCATCCAGTGACACCCAGGTAGCTAGTCACAAAATCCCTCCCTAGGGATGGAGGAAGAAAATGCTAACACTGCCAATTCATGCTGCTTGAGAAGGGTTAATCTGGCTTCCCAATTTCTAATTTCCAAAGCACATCATGGACCTGCAGATAAACTAAATGCTCAACAACACTGTCCATAAGTACTCATTGATGTTCACCTTGTGTACAAGACACGGTGCTAATCTTTGGGATACTGCAGTTAACCTGAGAGACATTAGAGGAGCTTACATTCCGTTCGGGGAGACAGCTATAAACAACTGGTTATGTGTGTGGTTGCCTTGTGATAAACACTATGTAGACACATATACGAGAGGTTCTGACTTAGGCTGCTATTATGATGATCAGAAAGGCTTCCCTGAGGAAAGAATTTATAAACTAAGCTCTGAAGGGTGAATAGGAAAGAAGTAACTAGAAAAGAAATGGAGGAAAGCATTTCTAGCAGAATACCATGTTCAAGAACTTGGAACATTAGCATACCGGAGGAAGGCTAGTGTGCTAGTGTGCTAATGTGCTATACCCTGAGACTGAGTGGGGCAGGGAGATGACATGGAGCTATGGAAACAGGTTAGGGACAAATTGCCCAGGGCTTCAGACCCATGCTAAGCATTTTGATTTTGTTTTGTTTTGTTTTTGAGGTGGAGTCTCTCTCTGTCGCCAGGCTGGAGTGCAATGGCACAATTTCGGCTCCCTGCAACCTTCACCTCCCAGGTTCAAGCAATTCTCTGCCTCAGCCTCCCGAGTAGCTGGGACTACAGGCGCAGGCCACCACGCCCAGCTAATTTTTTTGTATTTTTAGTAGAGATGAGGTTTCACCATGTTGGCCAGGATGGTCTTGATCTCCTGACCTCGTGATCTGCCTGCCTTGGCCTTCCAAAGTGCTGGGATTTCAGGTGTGCATTTTGGTTTTATCCTAAGTACTCTTCAGTGAGTTTTCAAGAAGAGAGTGATGTGACAAGATATGCAATTTAGAAACATCACAGTATGAATGGAGACCAGGGGCACTCTGTTGCAATAGCAATGTGAAAGAAGATGGCAGTGTGGACCAGGATGGTAGCACTGGAGAAGAGTAAGTGGGCAGGCTTGAGAGATACTCAAGATGTTGAGTTCATAGACTTGTGACTTAGATCAGGGAGATGAGTAGGAGGCCGACCTGAGTTTTATGGGGTCTGAAGCTCATGGAACTGGAGAGCTCTTTCAGAAATGGATACTGGATATGGGAAGGTCCCAGGATGACTGTCCAGGTCCTAGGCATTTTATACAGGCACAATGAGGTATGTACAGAGAAGAGGAGGTATCTCTTCTCTGCACCTCTTTTTATTAAGAAGCCACACTTTTCTCAGAATCCTCCCCAGCATTCCTTTCATGCGTAGGAAATTGGGTAGAAAATTAGATAATTCCTTCCAGTTCTGAGACTCAGTGATTGTGGTGGGAACAAAACATTTTAGGAAGCACAATTCTCATCAGCAAGCTGAGAAGACAATCCACATCTGTACTCTAGTGACAAGATATAATTATTGTTCAATAAGATACTTTTGATATAATTATGCTGGGACAACAGGGATAAACGAAAGCTGTCCTTGACAAATTGGAACAATGACCACTCTATCTCTTATGGACATACGTGACTGGGTGAGTTCCCTCTCTTCTTCCCACCTCTGAGCTGTCTTCCCTGCCCTTGTATCCCTGCTGCTGGGCTATGACTCATCTTCCTCACTGACCACAGTTGGCACCTCTTTTCCGTCAGCTGACTGGCACTGCAGCATTTTCCACTGGGGCAAGGAGAAGGCATGAGCTGTAAGCTCTCAGAAATAATCAGGAGCATGGGGATTGTTAGCCTTGCTTCTGATGGAACCCAGACTCAGGCTGGGAAATTATTGACAGGATGTAGTTGGCTAGGAGATAGTGTCTTTCCAAGTGAGCCGAGAGAACACTGGTCCCTGAATATGCTCCAGGAGAAAGGGATTCTGTCTGGACAAATGCTGAAAAATGCACCCCTAAAGAGTCTTAGTACACGCTAGTATATATAAAAGGCTATTGAGAAGTCCTACAGTGAAAAAATGCAAAAAACTCAGGTTTTGTCCACAACTGTGCAAGACTTGGGCATCCTTTTTAAACATACACACCCCACACCACTGATAAATATCCCAAAGAATAGACTTGGAGAAACTTTTTAAAAAGAAGACACATTAACATCAAGCCAGGAAGGCCAAGAAATGGGGAGACAAATAGAATGGCCCAACATACTAGAATACTCCTAGAGTCAATGTGCTGGTTATTAACATATCTTAGCATCCCTGGGGATGAGCCACACATGAGTTCATGGGATTGATTCTTCATCCAAATGTTGCTTGAGTTATTGGATTGGTCTGTTGCCTCCTAAGAACGTTGGTTCCTTTCAAAATAGGTCAAGGAGTGATGATTGACAAGGACAACTTCTCTCACCCTTAAATTTGTTGGGGTTTCCAAAATTTGAAGAAGCGGTATAAACTCTCTAGGTGTTCCTGGAAGCATGAGATTGCTTATTAAGGCATCAGTTTGCAAAATTTGGAAGTAAAGCTAAAAAGTGAAACAGAGTGAAGGAGCAAAAAGATAGGGTTGGATAAACCAGTTTTAAAATTGCGGCTTAACTGTACAACCTTTGGCAAATGATTTAACCTTTCTGAATCTCAGTTTCCATATATGTAAAAATACTTCACTTGTAGGATAATGCAAGCATTAGAAATAACATGTCTTATTCATGAATTATCATTGTGAAAATATAGAAAGTGTATGCTTAATGCAAAGAAAATGTTCAGTTAACAAAAGCTTTCCTATTATTTCAAATAACAGAAAAGAATCTGCAGTAGATTCCTATGGTTCAGGAAGGCATACTCTGTTCATGGAGCAGAAGGAGCAGAGTGGATGATTCAAACTGTCATGTATATTAATGCTATTGCCTTGCAAATTACAAGGCAGTTAGGAAAACATTTATCTTCCTTCTCATGAGGTTAAAATTGTTTTTAAGAATAAATATTTATTCCGTGCTATAAATATCTTCTAAAGTGTCATGTCACCTTTTTTGTCTTGCTAATATAAGGCATAGCTTGGATGCTGGAATTACTGCCAGGTTAAAATCTCAGCTCTACTCCTTGCTATCTGCATGACCTTAAGCAAGTAAACAAAACATGTTACCCCTCAGTGTCTCACTTTCCCATCCTCAAAATAAGGACAATAATATTATTTATCTCAGATTCGTTTTTACGATTCTTGTGAGAATTTAATTAAACAATGCACTGTGCTGTGAATATAGTTAAGAAAGAATCTGTTTTGTATTGTTATTATTGGCATCTCAATGCTTTAGAAATTTTTTTTTGTTTGAAAATTGTTACTCCAATTTCTTTCTGGATGCTAGGAGAAATCCTTACCAATTGGATGTGAGACAAAATTAAACAATGATTTTCTTTATTCAATATCTTCTTTTCCCTCACTTGTTGCCTCTGGCTTTCCTTAGTCCTGGGGAACTGCCTTTTGAGCCTCAACTGTCACTTCAAGGATTCCTCGTTGCAGTTCAGTCTACACTGGTGATGATTAACCCATTTCCAATGTGGCATTAGGAAAGGAAGGTTCACATTGGAATGACAATTCACGAGGCCACATAATCTTAGCCAGAGATATTTAACAGTATTTTCATCTTCTTCATCGACTCTTACATTTTCTCCTTTATTGGATTTGCAGATAAGAGCTACAAATTCAAATCTGTTTGGTTCTAAAGTCCGTTTTGTTTTCATGACACCACAATAAAAACAACAATCTCACAAATAATGAAAACTAACATTTGCTGAATATTTACTTTCTACAGAAACCATACTTTGCCAGGCATGGTGGCTCACGCCTATAATTCCAGCACTTTGTGAGGCCGAGGCGAGCAGATCACTTGAGGCCAGGAGTTTGAGACCAGCCTGGCCAACATGGCAAAACCCTGTCTCAACTGAAAATACAAAAATTAGCTGGGCATGGAGGTGGGCACCTGTAATCCCAGCTACTCAGGAGACTGAGACAGGAGAATCAGTTGAACCCAGGAAACAGAGGTTGCAGTGAGCCGAGATCATACCACTGCACTCCAGCCTGGGCAACAGAGCAAAACTCCATCTCAAAAACAAAAACAAAAACAAAACAAAACAAAACAAAAACAACTAAATTACTTCTCTGCATTATCTTATTTAATCCTAACAGCAAATGCATAAGAGGTAGACTTCATTGTTGTATATGAGTAAATAAGGCCCAGAAAGGTGAGGTAACCCGCTCAATGGCACATAGTTAGAAGGTGGTAGAGCCTGGATTCAGATTCATTTGTGGCTGACTCAAGAGTGCACACCTCTAGCCTTTAAGTTGTTAATATATTTTCAGACATTTTTGGCCCTTTAATGATTAGAATAGTATCATTTACAGCAACTGATTGAGAAAAGCTAAGGCTTGTGGCTTTTTGGTTTCTGTAAGTAAAAATAACAACAGCAGGTTCACGGCCATTCATTCATGTCCCAAAAGCTTATTAAGTGCTAGTAAAGAATGACCAGAGCCAAGGGCCTAGATGCTCAGATAAACAAGATGGGTTTGATCCACCTCTGAGACACCTGATGGGATGGATAGGACCTCATAAGTGGGCTTTCTTCCTTCTAATTCTCTCTGGCAAGAGAATTTGAAACAGCCCATAAATTTCTTTATTATTACAAATCTCTCTTAACATTTTGGGCTCAAAATTTATACTATTCAGTAAGCATTTTCTTATCCAAAACAGACTGGCATTAGGCACCCTACCATGGAACACTCAAATGATACTCTTTTCTATGAATGTGACTATGAACTGGAAATTATGCATGATATGTGGGGAGCACTGGACCCTCCCCAAGAATGAGTTTTGAGCTGAGCCCTGGTGGTGCCTGGAATAGGAGAAGTGATGATGCAAGAAGTGTTGTAAAATATGTAAGACAGAACTAAGGCCAAAGGGTACTCTCCTCTCACTGAGACATCATCGAGGTTTATAAATCACCTGTCACTGGGGCCACTAGGGACAGGGATACAGGAAATGAAGGGATCAATCATGACAACCCTGCAGGAAGAAATTCGAGGATGTTTTCCTCTATCCTCTTCTAAGAACAAGAATTCCTTTCAAGATTGGGGGTCCCTGTTCAGATACATATTTAATGAAGATACTCTCAATATGGGGGTGTATAGAGATGGGGTGCATATGGATGTGGAGGAGAGAGAAAGTGCTTTATGGCATTCCAGCCAAATTGACTGAAAGTGGCACACATGGTAGAGAGAACCGGTATAGAAACCAGGAAAGTGGTCTCTGCCTCCCTGGCACATGCCATGAGAATGATGGGCGCATAATGACTTCAGTCACCTCCTTTTACTGGTACATTAATGATAGAGTAATGCTTATAAAATATGTACATATAGCAACAACATACAGGCTTAGTTAGACTGTTCTCTCTCAGGATGGCTCTGCTTCGTGCTATGAGTTGGCTGGGCTTGGTTCCAGAATGTGGTTTTGATTTACATCTGGTTCATATACATCTGTTCTGGAAACCAGGCTTAAGGGGCAGTAGCTCCTGGGGCACACTCTCCTCACAGCGCTGGGTCACTGAAAAGCAAGGGCCAAGCCAAACTGTGCAAGCACATTTGAGGCCTCTGCTTGCATCACATTCATTAATATTCCATTGGCCAAAGTAGATTGCATGGTCAACATCAGTGGTCCAAGAAAGTATACTCTGTCCACAGGGGCAGAGGGAACAGAGTGGATAATTCAAACAATCATTTATATGAATGTTATAGCTTTGCAAATTACAAGGCAGTTGGAAGGCATTTCTCTTCCTCCTCATGAGTTTAAACTTGTATTTAAGAATTAATCTGTATCCTTTGTACACGTGCATGTATTTGTGTTTGTACTCACAGCATGTACATGGTTAATCCAATAGTTACCAGATGGACATTCAAAAGAAAGTAGAGACCATCTATGGAAATTGTTTTATGTACAACACAAACACACACAAACTATTTCTGTATATATATATACATATATATACACACACACATATGAAATTCAGCCTTTAAAAGGAGCTCTTGCCACTTGCAATAAATGAATGAACCTAGAGTATATTATGCTAAGAGAAATAAGCCAGACACAGAAAGAAAAATGCTGCATAATGTCACTTATATGTGGAATTTTTAAAAAGTCAAATAGATGGAAATGTAGAGTAGAATGGTTTTTGCAGTGGGGTGGGAGAGGTGGGGGGAAATGGGGAGATATAGGTCAAATAGTATAATGTTGTAGTTATGTAGGATAAAAGTCTAGAGATGTGATGTACAGCATGAGGACTATAGTTAATAAAAATGTATTACATACTGGAAATTTGCTTAAAGAGTTTTCTTAGCATTTAGGTGCTTTTACCACAAAAGAAAAAAGGTAACTGAGAGAATGGATATGTTAATTTGCTTGACTGTAATCATCTTTTCACTATGTATTTATATATCACAATATCACATTGTACACCTTAAATATGTACAATCAATCAATTAATCGATTAATCAATGAAATGAAAATAGAGATATATCTTCAACTAATCCTGATGGAAAGAAGTCCTTCTGGAATTTCTGAAAGATCATTCTAGTTTTACTGAATGATTATGACTTAGGAGAAATGAATGGATTCTGGGGAAAAACCAGTTCCCAAGGGGAGAAAGGTCAGATTCTGAGATGGTGGGTCGAAATTCCAGGAATGGAAGTTTGAAGCAAGAGAGAGAAGTGGGCCTGAAGTTCAGAAATCAAAGTTGGGAATTGGGGCCTGGCACAGTAGCTGATGCCTGTAATCCCAGCACTTTGGGAGGCTGGGGCAGGTGGATCACCTGAGCCCAAAAGTTTGAGACCAGCCTGGGCAACATGACGAAACCTGTCCCTACAAAAAACACAAAAATTAGCTGGGTGTGGCGGTGCACACCTGTAGTCCCAGCTACAAGGGAGGCTGAGGTGGGAAGATCGTTTGAGCCTGGGATGTGGAGGCTGCAGTGAGCCATGATCATGCCATTGCACTGTAGTCCGGGCAAAAGAGTGAGACTCTAGCAAAAGAAAAAAAAAAAGTTGGAACTTTGAGGGTTCTAATGAGAGAACCTCTGGGAAGGATTTCACACTTAGCTGCTTTACTCTAGCCTGTAAACTAAGTCCTATTTGGTGAAATGTTGGGAATCATTTCTCTTACATGTAGTAAGTCTGTTTAGTTTAGTTTAGATAGTTTGTTCATTTCTCAACATTTCAGTTAAGGCTCAGTCATACAGCTTTGCATGTTGTCAAGAAAGTGAAGGATGGGCTAGAGAGGAAAATAAAACATACCTTGTTCAGGTAGATTCTTAAATTGACTCCAAGAAAGCCCAATTTCCTAAAAAGGAATTAACTCCTTAATGTAAACTGTCAGCTTTTCTTTTGTATAGTCCATTTGGGAAACACAATAAAAGAGGGAGATCTTGTTTGTGGTGGAAACATGAGCTTTTTTTCTTTTGACTTAGTGAGAAACAATTTATTTTTCTGATTTATAAGCATATTTTACATATTCTGGTCAATACATCAAATGTATAATGTGGAAGTTCCCTTAAGAATACCAAGACCACACATGTTAAACTCAGCTACATGTTGTATTAGGCTATTAGACAAATGTCACTTTTAATATCACAACACATACATGTACTTTTTTTCATTGACAGAGGAACATGCCTTTCAAAAATATTTTATTGGGTGAAACTTTCTTATTCTCAGGAAAACTTTTGGTTCTTTAATATAATTTATTATGCTCTTTAAAATTCTGTTTGATAAAAGCATTGGTATATTATAAATACCTGTAAAGAAAATATAGTTTAAAATTTCAAGGGAAATAGTATATAAGTTTTCTCTTTGACATTTTCACAAAAATCCACACAGGCACTAAGAAAGACTGACAAAACTGTTTTATATCTGAATATTATACTCCAGGTTGGAAACATTCAATATGATTTTATTTAAATATTAAAGCTTCTTGAGAGTGAACCTTTGGCTACAACCCAATGAGTTGGCTGGGGTTTTAACCCAGAAAATATTTTGTTAGGAAGAATCAAAAGAAAGATTTATACATCTAGCACTAGATTGGGAATGGAAAAGTAATGAGTTTTCATTCTAACTCTTTATTGGCCTTTCCGGGCCAATCTAAGAATTCTCTGGTCCTTTTTAGTTTTAATACTTTTTGATATGCTCCAATATTGGAAATTCTATCTAACACTTCATATCAAACAATATATGAAACTTCCAAGGACAGAGTGATTCCGCAAGTCTTTTAGGAGAACATTCTCTAAGCATTACGGGCATTGCTCTGCAAACACCCTCTACACAAATTCAAATGGTAGAAGAGCAGGTGAAAATTTGTGTTACCAACCATACTTCAAGCCAAAGCAAATGACAGACTCTAGTGTTCTTTTCATGAACCAGTTCAATGCCATGAATTACCTTATGAAGTTCAAACTTCATGGAAAAATTGCAAACAGCAAACTCAGTGGGAGAAAGCCAGCATTGTAGGTGACTGGAGACTTTGTAAGCATATTGAGAGAAGGAAGCCAGAAGGTTAGTAATAAATGAATTAGTATTAGTGATCATCCAGGTGAGGTGAGATTACATAAGCAAACTCATAATTATTATTGTACAGATCCTGCCTAACAGAAGATGCGGGTAGTTTGTTTTTCCTAATGCATTTACACTTTGTACACATTCGCTTAGTGTAGGAGTGGGCAAAATCAAATGCCTATTGGATACTGCCCAGCAAGGAATCAAGTGCCTGCTCTAGGTAACATGGAGCAGGGTGCCATGGGGACTGAGAGTCATCTAATCAGGCAGCTGCTACTCAGCTCCAGCTAACTGTTGCCATGAGCAAAGATGGGTCCGAGAATGAGGTTTTATGTGAAACATCATATTTTCAATAACCACTCATATTTTAAAAACATTCTGCATACCAAACAAAATCTACCTGAGGGACAATTAAGGTCCATGGCCTGCCAGTTTCTGCTTCTGATTTGAAGCTTAGGAGCAATTTGGTGAGAATTTGGACACTATCAGTGATAGGATTGGAGAAGAACTTTTAGTATCAAGGAATAAACATTCAGTTTCAAATACTTAGAACACGCTGTTCTAATGAACACAGTTGGAAAAAAACAAAAACAAAACTTCTCTTGGTTTCTCCCTATTATGAGTATTTTTCTATTATTACATTAGGTCTCCATGTGATAAGTGGTTTCCTGTTACTGCTGAAAAAAATTGTGACTAGGAATTTGCCAAGTCCCAAGTGTAAGTTTTTTTTTTTCTGGGAAAGTGGTATATATCATTTCTCCCAACATTTATTTTGTGGCTGAGAAAGGAGACAGGTATAGAAAACTTTCAGAAGGAGAAACAGAGGAAAGACCAGGCATGCAGCACGAGTCATAACCACCTCTGGATCCACGGACGCCTCTGGCACCACAGACACAGTGCACCAGGCAAAGAATGTTCGAAAATTGCTCAAACCAGAGCATTCAGATTTCAAGATCTGTTTCTAGATCTAAATAATCCAGCTTTTGACCAACATGACCAGATTTTGACTACAGGAATGAGTGGCACTTTGGAATAGAAAGATCTAGGGAATGAGTCTTACAGTGAACTCCTTCATTAGGCCTACCAAATACTTTCTTGGCATCAAAATTTGAAGAACCACATGGACAAGACAGGGAACAAGCTACAGAAACAGTTTCTGACTCCTTCTCATTCTTTGCAGATTATGTTTTCAAATTAATTGATATCCCAGGTTTTGCCTTTTCTTTTGAGAATTGAAATGGGCTCTAATGCAGTGTTCTAATGTAGTGTAAGAGCTTTTTGTCAACTGTGACTCCAGAAAGAACAAAACACTTCACTTGTGCAGACAGGAAAGATGTGTTTTGAAATACCTATGATCAATTCTGGAAGTTGAACTTCCTGCTTGAGCTCATCCCCTTCACATGTACAGTTTAGGGAGAAAAAGAAAAGGTGCCACAAAGGATATTATAAGCATAAGAATTCATGACAAAACAACCACTTCAGACACAGGCAAAATCGCAGGGTAAGGAAGAAGCATGAATATTTCCAACTTGGGACCACACACTTATTTTAATTTTCCTCATTCAGAATGTCCACCAGAGCTTGAAGCAGCCGGTCGTCTCTGTGCTTGTAAGGTTTAGTGTTATAAAAAACATCAACATAGTCATTATACAGACTGTCTTCAGAGTCTTTAAGCTGGGAAGGTTTGTTCAGCTTTTCCAGGGCTTCGTAGAAGTTTTCATAAGGGATGTTGAGCTTTGCACTTGGGGACTTCTTTGGTGATTGCTTTGGCGGTGAGTTTTTACTGAAAGCACTTTGCAGGAGTCGCAGCATGGCCTGGGAAGGGGCTCCCTCCTCCAACTCATCCCTCCGGCCCCCTACGCTGCTGCTGCTGGGGCTTTTGGACACCAGGGTGTTCTCCTTAGGGTTCTCTTGTGTGGGCTGCTCCTAAAACATAGAATGCCATCCACAAAGGGAAGAAGGTTCATTATTTATGGCCAGGCAAGCTAGTTGCAACCCTACCACAGGAACGCTGCCTGCCGCTTGAGAGGCAATGAGGGGAGGGGAGAGAGTTCAAGACTGGGAGCCACATGGACTTGGGCTTCAACCCTCATTTGCCTACCCTCTGGGGTACCTTTAACAACCTTTTTAATCTCCCTCAACTTCACCTGTCAGGTGGAATAAGAGTACCTCCATTTGTGGTGGTTTTGAAGACTAGATGAGACTGTATAGGTAAGTACTCAGTACATGGTGGTTTTCTTTACTTGTCAGCCTGCTGTCATGGAATCCATTTTGGGAAGCAGAGGATATCAAAATATCTAACAAGTCATATAGAAGGCACCCACTGGTTGCGGTAGCATGGGTGTGCCTTCCTGGAGGCACTGGCTTTCAGAACTACCCTTTTAGCCACTGAGCTGTAAGAAGTGGTCAGGGGAGAGACTGAGGTGCTAGGCTGGGGAGGAGGGAGCTGGAGAGCTCAGAGAAGCCAACCTTGGCCAACTGCTGTGGAAGTGTTTCAATATTCCAACACTGACAAGGTTAACCTGCTTCCCAGACTGTGAAGAAAAGTACTCAGGACTCAGGTCCTGGAGGGAAGCTGCTTTGAAGAATATAAATGGAACTAGAATTCAAGCTGAGGCCTTCACAGTTCATGTGTAAGTTTCTTGAATATGTACTTTGCCTCTGTATCTTCCAAAACACCCAGCTCAGAGCTGGACCTATTCAGAGCAGGGCGTTCTGAAAATTCTGAAAACCTACCTATTACACCTGAGGCACTGTGCTAGATGCTGGGATACAGAGATAAAGAAAATGTGGGCTTTTCTCACCATCTGATAGAAGGAAGCCAGGAGCCATAGCAGGCTGAAACCCAGGAATGTGAACGACTTATTTTAGCTATCCTCTGAAATTTTTTGAGAAAAAGTGTGATCTATCGCTCCCCTTGGTGTTGCCAAGAAGTGTCAGTTAATGAATTAATAAAAAGAAGCCTACATGATTTGGCCATTTGAGCCTTGTTTTTCTTTCTGCAAAATGGATACACGAATGTCTATCCTTCCTAGGTTATAGGGATTATAGGTTAATGAGACAATGTGGAAAATGCTTAAAAACAAAGTACAGTACAAATGTTAGATATATGTGATTGGGCATAAAGATAACTTTTTTTTCCATTTGTTATCTGTCATAAGTGGAGAAAATTCATGTTAGGAAATTTAATACTTTTGAATTCATTAATTGTGATTTCTAAGTTCTGGATAAAATATTGAATGAAAAAAATACAGTTTTATCCTATGGAAAAGAATAGTTTACCACTATCACTTCTTATCCTCCCCATCCATGTTTGACTTATTTCCTGCTTGGAAGTTGGGTACAGCTTCACTGACTACATTGTCTACCCCAGTTCAAAAGAGAGCATGCCAAGAACAGAGCCACACAGACCTCCCCTGGATCCACCATCTTCTCCACCCCTCTTCTGTCATTCTGAACAGTGTTGTAGGACGTGTACACACGAGGCTGCTTCATATGCTCTGGCTGAGAAGAGGTCCCGTGCAAAATCAGCTTCCAGTTCACAATTCTTCCTTCATTTTGAATTCTTCCAGACTAACAAATAAGCATACCTACATTTAGTATGTGTTTTAGATAATATAAAACAAACTCATTCAAAATAGCTAAAAAGGATTTCATTGTTAAAATCTCATTTTAAGATTCTGTGCATTTCATGTGAAAGAAACCATTGGATCCACTCTTGCTATAAAAATTGACAATTTGTAGGTTCAACAGTTTAGAAACTGATTGCTTCATAATCAAACATTTAATTTAAAAATCAGAAATCTCTATGTAAGTCTTCTTTTCCATATTGGATGTGTTCTTGGAAAGCTGACTGTACCTTCTATAAATATATTTCCCAATTATCAACTTATAGAAACATTCCACTGGGAAAAAAGTCAGCCTCTATGGAGTATTATAAACAACCTCTAGCATTAATAAGCCCTTAAAAATTGTGTGGCACATATGCACTGTGGAATACTATGCAGCCATAAAAAAGAGTGAGTTCATGTCCTCTGCAGGGACATGGATAAAGCTGGAAACCATCATTCTCAGCAAACCAACACAGGAACAGAAAACCAAACACTGAATGTTCTCACTCATAAGTGGGAGTTGAACAGTGGGAACATATGGGCACAGGGAGGGGAACATCACACAATGGGCCTGTCAGGGAGTAGGGGGCAAGGGGAGGGATAGCATTAGGAGAAATATCTAATGTAGATGATGGGTTGATGGGTGCAGCAAACCACCATGGCATGTGTATACCTATGTAACAAACCTGCACACTCTGTACATGTACTCCAGAACTTAAAGTATAATAAAAAACTAAATAAAAGAGGTCTATAAAGTTCAATGACAAAAAATAAATAAATAAGAGGTCTATAAATTCAGTTACAAAAAGTTGCATATTTGGGGGAATAGTCATAATTTTCAAGGCTCAACAATTATAAATAATGTGTTAAAATCTAAAATATCTTTAAAAATTTAGAAGTGTAAGGTCAGATTTTGCAGACTTGACATGAAATAAATCCCACCTTGGTAAATAGATTTTCTTAGTTTCCTGATGGTGAAATTGAGTTGAAGAATAGAGGCCAAATTCAAGAACAGGCCCAGATGCTAAGAACATTCTTTTTTTGCTCTATGAGAGAAGGACATTTTACAACTTCCATTTCTAAATCACAATTTTAGCAGTCTTTAGGAGAAAGCTATCCTCAGAGAAAAAAATGTAACAAACGACTATAGAATTTGTATTAATTTAATTGACATCTCCAAGAACTTTAAATGATTTATTTTCAAAAAGTTATCTAGGCCGGGTGTGGTGGCTTACACCTGTAATCCCACCACTTTGGGAGGCCGAGGTGGGTAAATCACCTGAGGTAAGGAGCTCGAGACCAGCCTGACCAACATGGTGAAACCCCATTTCTACTAAAAATACAAAAATTAGCCAGGCTTGGTGGTGGGTACCTGTAATTCCAGCTAGTCGGGAGGCTGAGGCAGGAGAAGCGCTTGAACCCAGGAGGCAGAGGTTGCAGTGAGCCGAGACTGTGCCACTGCAACTCCAGCCTGGGTGACAGAGCAAGACTCCGTCTCAAAAAAAAAAAAAAAAGTTATTTAGGCGTATAATTCTACACTGCTGATATTTATTACACTTTTGTCACAGAAGAACTCAGAGCCAAAACATTATTCATTTATATTCTCACCTACAGAGAATGTTGGAGAAATGATGCAAAAATAAATAATTAAGCTATATTTGGCTTTTTTCTAACTTTTGCTCTGTACTTGCATTTTTGTGACTGTGTGTTAAAATTACAGAAGGATGTCAAAGAATGTTAGTAAACAGAATGAAAAAGAAATGAGAAATGCTTTCGGTTTGTTTCATGACTAAAACTGTTTAAAAAAGTCATATTAAATAAGATATCTCTCCAAACATTAAGCTACATCTAAATAGCTATTGCAGAATAATCATAAGCATGCCTTTAAGATGTGACTCTGGCAGAATGTCACACCAAAGTTGGTCTGAGCATTTAAGTATCTTTGTGAATATGATTGATTTTGTTGGCTGAATAGGTTAGATGGCTGGCTGCATGCAGACATGGGAACACCTGGATTTGTCCCACAGTCTGTCACATTGTTTATATAAGTGTTTTTCCCCCTCTTATAGTATGGCTGAAGCCTAATCTTTCTTTTTGAATATTATCTACGTAACCAAGTGGTCAGGGCTTGAAACACTCTACTTTTCCCTTACTTCTACTAAGAAGGGGTACAATTCTTTAGGGCCCTAATTAATGATGAAATCAACCTTAAAAGTGCTTCAAAATGTTTAAAAGTAAGCTTGTGTTTTTTCATCCTCTCATTCACACTTACCATGTCTGTAATTCTCAAAGTCCAAGTACCTATAGGGTTCTCTCCCCATGTGTGAACAGACATGAAGTCCCAATTCTTAAAGCCATTAGGAGATGTATCCCGTTCTCTTTCAGCCAAGAGCACAGTGCTAGTTCCTATGAAACAAATACAAGTTAATGAATGTCCTAATAGCTCTGATAGTAGGATACACTCTAGCATCTGATAACTGAAAATAAAAGCTGAAAAAGATGAGTTCTCCTAATTTTCTCTTTTAGTATAAGACCAGGATAGAGACACTCACAAGGAAAAAATATGATGTTTTTATCTATAGTGCTTAGCACATTGCCTGGCATATATAATAATGAATAATATTATTTGCCTCAATAAATATTGTGGAAAAAATAATGAATGAATGAATGAAAATGTTGACTAAGGTTTATTTAAATAAGGAAAACTCGGCGAACTACATTTACAAATTGAATTAGAGAGTCAAAAATCTAAAAATATTTTAATGAAACTATCATTTCTGAAGTGTGAGAGGAAATCTTGAAAATTTAGTAGGTGCCTGACTCCATAATGATTTAAACATAAAAATTATTATTTAATTTATTATGCAATCATTAATAATCATAATTATTTAATTAATGTATTAATTTCTTAAAGATATATTAATTTAACAATCTCTTATATTAAAAGACAGGTTACCTGTAAATTTTTAAGTCCCAGCCCTTTCTAGATCAATTGATAATAGTTCTATGTGGAAGGGTTAAATAACTGCAGGTCTATCAATTAAAAAAGCATTCCACCAATATTTCAGGTTAATTCCAATACATCTAGAAAGCATAACTTCAAAATTAACAGAGCCTATTCCAAACCTCTAAGAATTAATATTCAGGAGGAAGATCATAGAGATAGCTCATCTTTCCTCACATATCACCCACAGAAACCAAATTTAGTCAGTTGAGTCCTGCTAAAACATAAAGGAGTATTGGGACTGCTCCTCCTGGTTAGATTATGGCTTATGGTTCACGAGCTCTTTCCCATCCACTATCTTATCTGAATTAGTGCCCTCGCAGGAAAAAGCAAATGTTCATACATCATATAAAATGGCCTTATTCATGTTACTATGATAAATTTGTTAATCTTCTCAATCTCCTCTAATCGATCTGAATTCCCAGTTTTCAATGGACTCCTTGTATGTTTCGGATATATCTGTGAGTTTGGTTAATTATCAGAGTAACTTTCACTAATTTGCTATCTAAGAGAAAAGTGATAGGTCAGTAAAATGGAAAAGTAAACAGTTTGAAAATGCATGACTTCAGAAAAGTGTATTAATTAGCATTATTTGAATGGGCCTCATTCTCTGCTTATCAAAGGATCAGTGGAAATGGGCAGGGCAGAGGGAGATCTAACACCAAGAAAAAGGAAAAAATAAGCATGTTTTTTAAGACCTGAAAATATCTATTAGGAGACTTTGTTCTATGAATAAACAAAAGCAATCAGTTATTTGAATCATTCAACTTACACTTAAAAATATAAATGGCTTAGAACTTTTTTAATTTACCAGCAGCAGAAGTAAGTGTGACATGAAGGTCTCCTCTTCGGGAATATTCAATTGTTGCTTCAAATTGTACATGCTCCAGGGACTTGATAGCATTTTCTTGTCCTTCACAAGCTCTTGTTGGAATTTCAATGATAACTTCTCCATTAGCTTTCAGGGCTCTAAATACATTAAAGAATCAGCATTGAATAAAGTATATCCAAACTTCCTTGCATTTTATGCATATCTGCATGCATCAATCTTGACTAGATGCTCAACTAAGCTTTTTGTCACTCCCTGTGATGTGTAGAACCTAATTCAGAATTATGTATACATGAATTTTAATGCATAAGAAAATGGTAAGGGGCACTAATACTTAAATACAATGCTATTTGCTGTGGAGTCAAATTCAGGCAGATTTATTGTAGACCCATCAAAAAGCCCCTCTTAAGAAAAAAATGATTTTATCTAGAAGGCCTTCTGAAGGCATGCCCCAAGCCTCCCATCCTTGGATATTTTGTGTGAGCAGGTCTTCAGTATTATTTTGATTGCTTTGATAGAAATTACAAAACACTCCTAGTAGAAATTTCTTCTGTGACAAGATGTGGTGTGCTAGAGGGAGTCTAAGTAAGTGTATGATAAAGAATCCCTCATGGAAGAAAAGCCATGAATCACACAGCACTGTGGCATGAAGCAAGGCTATTTTGCAAGCAGATTTTGGGTAAAACTGGTTGGCAAGTACTGCATTTCATCAACCCTAAGATGCATTTTAAAAAAATAGTTAAACATTGAATTTAGAATGAATCTTAAAACTGATGGGTGGTTGATCACAGTTTAATTGACAATAAAACAATGGTGCATCTTAGACTGGGTGCTATGTGGTAGGTGGACTACAAGAGGAACATGCAAATGGTTAACATGGTTTCTAGAGCTTTGGTCTCTTAGTTAGTCCCCATGGATACCCACAGAGAACACTAGAAAATTCCACCTCCATCTACTTCAGAAGGGTAGATACAAAAAAATCAGGCAGAATGGCAAACATAGTAATGAAATTATGCCATGGGCACACATGTGTTTAAAATTCCAGGAGATACTTACCTGGGCTCAAAGTCATTGTCCTTTACAACACACTCTTTCTTCTCAGGCACGCTCCTCCAGGTCCTGGGGTCAGCTAAATCCACCAGAGCTTTGGCATTTAGCAAGCCAAATCCAAATCGACTATTCACCATCAAGCCTGCTCCATTCTTTTTCCATCCAGGGTTATTGGCCAGCGGGTCATACTCAGAGGTCCAGACAACCAGGTGCTGCATATCTCGCCAGGTGAGATTTGGGCTGGAGGGGAAGTGACCCAAAGTGTCTTTCAGAGAAAAATGAAGTTTCCTTGCAAAAGCAAGTGCTAACAATAAGCATCTCCATTCAGGGATTATGAAGTGCCTTTTGCTATTGTAGTTATGTTATTCTAGTGTCTATTACTGTTCATATATCTTTTCATTCAGAATTCAGAATACAGAGCTGAAAACTTCTCCCTGTAACATATAAGTTATGACTTCTCTCCAGAGCATATAAGCTTTTACTATGAGTAAAATTCAGTCCTCAGCAATATAGAAGTATAAAACTTTGTCCTTAATTTCTAATTGCTTCCATTTAACTGAGCAAACATTTTAAATGGTAACACTTTCTTTATGCCCTCCAGTCTCATGCTGTCCATTAAAAGCCTTAGCACTTTCAGCATTATGAACCCACAGACGAGGCCTTGACTTCCTTCTTAGGAAGAGTGAGATGTTAAAGACACAGACTGGCTACCTGCTGTAAACATGTATTGCCTTTTTCTTTATCTATCAAAAGCGTCAAGAAACTCTTAGCTATTTGAGCTCACTCTTGCAAGGCACTATGCTAATACCATGGGGATATTCAAGGATGTGGTTCTTGTCTTTTAGAAGTTTACAATCCAGGCTGGGCGCGGTGGCTCACGCCTGTAATCCCAGCACTTTGGGAGGCCGAGGCGGGCGGATCACAAGGTCAGGAGATCGAGACCATCTTGGCTAACACGGTGAAACCCCGTCTCTACTAAAAATACAAAAAATTAGCCGGGCGCGGTGGCGGGCGCCTGTAGTCCCAGCTACTCGGGAGGCTGAGGCAGGAGAATGGCGTGAACCTGGGAGGCGGAGCTTGCAGTGAGCCAAGATTGTGCCACTGCAATCCGGCCTGGGCTAAAGAGCGGGACTCCGTCTCAAAAAAAAAAAAAAAAAAAAAAAAAAGAAGTTTACAATCCAGTAAAAAGAATTAAGGCTTTTATAATTCTATCTGGTGAGTGCTATATTCATAGCTTAACGCATTGTGGGAGTTTAGAGTAGAAAGAATTTCCATGGAATAGAAAGATCTAGGAAAACTTTGTGGGGGAGAAATATTTGAGCTGGACTTTGACAGGGGGTAGAGTGTTAAGAAGTGGAGATAGAGAAGAAGGCCACTGGAGCAAAAGCACCAAAGTGGGACAGTACAGGTGTGGCCAGATGACAGCCTGGTTTGCTGGGGCAGGGGAGAGGCAGTGAGGAGTATTGGGCCAGAGCGATGAGAACCTGGCATGCCAGAAAGGGAGCTTATACTTTATCTTTTGGGCAGTGGGAATCAGTGAGAATTTTTGAGTAAGGAAATAGTAAAATCATAAGTCTTAGTAAGATTAATTTAGCAACACTATAAAGATAAATCAGAGATATAAGGGATTGTTGGATCTATTATACTATGATGAGGCCTTCCTTGATCAGCCTATTTAAAATTTCCACTCTCCCACATGGTCCCGAGCTCTTTTATTCTGCTATATGTGCATATTCTCCTTCCATTGCACTTATAGGCTTCTAACATGCGGGAAACTCATTTGTATTGTGTTTTGTTGATGTCTCTCTCCCTGGTTCTAATTTAACCATGAGAAGTGGTGAGATCTTTATCCATCTTGTTCTCTGATGTGTAGCACCCAGAAGAATGCTGGGCACAGGGTATATATGCTCAGCAGATATGGTTGGTTCAGAGACTGAACATGCCTAAGTGCTAACTAGCCCCAAATATAATTTTAAAACATATTGCTCCTAGTCATCAGTCAGATTCTCAAACTTTTCCTCGACTTTGAGACCTGTATTGTTCCCTGAAGCCAATCAAGCATTATGTAATAAGTAGATGCCCAGTTTTTACTCCTCAAGGTTCCTGTCTCAGCACTCGGTTGGAGAACAATCATCAGGGGAGTCTGGCTCACTTTGCTGCCTTCTCCCCAGAGCCCATCATGTACTGGCTCAGTAATCCCCTGTGACAAGAAAGAGGCAGTGGACATTCCTAAACACTGAAGAGTCCGGCTCCTAGTTAAAAACCGTGTGTGATTTTTCAGGCCTGACCATAGGCGATTTCAAAGGTCTTACCTGGCACGACACACGGGGAAGCTGCCCTCCCCATGCAGACACAGTGTGCAGTTTGTGGCTCGCAGCCTCTGAGAGGAGTTTCCATGAAGGCCGCAGGCCCCCTGGCCCCTCATGTTCTTTCCATATTGACATTCCTAGCTGGTGAGAGCTTTCCTTCCTAGGTCCCTTGGTCAGGCCTCCTCGTGGAGAGAGGAGGGGAAACATCTAGACACTTTCCTCACTCAGACTCAGTGCCTGGTGCTTCTCCACTCCCGTACTCTCTTGGTCCCTCCCCGCCTCACACCTCAGAGTCCATAAAATTGCCAGAGCCTTTTGTTCGGGGCTCCCTCAGCAGTGAGATGACCCTCAAGTCTGTGCTGAGCCACTCAACCAGTATGCCAGGAACAGGGCGAGTAAGTGTTTTCTCCGGTTTCAGACTCTTGCTTATGTCATAGCAGTAAGTGACTAAAGGCTCAATGCTTTCATTTTTGGCTTGTTGAATTAATAGGCTACTCCACACCTGACAGCTCAGCTCACCTGAGCTGAGCTCCCGACAAACATACCACTTTACCCTGGAGAGTGACTGACAGAGAGGCCTTGGAAGGACACCAGTTTAGGGATCCTCAGTGAGTCCCAGAATGCTTGCCTCATGATCACCTGGTACACTTGTAAATAGAATAGGACATTTTATTGAAATGCTTGCTTCCTTCCAGTCTTTTAAAAGGAGTTTTAGGTAAAAGCCTCTTATCAAGGCAGTCAATGGGCAACACACCAGTTTTCCGTTTGGATCATCAGTATGTGCAGGTGCATGTGTGGAGGCAGGAAGGAGGAAGCGTACTGAGGAGGCTTAAGGCAAGGTGCTGATAATCATGATTATCACATATAGCATGTGTGTCCTATGTTTCTGTAGTAGAGCATTTATTTTATATGCAGTTGCAGGTTATTTTGTTTTAAAAATTTCCTTTATCTAGTCTCTGCAAAATATTAAGGAGCTTCATTGTCATGCAATTAGAAAAACCTATTTTTCTTTTTTTATTATTATTATACTTTAAGTTCTAGGGTACATGTGCACAACGTGCAGTTTTGTTACATATGTACACATGTGCCATGTTGGTGTGCTGCACCCGTTAACTCGTCATTTACATTAGGTATATCTCCTAATGCTATCCCTCTCCACTCACCCCACCCCATGACAGGCCCCGGTGTATTTTTCTAACAGAGTTATTGTTCATTCGTGTGCTTGTATTTCATAAATGAAAAGGAGCTGCTAACAACAGTGCAACTCATTCCTGACAGCCTTCCTTTGTTAATTTGTGCTCAATGACATCCACGATAATTAAATTTTTAAACACTGCATTGAGTGGCTAATCAAAGATATGTTTACAGAAAATAAGGGTATGGAATTAAACACCGAATTAAGCATTGCTTCTAATTAGAAGAGATGTAGGTAATGTAATTTGGAGACAAAATTCCAGAGTGAAAAGTCTTAGGAGCTATCTGGTTCAGCCTCTAATCATACCTAAATTAGCCTAGATCTTAAAATTTTTCTAACTTGGACTTTCTAACATTTCACAACCCACTAAGTCAAGACTTTTTTGTTGTGATTTTTTTCCAAAGGTTTCATGCAGCATTGAAAGTCCATTTCTCTTTCTCCAGGTTTTAATAAGACCAGAAGTTTGGCTTATCTGTTTGTTTAATATTTCCAAAGGTGTGAAGGGATTCAATGGTTCACTTCAGAATTTTCCTCACCTATTAAAAATTATTCTGATTCTTTTGATCTCTCCTCAGAAGGCTGAGGCTATTTTCTACAGCTTTCTTAGGTATACTCACTACATAATAATAATAGTGCCACAAACATTTATGCAAGGAATTCCTTCTTCTCTTAGTATATTTATCTCCAAGATACACCTACTAACTACCCTAATGGGTTTCTACACAAACACAGGTGGATGAGGTTGTAGGAAAACACAGTGGTAAAAGTAACTCTTTATAGCATTTGTTTCTCAAAACTTGGTTAAGGTATTACTAGCATTAAAAAGTGCCTGGGAGATTTGTTAAAAAAGGAATTCCTAGGTTGAATACCAGAAACTCCTAGGCAGATACAAGGTCTGAATAGTTGCTGGCAAAATGACCTGGGAACCTGCATGTTAAATAAACTCCCCAGGTGATGACTATATATGCTGGTACTTGAGAAACATCGCTTTGGGGAAGGAAAGTATTTCTTTGTGCATATTCAGCCAGAAACCATTCCTTCTCCTTTCCTTTTCTCCTCCCATTCCCCAATACTCTGGCTATATAACATTTAACACAGCATATTGAGTAGTCTGCTTGTGACAGAAAACTTATAAGAAACTCATAAATGCATGTTCATTTATCAGCCTCAATCTTCCGAACCCTCCTTTATTTGAGGAGATGATAGGCTGCCATTCAACATTGCCTCTCCCTCACAGGGCTGTGGGAGGCTGCAAGGTGTGGTTGCTGATAGCACAGACTTTGCAGTCAGAGAGACTTGAGTTTGAATTTCTTTGTGGGATCTTGGTTATATATCTCAACCTCTCTAAGCCTTATTTTTTCCCATTTATAGGTGAAATTAATAATTTCTATGTCATAAGAATGTTGTAAGCGTTATAATTAATATTGTATATAAAGAGGCCAGCTGTGTCTGGTCTACAGTAAGAACCTAATCAATATTGGGTGCCATTATTCTTGATAAGTTTAGGCAAGGGCTCTTCAGTCTCCATAGTTGTTCCTGTGGGATGGCACATGATTAAATGATTTTCTCATTCTTGAGTGCCTTGGGATAAAGCTTGGTCACATGTCTAGAAATTCTGGCATTCAGCTTTGGTATAGACAATTGAATAGAGTTCAGAAAAATGTTCAATTGAGAACAGAAATCTTAATAACCTCTATGTACCTTGGCAGTAAGGATATAAATGTTAAGATAGATCAGTCATACTTATCTTACTGATGAATTGAGTCAAAATGAAGGGAATTAAATTCTTATGATAAGCACCTGGGAGATCATAGACTCTTAATATCTCTTAAATCACGAACACTGAGAATCTGGTGAAACCTATAAGCCATTCCCCAGAAATATGCCATACATACATTTATAAGCAATTCTGCATTTAGTTGCAAAGAGATTCATGGACCCCTTGGAACCCATCTGAGTGTTTCACAGAAATGAAACACCTGCTTTAGAGACTGTCCATCAGAGACTGAGATTAATGAGGCTAGATCATTCCTAGATCATTTTCTCCTACATAGAAAAAAGAAGGATCAAATTAGCCAGGCATGGTGGCACATGCCTGTAATCCCAGCTACTCAGGAGGCTGAGGCATAAGAATTTCTTGAACCGGAGGGGTTGAGGTTGCAGTGAGCCGAGATCTTGCCACTGCACTCCAGCCTGGGTGACGGAGTGAGACACTGTCTCCAAAAGAAAAAGAAAAGGAAAGGATTATTTTCTGTATAGGATCATTTTCCACTATACAGAAAAAGAAGCCTTGAGGTTTTAGAAACCAAGGATTGCACTTTTACAATTTCAGCTCTTACATAAAATTGGCATTACTTCTGTTCAGCAGATGGATATTTCTACTATATTGGTCACTATACAAGGATGGGCTAGGCACGGCTAGTTATATTTACATGCATCTGACAGGTGTTGGATAGAGAAGAAAGGCTCTAGACATAAAATTTTAAGATTGCTTTCTTTTAACAGCTCCCTGGGGTAGTAGTCTGTGTTTTGAAATCTTAAATATAATAAGTCTGTTGCACAGGATCCTATAATCCATAGGACCCTATTTTCTTCCAGTCCAGACCCCTCATCACTGACCCCAACAATTCATGTTGGATTACCTATGCAGGCTGACATTTTCAATCTCAACTCTGAGAATCTTAGGAAGAGAAGAAGTTTGTAAAAAAAGGTCTCGTTTGACCCCTTCATTTTATAGATGGAAAGACTGAACCCCACAAGTAAATTAACTTGCCGAAGGCCACATAGCTAGTGGTAGAGCTAGAACTTGAAGCCAGGTGTTCCTTGCAATTTTCACTGCTTGGACAATTATTTCTCGGTTAATTTGGATCTGCTGATGCCAGTCTCAGCTTGTGTTCATAGATTTTTGTCTTTTGTCCATCTACTTCCTATTATAAGTGAACTTAGATTCTGAACATAGCTTTTCTGGAGGGCCCAATATCTATTTCTAATTGAGCACCTGAATTTACTTCTTCCCTTACCAAACATCTTGCCAGCCCCTCCAAGTAGGTGGACTCTTGGTAAGAGCCTTGCTAGACTTCCTTGCTTAGCCACTGTAGCCATCTCACAGCCGAGATACCCAGGAATATACCCCATCTCCATAGGAAGCCCCAGGGATCCTAGAGATAAACTGGACTCTCCTGGACAAAGGCTCAGGAACCTCAGGGCTTTTCCAGTCATGGCAAAGGCCAAGATATTTTTCCTTTCTGTTATTACGAACTGAGTCTACTGAATATGACATAAGGACACTGCTTTGTTCTCTCTCTAGAGAATATGTAATTTATTCTAGGATAATCTCCTTATTAGGAAGGATAATAGTAATTTACAAGTTTAATCACTTCTTCTAATATGCAACCATAGCACCTGACTTGACATTTCAAGATTCACTGTCACCACACATCAGAAAGCAGGAATGAGGACACATAAAAAGCTGTGATGTGCAGTGTGAGACAGTTCAATTTTTTTCCTCTGTGTTAAGTATTGGACTATTGGGTAATTATGAGAAAAAAAAAGTTAAATCTTTTTTTAACATCATACACTAAAATAAATTCCAGAGGGATTTAGAATTTAAATATGGTAAAGAAACCATAATAAAAGACATATAATTAATGTTTATCTAATTTGGGGTTGTGAAGATTTTTTCTGAGCATAAAAGCAAAGGAAGAAGCCTTAAAGAAACAGACTGACAAACATAACTACATACATATTAACTACATTTCATTAAAAATTACATAGAAACAAATTAAAAGGTAAATGTCAAACTTATAAAGCATCTAGCTTTTGTGAACCAAGGCCATAAAACAAAACTAAGGCCATAAAGAAGCAACCCCAGAAGACAAAGAGCTGAAGGGTATGAAATATTGAGCTTCATTAGTAATTAAATACAAGCATATTAAAATGAGATACCATTTTCACCTATCAACATAGCAAATATTTTAAAAGATAATAAAAGTAGTTTTGACAAGGGTTTTGGAAACTGGCACTTTCACACATATATTCCTGGAGGGAATATAAAATGGTATAGTCATTCAAGGCAGCATCTTGTCAATATATATAAAAATCATTAAAACATGCTTGCCCTTTGACCCAGAAATTCCAATTCTGAGTGTTTATCCTGAGGAAATTGTCAGAGATGACAACTAATATTTACTGACAATGGTGTTTAAGCATGATTAGATGACTTTAAGGAAATTTGTGTTTATACAATGGAACACTGTGAAAATATAAAACTCCTGCCTTTAAATCTCATGTCCCCTGATGTGGTTATATCAGCTCCAGGACTAGGCTTACATATTCAAAGAAAGGAGTTTTTTAAACTTGTTCCTAATACTGCCCACTGGAAACTATTTAAACAAAATCCTGCTGGAAGAGAATAAACAAAAGGCGTTGTAGCTGAGTGGGAAGAAGATTTGAGGGATAGCATGAGTTTTAAAGGTCAAAGCATATTGATTTAGACAGGAGAAAGTATGTTTAATATATTGTAGAATGGGTTTTAAAAACAGATTACAAAATAACGTCTATATTAAGATCCCAATTTTGTAAGATGTGTGTGTATTAAATCTACATTGAGATGTTAACTATGGTTAGTGACCTCGAAGTGGCAGGAAAGAGCTTATCTTTATTTGCAGTATTCCAAAATTTCTCCTGTAACCATGTATTCAGAAAAAAAAGTGTTATTAAAAATAAGGAGAATCAGCCTTTGTAAAGGTGATTAGAAGCTTTCTGGGCCTTACTTTGCTTCCAGGGCCAGAGCGAAGATGCCAGCAGCCAGAGGTGCAGAGGCCGAGGTGCCTGTGTGCGTCTCCGTGCAGTCATTGTGCAGGTCAGCGCTCGTCTGGATGACGTCAGGAAGGAGAGAAAGGCAGGGAGAACACGTGAGGAGTGTGGGCCTGTCTTGGGGGTTAACTGTACCAAAGGCTGCATCTGCTATGACCAGGAAACTCAGCTGATTCGATTGCCTACTTTCTCCTCTAAACCACAGGCGGATGTTTGCCATCTGCTGATATTTTAGTTCACCCTCTATATGCAACTTCTCTATAATTCTGGCAGCAAGATGCCTTTTCTGGGGATGAAGTACTCCCACTACGAATATTTTCTTTTCTGAGATTCCCAAACGAAATGCTGTCTATAAAAAACAAAGTTTCAAAATCACTGTGAATCATGCTGGCCCATTAATCATCGGGTCCATTGTGTTTGGTCTGGCATATTTAGAAATTCTGTCTCATACAAAATTCCCTTTTGCCTTCAGATTGACATTTGGCTGCCTCTTCAGCCCAAGGATATGAAGACATCCTGGCCTTAGCCATTTGAACTACTTGCACAAAAAATGCTTAATATGTAGTTTGCACTCACTGTTGAACTAGATTTGATACCTGTGAGTTGGTGTCCACATTTACACTTTGAGGAAAACGATGGGTCTTTAAAATGGAAAGTGTGCTGGACTTAGTTCTGGGTTCAAATTCTCTAACTGCTACTTAATAGATTTGTCCTCGGGCAAGTCATTTGGCTCCCCATCTGTAAAATGCGATTTATATTTTCTGACTCATATGCGAGACTTACCCGAGATGTTCTCTGTGAAAGTAGTTTTACATAATTTTCTTGCAAGTAAGGAATTACCCTGGCTAACTTTAGGGTAATGAAGAGATTGCTGAGATGAAGGGAAGAAACTGAAAAGACTTCCTGTCTGCCTTAAGGACCACGGCGCTGCTGGTTGGGCCAAGGGATTACTAACAAGACACCCACCCAGGCTCCAGCACCGAAGTTCTAGCTCGAGATTTCGATGTGTGGGAGGGAGGTGTAAAAAAATAATTTGTTCTATTATCACCTCCATTGGCTTCCTGCTTGGAGTTGCTGAATTTCTCAAGTTATGATGGCTCTGCTCCTCAGAGGGCTGCGGAAGCAAGGTTGCCCTTTTTACCTGTTGACGCAAGCAAGCCCCCAGAGATGACTATGCTGAGGAAAAGGTTTGCGTAAGAAAAAGGTTATGTTACTGAGACTGTCTCAAATAGAATCCACCAGCTGTCTCTCCTAAGGCTGGCTTTCTTAAGGAGGGAGTTTTACAAAGATAGAAAATCTTTCTTCTGCTTCAGTGCAGGTTACCCAAGATAAGGAACAGTCTGTGAAATGGTGATTCTGAAATGCCCAACAGGCCATTTTCTAAAGGCAGCTCTGGACACCCAGGGAAATGACAACAGCCAGGGGCTCTGAAGACAAGTGGGGCAGATGTCTGATATGCCCCTTTCAAACCCTTTAAAATGTGCCTGCCATAAAACCCCTCGGTAGAATGCCACTGTCTATTACTTGAGTAGCTGAAGAGATGCGCGTGAGAAGCAGGCCCACACTTCTAAGTTGAGACCACAGCTTTACTGTCTAAACTAGCTTGCAGAAGTGATCCTGTATGAAGAAGATGTTCGTGTTGACAATTTTGTTGAGATGCCATTAATAGGAATCTTGCACGCATTCCAAGGTCATTATTATAGGGTTCACCCACCCTCTAATTAGATCATGACCTGCTATTTCACTGAGATAGGATCTATATACTTTAGCTAGTTGGTCCTTTCTGTGTCAGGAGTTAAATTGGGGGCCTTACATTTTTTAAATTAAAGGTGTCTCCCTTTGTTCTCAAAGCCCCTAAATGCCCCTCCATCGTCATGCCCTTGAAGGGAAATCCAGTAATTGCCCTTGGCCGTCTGACTCATGGAAGCAAAGGCGCAGGCAAGCGTGGGCTGGAGGAGCTCTCTGAGCATACGACCTCCCCGAGCTGCTTACCCAGATGCTGAGCAGTTCACCTCAGGGGACACTGAAACTGCTATTTTCCTGCAGGTCATCCATTCTTAGGAGACATAGCTGGTGTAGACTCTGTATTTTTATCATCTGCGACAGGGCAGGTCAGACTATATCCCTGCTGTTAAAGGATCAGCAAGTACAAGGGTGATAAAGCCCCTACAACCCTGAGATCTCCTTTAAGGCTGTTTCCAGGGAGGCATCAGACAAGCAGAAAAGACATTTGGAGTCTCCGCTGTGTGTAATGACAGGTTTGGTGGCTTCTCAAGGCTGGGTTTAAAAATGACAGAGGGGAAGATCATCTTGGCAGAAGTGTCATTATCCCTGGAGAGAAAACTTTCTGATGGATGCCAGCCTTTCAAGTGAGTAAGTGTGAGTTCTCCCAACTGAGACATCAAGCTTAAGCGAATCAGTCGTACCAAAGGTCAGTTAGGGGAATCATTTCACATGCATGCCACGCTCTCCTAACTAAGCAGAGAGAATTAGACAAAAGCAACATACGATTCTCTGGTCGGTGTAATCTCCGCTGCTGTAAGAGGTGGCCAGTGTGGAGGAGCACTTCTCAGCGTACCAGGGGGATAGGCCTTGCTGGGAGGCACTGCTGATGGAGATGGTGTAGATGCTGTCTGTGTAGCCATCACAGTCACAATTATCTCCCTGACGCCCCCCGTTTCCCGAAGCCCAGACGAAGATGGACCCCTTCCCCTGTCTCCCCTAAAGGAAAAGCCAGAATGCATATTATCTGTTATCATCTATTGGGGTCATTGTTATATCCCAATAAAATCCCCAACGACTACATGTGTGAAATTCTCAGAGACAGCTATTTGGGATCTATTTTCAATTCCAGATCTTTTGGCTTCGATATTGGAAATCTCACAAGGCTGTGTATTATAAGCCACTGGACTCTGGCCCTGCCAGTCTCTGGGCCCTCCTGGGGTAGGGCTGAGCACACGCTTTTCTTTCTTATGCAGATTCATAATCTAGCGTTTTGCACTTGCTCATATTTTTCCACCCTTCTCTTAGTTTATGTCACTGCACTTAAATCTTTGAACTTCCTCTCTTTCTTTCTGCTTCAATCTTCTGGCTGACTGATAGAATGACAAAATTAGGAATTATTCAGATCTGCCTTGCAGCTGCATTAAAAGGGACTCTTCAATTGAATGGAACTCGTCAAAGCCGCCCTTTCTATGATTTTTCAATTTGTGCTCTCCAGAGTTTCTACTTTTGTTTCATCTTATGGAGCACAAGGCTTTAGAATCTGTGCAAGAATACAGTAAACCCAAGTGACAGAGCAATCCAACCAAGGCACAGGTATTCAACAGGCACGTGCAGAGCAGAAGGCAACACGTTTCTATATTTGAAAAGCATTTCCGCGCTTGGAAGAAGACTGAGTAGTTTTTTACTAGTGTAAAAACCCAAAAGCAGCAGGAAAATGAGTAAGGAGAAAGAAATGTCCAGAAGCACTTTTAAAATAAATATGCTAAAAGTAATAAATTTCCATTCAACCTCAGACCCAAATAGGGAAAATTCATTTTATTTATTTATATTTAGTTTTGAGGCAGGGTCTCACTCTGTCACCCAGGCTGGAGTGCAATGCTGCAATCTCAGCTCACTGCTACCTCCGCCTTCTGGGTTCAAGCAATTCTTGTGCCTCAGCCTCCCGAGTAGCTGGGACTATAGGCATCTAAGTTGAGACCACAGTTTCACTGTCTAAACTAGGTTGCAGAACAGTGCAACCTAGTTACACCTGGCTAATTTTTGTGTTTTTAGTAGAGGTGGGGTTTCTCCATATTGGCCACTCCTGGCCTCAATTGATCTGCCTCCCTTGGCCATCGCGCCTGGCCACAAATAGGGAAAACTTTCTTAAGCCTTAACTCCCATCCCTCTGAAGAATGATTTGGCCCTCTAAGTGCATTTAAAATTGTAAAGGACTTTGTTAAGAAATCCACAACAATGTTATTCCATGTAACCTAAGTGTTCTTTCCTTCTCCTCATATCCAGATGGTCAGGTTTCATTTCATGTGGGTCTGTGTAAAGCATCTTACCTGTTTGACACCATATTCAAAAGCCTTCTGGGCTAGCCGGCCAGGCCCCTCCACAGTTTTCCCATCATCATTAGGGCCCCAGCTTGCACTGTAAATATCCACGTGTCCAGGATTGAATCCAATTGAACTGGCCTCAATAGCATCCGTCACAATGCCATCCAGCATTCTTATGCCTGAGAAACAAAATAAACAAAGACACACAAAGGTTGATGTCAGTATGTACATGGACAAAAGCCCAATACTCTTACTATTTGTATTTTTAAAGGATTTTAAGAGTCAAAAACCAGGTAACTACTAGATAGATGTCCCCAATTTCTGTAACCCAGCTACTGACACCACAGAAGGAAGGAACATGTTGCTGCCCCCATAAGCTTTTTTGTCGCACTTTAGAGATAATACTATGCAATACCATGCACTGTGTAGGCAGCTGTGATGTTTTTTTTTTTTTTTTTTTTTTTGGTCCCACTCAAGGCTCTCTTCCCAGCAAAAGCTCTGGGCATTGAGTCTGAAGTGGAGCAGCATCCTTGGATGAGAGGAAGTGGCCGTGATTGTTGTCAATTACAAAATGTTTGCCCTCCCTCCCACCCCAACTAAATGACAGACCAGCTTTCAGAAAGACCCTCCAAGCAGCCCTCTGGTGATGCACCTCCTCATGGCTGTCCCACAAATGGCTGTGGCCCAGTCTACGCCACACAAGGACTCTGGACAGGAAACATGTAGCTTCAAAAGATCTAGTCACAACAGGAAACTAACAAATAGGGAAAGCACTTTTGTTTCTAAGCCCTGATTAAAAATAACCCAGAGGCCATCCTTTCATGTGTTTGCTAAGAAACATTTTCAAGGAACATGCTTCCTATTCTTCTAAATAATCTCAAGGATGAAATCATTGCCATGGATTTCACCCCCAAGGGGAATCATTTTTCATCAGGACAATGTAGGTGCGGTAGCTCTTTGTGCTTTCCAACAGGCTGTCACCCGTCATCAGACTTATGAATTCAAGAGCCAGGAAGGCAAAAACAATCTGGACAGATTACAGGCAGCTACCTGGTTATTTCTGGCTTCAGGCTCATAATACAATAAAGTGCACAGCCTTAGATTTTCACACTTATTTACTATGGAGCAAAGGTAAAATGATATGAAATTGATATGATCAGTGAAAGTTGTATTTGTAAAAAAGAAATTGTTCAAAAATGCATTTAGAGCCAGGCGCAGTGGCTCATGCCTTTAATACCAACACTTTGGGAGGCCGAGGTGGGTGGATCACTTGAGGCCAGGAGTTCAAGACCAGCCTGGCCAACATGGAGAAACCCCATCTTTACTAAAAATACAAAAATTAGTCAGGCATGCTGGCACGCACCTATAATCCCAGCTACTCAGGAGGCTGAGGCACAAGAAATGCTTGAACCTGGGAGGCAGAGGTTGCAGTGAGCTAAGATTGCAACCACTGCACTCCAGCCTGGGCAACAGAGCAAGACTCTGTCTCAAAAAAAAAAAAAAAAAATGCATTTAGAAAAAAAATCGGCCAGGTGCGGTGGCTCACGCCTGTAATCCCAGCACTTTGGGAGGCCGAGGCGGGCGGATCACGAGGTCAAGAGATCGAGACCATCCTGGCTAACATGATGAAACCCTGTCTCCACTAAAAATACAAAAAAAAAAAAAAAAAAAAAAAAAATTAGCCGGGCGTAGTGGCGGGTTCCTGTAGTCCTAGCTACTCAGGAGGCTGAGGCAGGAGAATGGCATGAACCCGGGAGGCGGAGCTTGCAGTGAGCCGAGATCGCGCCACTGCACTCCAGCCTGGGCGACAGAGTGAGACTCTGTCTAAAAAAAAAAAAAAAAAATCCCAGTTCTGCTCTTACCAGCTGTGGAATCTTGGGCAAGCCAGTTAACCCTCTGTGCCTCAGTTTCTTCAACTGTAAAATAGGGATGATAATAACAGCTCATGTGCATTCATGATAGTCTATATGCAGCCACCAATCCACAGGCTTTACATGTATAAACTCATCTAAACCTTACAACCACCATTTGAGGTGGGTGCCGTAATTCTCCTCACTTTATAAATGGAGAGATTGAGGCCAGGAAGGGATAGTGACTTGCTCAAGGCCACATAGCTTGAAACTGGGGAGCCAGAATTTGAACCCTACAAATCTAGCCCCTAAATCTGTTAACCACCAGGATACACTGCCTATAATATTTGTAGAGTAACTGACATACAATAGGTGCCTAATAAATGAAGATTATTGGTAAAAAATGCATTTGGGGCCAGACCATCAAAGGATGGAGTAATGGAAAACATCAGTAGGCTTGGAATCTTGTGTTTCAGTTCTACACTGCCACAAACTTGCTTTCATTACCTTGAGCAGCTTGCTTCTGATTCTTTCTCTACAAAATGAAGGGATCAGATGATTCTTTCACAAACTATAGCTGTTTCGTTCATTATGACTAAAAGAGTGAATTCTTTTACTAGCTAATTACATAATTTGTGCTTCTCCCTTCATTTTTTTTAAAAATTAACAGAACACTTTGAAGATGTTAGTATCAAAGGAATCAGGAATGACACTTAAAATTCTAAGAGTGCCCTATATTCATGAAAGATGCATTACATGTCACGATGTATATTTATTTGGTTTCTAAAAAGAAATGCATAACCAAATGCAAGGTATACTCATGTAGAGTTTAATGGGGTTTTATTGTAATTGAAATGTTCTACAATTGATTCTTTTTGTGATTATGGTTTTTGAAAACCAAACTAAACTTGAAGCTTATAACATAACATGAAAGCCTGAGGTTGGGATAGCATAAAGAGGAGAGACAGTTTTTTCTTTTCTCTTGGCCCCTGCAGATACACTTTCCACTCTTCTCCATTAGAACATGGACTGCATCAATGGGCTCTGTCTTCCCATTGGGTTCAGCCAACTGAAGACACCAGCAAGAGGGTGGGAATCAAGAGGAGAATGAGGTGCCTATACCCCTGAATCCCCTTTGCCTAGAAGTGGCTCTGTTGTTGTACTCAAGGCCTATCCAGTGGCTCTCTCCTGTGACCACAGCTTTCCCTCTCTATTTTCTGCTGACTTCTTCCCTTTGCTCCTTGAGGCTAAAGGTGATAACATCTGCCTACCACTTCTTAGCCCCTTGTTGGTTTTCTCTAATTCTTGTAAATCGTTTCTTTATTAAAATGTCCACAGTTGCCCTAATGCAACTTACCATGTGTTTCCCCATAAGGACACTGATGAAAACAATTAAATCCTACATCCTTGCTATAAAAGATAAAATTTGGCTATTTAATATAATAAGTATGTACTTTTTTTAAATTTTGAAGCTGTTCTTCTCTATAAAGTGAAGAACTTCTACAGAATTGAGAGGCAGGAAAAGTCTTTGCCTAAATTTACCTCCTCCTTCTGTTTCCTTAGCAAGCACTCAATAACAAACCATTCTAAATCAGAACATAGAGAAAATTAGATTTGGTTCAAATGCTATTCAACATTTCCACATTTTTTTTTCCTGCAAAGATGTATAGGCTATATTCAACTATCCATTTTCTAGGAATCCATATCTATTGACTCGCTGGCAAATCATATTCAAGTCCTGTAGCAACTTTGGCATGGAACTAATTTGTTCCTCCAGTTGTTAAAAAGAAAAGCTCCCCTCCCCCATTTACAATGGGTGATGTAAGCTTCACATTAAAATGCCAAGCTATAGGGACAATCCTCTGTTTTACCTCCAACTTTGGAATTGTATGCAACTCCAACCCCGCATTTGTGATTATTTGCTTGCATGGCAATTTCTCCTGCACATCTGGTCCCGTGTCTGAGGATTGAAAAATAAGAATTATAAAACATACAGAAGAACAAACATTTGTTTTGCATATGAATGAATTAATGGGGCATAGGTATATTAACTTTTTGTCGGCCTTGTTACTGTTTTTGTTTGTTTGTTTTAAATTAGTATAACATAAAACTTATGTTCAGATGAAGGGCACAAGTATTAGAGACAAAGTATGTGATTTCAAATTCTGGCTTCTGCCATTCACTAAGGGTGTGACCTTGGGTAAGTTACTTGTCTGCAAAGGCTTGGTCACATGACAAATTATATGTAAAACACTTAGAGCAGTGGATGGCAGATAGTAAGAACACAGTGAGTGTTAACTATTGATACTATTATAAGAACTCTGACATTCAGAAACAATTTCAGAGAAATGGCTTCTGCTTTGTACTTTTTGGTAGCAAAGTGGCTCCTCACTTTTCTCCCTAGTGACTGCCTTGGATTAGATTATCCTTGATCAGCCTTAGTAGGATATCCTAGAACAAGTCCCCTATTAAGCCCTCCTCCTCTCCTCTAAATATATGCCACACTAAAATGTCTGAAGATTATCTGGTACCAAGAGGAGCTTGAGATATTTGCAAGACATTACCAGCTAATTGGAAAGCCAAGATGCTCCTGAAATCCCAACTGGGGCCAGAAGCCTGAACATGATTGGTTTTGCAGTCAAGCAAAGAGGGTAATTTATGATTTCAGAGTATTTGGAAGAAAAATGCGTCTTCCAAACACCAAATTCCACCACTAAAGCATCTATTCTGAAATTCTGAGGATGATAATTGTCTTTTCCCACCACCATCCTGACTCAGGAGGGCCAACAAGCCAAAAGCACATTAATGTGAATTCATTTATTTCGTGATTTTATTCTATTGTGGAAACAACCTGTAAGAGTGTGAAGGCTGTTGGTGGCTTGGAGGAGCCTACCAGATATACCAACATAGAGTGAAAGAGAGGAAGGGTTAGCTCGGAGCAATAATGTTGGCCAGTTACATTTCAATTCTACTATACTGGCCATCTATTAATTCAGCATAGCATGGAATATAAAATTCCTAAATTGACTGGCCATCAAGAAGAATTGTTCAACTTCTCTTTTTCCTGAAGTAGCAAAGATGATTTCCTGGTCTCCTTCCACAAAATAAGATTCCTGCTCCTTCATGTTAATCCTGGCTAGGAATTCTAAGTCAGGACAATATAATTATCTTTAATTCAAGATCTTTCCTGATGCAGCAAACACCTGCTTCTTTTATGTATGCTAGCATTTTCCTGTTTGGGGAAGCAGCCCTCCTGACTTTTTGTGATTTTTTTCAATCATGGGGCCCCTCCTCTCAGACAACTTTCAAGGACTGATGTAGATTATAGGGAAGAAACCCCACTCTTTCTTGAGAATTATGAGCTTTAAGTTCCATGTGAGTCATATGGGTCTTGCTCTGCCAGGCAGGATTCTCTTGAAAGTGAAGCCAAGCAGAGGCGAGCAGCACTAGAGATGGAAACAGAGTGCTTGGTGTCCTGAGAACATATTGTTTGAGCTCTTGGATCTTGAAACATCAGAAACTAGAACATCACTTGGGTGAATATTTTTAAAATCCCTTTGTTACTTAATCTTTGAGTTAGGATTCTTTCATTTGCAACTGAAGCTGTCCTGACCACACCATTCTCTGAGAAAAGTGCACACATCTGAACATACAGAAGGCAACTTATGCTTTGTGGATGGATGAACGCTCTTTGCCTTAGTAGAAGGAGTAATTCAGTTGTCATCTCTGAGAAATGTACTTCCAGAAGTCACCACTGCCTTCTTATATATTTCCATGTATACAGGATGGGAGACAAGGCTCAGGTCAGCAAAAGAATCCAGTGCAGGTCTTCAGCCTGAGCCAACAGAATCAATCTGCTGACAGACATCCCCAGGTTTGTGCCTTTGTCCTAAAAAATGATGCAGTGTGACAGCACCTATTATTTATCTCTCCTTGTATATGGACGACTATTCTCTAGTGAGAGCTGCAGGAGGATCATGGTACAAATATGCATTGACATGTTTTCCTCCTCTTATCCTCAGGTTCCACCTCCAAACGTTGAGAGAAAGAAAAGTGTTCCTATGTCATTCTTTATAGGCCGCAGCTCTTTTTCTTTTCTAAGTGAGGTGCTGCAGTAAAGAACTTTCTATTATCTTAGAACAATGGTAGTAACTGGCATTTAAACAAAATGATTTGTTTAAAAATTATTCCATGAGATAGTTTAAATACTACCCTTATTCTGGTTAAAATATCCTTGTCACATTTGTTATTTAACTAGAAAAACAATCTGTAATTGGTGTTGAAATAATGAATACAGATTTATGCCAGCTTAATGGTAAGCATTACCTGCACTGTTAAGATTTTATTATTTAGTGATTCCTCTTTTGACTTTCAGAGTAGCATTCAAATGTAGCTTCTATTAATCTCATTTACGTGGTAATAAAGAACAACAGCAATACTGATAGTTTGAAGAGATAATAACCTTGGAATTGGGGTATAATACCTCTCCAATTGCTGTAAAGGCCAAGACAAAATGGAGCCATTCATTTTCTAAACCTAAGGGCTTTATGTCTGACAACATGCTAGAAGGCAAATCTACTTTTTATTATACCTTCTGATAAATGATAAGGATGCCACCTTTTTGGTTGATAGTCAAGAGGATCCTGAGAGAGAGTTGCTCATTATGTCATTTCCAAATAGCAGATTCTGAATTGGCTCAGAAAATTGACTTGTCTCTGCTGCTCCCATCGGATGATATTATTCTTGTCATGTTGATTTCTCACTGAAAGAAGGTCTACCTCAGTTACTAAATGAGAAGCTGTGATCATTATCATCATCATCATCACCACAGCAAACACTTACTTAACTTTTTTGTGTACCAGTGTCCAAGCCATATATATGTGTATGTCCAAGCCAAATATCCTTGTCACACATGTTATTTAAGCCATATATATACATATGCACACATATACATATATGGCTTAAATAACAAGTGTGACAAGAATATTTTAACCAGAATAAGGGTAGTATTTAAATATCTTGTGGAATAATTTTTAAACAAATCAATTTGTTTAAATGCCAGATATACAGATATAGATATAGATAAATAATCTACCTCATTAAGTTAGAGGTATTAAATGAGTTTATATGTATATATATATTAAGTGAGATATATATATATATATAAAACCTCACTTTAACCCCTAACTCAATGAAGTATTATATATGTTATATAATACTTATTATATATATATATATAAACTCACTTAATACCTCTCTCTCTCTCTCTCTCTCCCTCTCTCTCTCTATATATATATACACTCACTTAATACCTCTAACTCAAGGAAGTAGAGATTCTTTTTCAAAAGATGATAAAACTTAAGCACAAAGAAGTTAAATAATTTCCTCAAGATCACCCAACTACTAAGTGGCAGATCTAAAATTTGACCTAAATTTGGCTCCCAAGTCTGCTCTTAACTGTTGGGCTATGACATGCTCTCTCAATGCTGTGTGGAAGATTCACAGCAGGCTATGATCTGGAAGCTCAGGGCTTTCAGGCACAAAACAAATAGCATTATATGGGCTGCTTCCCTAGGGCCTTTGCAGGTAACTCCCTGAGTCAGGGAAATTATATTTTATTTTAATTATTATATTCATATATATAAAACAACTATTATAAATGCTGTGCTGTGAGATCCCCTTTGTTTTGAGGAAGGTCTGAGTGTTCCATCTCCTGACTGGAAAAACTCCAGAGAATGTCATTTCATCAAGAATTCGCCCACTATGCAGCCATCGTACAAGTTATCACCCACACTGGATCCTGGGGCCAGACCCAGGATCTGCCTGGAAGGACCGTATACTGCCTAGGAAGGAGCCAGTGCCTCCATCTAAGTCTCCTCAAGTGTCTGGGAACAGATTTCCCGTAGTCTTAACCAAGGGGGTGGAATGAAAGTTGTTTCTACTCCACTCTAAGAAGGCTTATTATTCCAAGTGCTTATTAGCCATTTCCTCAGGAAGTTCATTTAAGAAACATAGGGAGAAGGTACGTTGTCACCCAGTTTAGGGGAAGAAAATGGAATAGAGGCAGAGAGAGGTAAGTGATTTCTCCAAGGTCACCCTTTACTCTGGGAATTGGCAAAGCCATAACTACATTGCAAGGCTGTGCCCCAAAAGAGTAGATGTCCTTACTGGTCCTGCATTATCCTGCTTCAGACATATAGCAAAAAGTTTGTCTGAGGGTCTGCTGTAAGCTCTCGAAACACTCCCACTTTGCTCCAAAGGTACCCTTGCCAGTGGTTCCTATTGTGTTTTTACTGGAATGTTTTCACCTCTAAGGGATATTTGCGGTTAACCCCTTTAGTCACCCTCAAAGAAATAAATGGTACGGAAAGAAGTCATATCCCTGAACTATCCACAAGCCTCCCATTTTCCCCAAGGAAGAAATAAACACCCAGAAGTTGAGGCCAAGTCCATGTACCCCAGCCTCCCATCCTGGGGTTTGTTGGCTTTCTGGAGGGAAGACTATCCAAAGAAAGAAATAACTTTAGATCAGTATTACTGCACCAGCCACTTGGGAGTTCTGAGGGAGAATAAGGAAGGGAGGGAGGGAGGGAGGGAGGAAGGAAGAGAGGGAGAGAGAGAGAGAAAGAGAGAGAGAGAGAGAGAGAGACAGAGACAGACTTGTCTGACCCAAGTTGGGTAACAGTCCAAGAGACAGTGCCATCCAGAGAGAATAAAGAAGCGCTTCATGTGACATATACCAAGAGCTGTTAGATGCTTGGCTTTTTCCATCCTCACTTGTAGCAACAAGCCCTAATTTTGACCTTGGCTTTGATCATTTTGGTGCAAGTCTCTTCTGTGTAGAGAAAATGAAAAGGAAAGTTTGAGTGTCTCCTTGATGTCTGTGAGAACATCGGTATGAGCAAAGATGGTCTCTCCCATGGGCATGGACACTTTGAGGGTCCACATGCCTAGAGCGTGAAGTTTCTTTGGGGCTAGGAGAGAAGTTGAAAGTCTCTTGCCTCTGGGTCTTTCTTTCACCTCTCCCTTTAGAAGATCTTGCTCTTGGCCTCTGTGGCTCTTGGCCTCTCTCACCATAATGTGGCTTCAAGGGACAGAGAGTTAATCTGGGAGTCGGGTGCTGTCTCCTCTCTCTTTCCTATGGCCTTATAGCAGCAGGAACTCTGGAGGAGACTTCCGGCTGGCTCAATGCCCTGGAGACTGTGTTGGATTCAGGGGCCAGACCTCAGAGGCATTTCTCTGTCTGGAGTTTGGCCATGCTCTTCTGAGAGAACTGGTGAAGGTGACTGTAGCCACCGTCAGAAGTTGTGGGCATTGTTCATATCCATTTCTTTACATATATTTCTTTTCATGACTAACATAAAGCATGTTGCTAAGAGTAAAAGATTCATAGAGGAATTGAGGGGAGGGATGGGCTCAAAGTGTGTACTCTTTATGTCTCAAACATTCTTTCTAAAGCTACAACAGTTCAGTAACATTTGAGAGGAGAATTTCATAATGTAAGAAGTTTAATGAAAATATGGTTCTATAAACCAAAGGGAATATAAAAATAGAAACTTTGGTTTCTGTTTTAAAAGCAACAAAATATTGTGGTATGGATGTTGTGCATTAACATTTCCTGAGCACTGGAATGTGGATGAAATATATGGTATAATTTTCTCAAACAAGATAAAAGCATTGTAAAGTACTTTATTTCACACAAATGCATATTTACTCACTTGTTCTCGTTTGTGGGATCATATCGGGGAAATGGATCATGGTCATTATCATTAAAATCATAGCTAGCCTCTGGATCCTAAAGAGACAACAAAATATAACACTGTGGCAGCATTAAAAAAAAAAAAAAAAAAAAAAAAAAGCATCACTTCCCAAGCCTCTTACCCTATGCCTTCCCATCCTGGCTGATAGCTCAAAAGCCTGCATTTTAGAGTTTCTGGCCGAGTCACTGAATATTTATTTTACTCACAAACCAGGCAGAGATGATGAACACAGCCAGGTGAGCCAGCATTCAATTCTCAGTGAATGTTACCAAGCCTATGGTTCACAGGCACTCATGGGATATTGGAGTTGGAAGGAATTAGTTTACTTAGTTCAGTCATCTCAGTTTTCAGATGAGAAAATTGAGGCCCAGAGAAGTTAAATGACTTCCCTAAGGCCATAAAGCTAGTTAGTGACACTTTGACACTCATCTCTCTTATGAATATAGGTGCAAAGAAGTGGCTGAGGGTGGGACTCAGGTCCATGGTGCTCTCCTTCAGCCTCCCAGGCACACTAAATAAACATGTAATTTAATTTGAGAGAGGGTGCTTGAAATTCAAGACAAGCTTCCAGGCTCCACTCCCTTTTCCAACCCAATAGCTACACTTAAACGCCTCCCGCATACCCTTACTGTTACTTTTCAATGCTTTCCGTATATTTCAATCATTCCTAATTTCTACTCTGTGCTACTATTTTTCCTTCTCTTTTCCTTGGCTCTTTAGCTTGGTGTTATAGCTGGGGAATGTTTGATAGGTGGAAAGGATGAGAGAAAAACAAGGGATAATCTGAAAGATGAAACACCAGCCTCCTGATCTAAAGACCTAAGATATATGATGGTGTTCATATTATATTATAAACTTAATAAACAATGAAGCAAATTGTTTTTATTTATTTATTTTCCCATTTCTAGAAAACTTTTCCTTTCTCAGCTTGGCATAGGTGCATTGTGTGGTATTCACTTTGGATTTGCATGGAAGGAATCACATTCATATAATTTTACAATGTCAGGGATATAGACTCATAAAAGAGGTGAGGAGGGAAACTGTGACAATGATCTCAGGCAAGGGGCTTGATTTGATTACTTTAATGCCCCAAACACTGAGCAACTCAAAGTCATCAGATTTTGGTAACTTAATTGGTGTAGGCACTGCCCCTTCTTCTCCCAACACATATACTTTTGTACAATTTTTGATCCCACTGAATTATTTCAATGCCCACTGGTACAAAATAAATTCATATAAGCTAGTGGGAAGTGGGAGAAGGGACATAACCTTGGCCCATAATCCCAGGGACTGACACCAGAGCAGCATCCCCTTGAAAAGAAGGAAAGCCCTAACTGTGTGTCTGCACAGACAGCTCCCTAAGTCACAGTCATGAGAAGGCACACACTTACATAGTTGGCATAAATGTCCGTGTGATTCCACTCCAAACCATCATCCAGTACGGTGATAACAACTCCTTTGCCCGTAATGCCTTTTTGCCAAACAGGTATCACATGAAGGTCCAGCTTGGGCAGGGCTGCCGTCATCCTGGTATCTTGCTGGTAAAGAAAAACAACGAAGCATTGATAAAATTATCATTTGCTTGCTACAAAATGGGCACTTCAGTTCCAACCTGGAGACCCATCTTTCTTTTTCCTTGGGTCACTCTACTCTTTAGAAGAAGCCAATTCAGTGAAATGAGAAAACAAAGTTGAGAGTAAGGCCAAATGAACCCCCAGAGTGCTGCTCTTCTCCCGATTGTCCCAAATGGACATCACTTGAAAAGATGAATCACCTGTGCTCCTTCTCTTTGAACTACATGGCTTTGAAGAATTTTATCCCTAAATTTCTTTCATTTATAATAACATGCTCAACCCTTTCATCTATGGAAGCTCTATTTGATAGTCGATGTTTTCATCTCCCCCCAAATCCTGATTCTCCATTGCCACATTGAGCTCTCATTATATTGCCTGGTGCATAGTCATTCATGAATGTTTTAGAATTTTTATTCTAAAGGAAAAAGCAGAACCTGGAATGCTCAGGAGACTGTGATTGCCTCAGGAATTGCAATGTGATTGCCTATTTTTAAGTATGAGTGATTTAGGGGGTAAGTGTCTGTGAGAGGAGATTCAGGGTTTTCCTTTTAAAATACATTTTCTGATAGTCAGAGTGTGGGACTGTACAGGAGATAAGTACAGGGTAGCAAGGGAACACAGATATAAGCACATTTCTAAGCATGTGAGACAGAGACAGTAAAAGAATGCCAGGTACCCGGTGAAAGGGTCAATAAGAAATCTATAAATAACCACAATCAAAAGTGTCAGTGAAGGAGCTGCCCTCTTGCTTTTGTGCCCTCCTCCCCATAAAGAGGTTGGGGGGTGGGGTGACAAGTATTTGCCAGGCTGGTATGAAGCTGAATCACAGGAGGCTGGAACTGTACACAGATTGTTGGCCAAAGTCAGAGAAGAAGGCCTCTATGTCAGTTGCAGGAACAATTTTAGACTGTAGTTGTTAAGAGTATGGACTCTGGAGTCGTGAATTATAGTCCCACCACTAGCAGCCATGGATTTTGGCAAATTATTCTACTTTCCAATATCTCTGTTTTTCCATCTGTTAAATGGGCATAATTACTATTTCTACAACACAGACAATCATGAGAACAAAATGAATTAATTCATATCAAACATTTTAGAATAGTGTTTGTCACACAGGAAATGCACAAGTGTTAACTGATAAGTCTCTTCTGCTGCAATGAGCAAATACTTAAGATAGTGGCAAGAGGCCCGGTGCGGTGGCTCATGCCTGTAATCCCAGCACTTTGGGAGGCCAAGGCGGGTGGATCACCTGAGGTCAGGAGTTCGAGACCAGACTGACCAATGTGACAAAACCCCATCTCTATTAAAAATACAAAAATTAGCTGGGCATGGTGGCGGGCATCTGTAATCCAAGCTACTCCAGAGGCTGAGGCAGGAGAATCGCTTGAAGCCAGGAGACAGAGATTGCAGTGAGCTGAGATCATGCCATTGCACTCCAGCCTGGGCAACAAGAGCAAAACTCTGTCAAAAAAAAAAAGAAAGATAGAAAGAAAGAAAGAAAGAGAAAGAAAGAAAAGAAAGAAAGAAAGAAAGAAAGAAAGAAAGAAAGAAAGAAAGAAAGAAAGAAAGAAAGAAAGAAAACGTAGGGTCAAGAGAAACTGATCCCCTTTTCTAACCCTTATGCAACAAGAGTATCAAAGTCTTAGCTTGTGTTTTTCAAGAGAAATAATCTTTTATAAAATTCTCAACAACAAATCCTTCTATTAGCCTATACTACTACCATACAGACGTAACATTAAACAGAAGAGAGGACACCCTGCAGGTAGACAGCAACACTTAACAATTTCTTCGCTCAAGGATTTGGTAACTATCTTAAAGGTAGAATGGTTTGCAAGTCTAGACATTTGCAATAGACTTTTCTTGTGTTCCTTCTTTTAACCTCTTTCAGAGATTCTCATCTGTGTCATATAAGAATTGTCATTCAGGGTTGTATATGCCAAATTATGTTCACTATACTCTGTGAGTGCTTTAAAGGGTTCTGAAGAATAACTTTAACCAAATGAGATTTTTGCCACAAGTACTGTTTTTGGAAACCCTAACCTGCAAGATATTATTTTTCTGCATTTATCCCAAATAAACTTAAGAAGACAAAAAATACAACCTATTTTTTTCACAGCAGCTAAAGATATCTGTTTCCAACATCCTTACTCAGCAAAACAGAAGAGGCAGATCAAGAAGATCCCATCAGCCCTAATCTCCAGACAATATAGCTCCCTATGAAATTCTCCATCATAAAAAAAAAAAAAAATCCATGTTGCAAATGTAACAACATAAAGAAGCCAGGTCCCAGGTCCCACCCACATAGTCCTTCTGTAGGTACTTACCAAGTACCATTGCTGATTCCACATGGGATCATTGAAGAGATTTAGTGCTGAGTCCCTTAGAGCTGAACGTTTACTTCTTTCTTTTTCATACTGTTGTTCAGCCCATATCACCTACAAGGATTTTTATAGCAAGAAAATCAAAAGTCAAATATCTACCTCTGTATACTTCCTCTAACTATCTCCAGTACCCTTCCCATCAGAGTTCAGGCAGCTCTGCAATATTTTCATTTGACTACAGATTAAACTGGCACCTCAGTGAGAAGAAGGGATTGCCCACTGGGGAGATGAATATTTCCTCTATTACAGTAAAGTGCACCTTTAGGGGGAGGAGAAGCAGTCAGTGAAATGATAATTCCCTAAATTATTTACATTGTGGTTACAGTGGAAGCAAAAGTTCAGTCTGCTTTCATCAGCAAATGGACCATAATACTCATTTTTATATTGAGGTTTCAGGGCTCCATGGCTGAAAATTTGTCTGCTTTTATGGATTGAGTCAACAAGCCAAGAGACTGCTGTTATAATGCTTTTATAGATTAATTTCTCTGTCTTTACATACAACAGGTAGAAATTGCAAATATTTTATAAAGTAAGAATGGTGCTGTATCCATGCAAATTTGAAACTCCCTCCCCTGTGCTTCGACCTCTGCTTAAAAGTATTTAATATGAGACACAGATCCTGGGTGATGAATGAGCACTACTGACCACGCACACTTACCATTAATTCAGTCTCATGTATTATGCAAAGAGATCTGACAATACGAAAATTACCTGCCCCATATTTACAGCATAATACTATTATACTTGAAGCCCTGAGAGAGTGAGGGGCTGCCTTGTAGTTATATTCATTATGAGATAATTCTATACTCTTATTTTTCTTGGCAATATGACTATTTCCTACCCCAAACACATCTTTTCTGCTGTATGCATGATGACAATTCAGTGTGTGGTGGAATATTGTTAATGTGAGAGTACTCATGAATCAGCTCCAAAAATAAAAACCGAAAAATAATTTGCAACTGAAGGATAAAACCATCCACTAAGACTGCCCTCAATTTTCAATTAAAAATATACTGCAAACCTATTAAAAATAATGGGAAGAACCTGAAAGCTAGAAATTAGTCACTATGATTTATTTTTAAAGTGCTTGTATTTTCAAGCTTAATTGTTTTGGCTTAAAATACCTCAATGCTTGGAATGCTGCCTATCATCTGAGTTGATCTCTGGAAGCTGACTGCTAGGGAATAAGTACTAATCTTTGAGGTAGAGGGTCACTTACACTTGGAGATTTTATTAACAGACTTGTAAAGATAGACTGTTGCTGCATTTCACAGGGCTGATTTGAAAGAATATTATCCTCCATCAAAAAAGAGCAATAAAATGAAAACCAAGAGCAATTTTTTGGAAATGGGATATAAGAGGAGGCACTCTGCCGTCTGATCAGATAAACATCCAATTGTAGAAAACAGTGTTATGATTAATGTCATTAACTCAGAATCATGTATTAATCTCTAGAAGAGCAGGCTGAATGGTATAGAGGAAAATTGGTAGTGTCTTTCTATTATGCATTATAGGTATCATGTACTTAATTATAAATAATACTTTTGATCTGGAAAGAGCATTGAAGATCATCTAATTCAACCTTCCAATGCAAGTTTCTATGGTTCCAGAATGTTTCCTAAAATAAAATTATTCTTGGGCTAATTTTTTACAAAGTTATACCTGTGCTGGAGAAGGAATTCTTAGCATTTTTTCATAATGTCTTGAGATTCCACCCCTCCCCCACCAAATCAGCTATCAAGGGGATGTATAAAGAGTAGAATGGGCCATCTTCATTGTCATGAGATACTTTGAGTAAGAATAACAGTTAGGTATGCTCTATTCTGTCCAATTTTCTCCTATGAAAGTGAGAAGGCAGGTCAGTTTGAGTTCTATGTGCATTAATGGGCATGCAGTTTGGGCATGCATTTAGGCAAAGAAGGAAATCTCTCTTCTGCTTAGCCCGGGGACTAAGCCTAGCCAGAGTGCTAGAAGTTATTCTGCTTTTCAGAGCCCACACACGATGAGCCCTCTCCCTTGAAGTGAGTAAGGGAAGACCTCAGTGGACAAGAAACTTCTGTAATAAGGTCCAGGGCCTCTGATTTGGTCTCCCACATCAAGCAATAACTTGACAAAAAAGAGCTAGCAGTGGGTGTAGATGAGCTATACGGTCACTGTCCGTGGTCCTAATACAGCATTGTCAGGATGTTGTTGTTTCTTTTACATTCGAACACTGGTGACCCAGGCCATTCCCATTCCCTACCCTCATAATTTGTCTTTTTCTTCTTCTTTTAAAAATTCTATCAGTTTCAGAATGAATAAAAGGGCAAATTATCTTACAGTCCTCATGAATTTCGTCTACTTTCAACAGTTCTATCACCTTTCTGTCACATACATATATATATATTTTCCCCCTGGGAAGTTGAAAGGATGTTTTTAATCCTCTCACCAAGAGGATCTCTCATTCTAATTCTCCAGGTTGTCCTAGGTAACAAAAATTATGTACACAGATATCAGGCGAATCAGGATAAATTTCTTCCAGTATGGCATTTCTTTGAGAAAAGGCAACACTGTATGAAAATTACAATACTCCCAACATAGTAAACATTTTCTAATATGTTTGTTGACCTTGAAAATAGACTTCAAAATCAATAGGTACATTAGCTATCTATTCAAACTGCCTCTACCTTATTTACCTATATTTATTTCTGCTGTAACCTAATCATTGAACCAAGATACAAACTAGGATGAAAAGAGATCAGATGGTTTGGATCCAACAATAGATTACTTATGGAAACATTTGCCTCATGAAGACATGGATTTACAGTTCTCTCATAAACACTAGCTCCTTATACAGCAAAACCAAATAGAAATAATAGACTTTTTTTTCAGTTATACTGAAATGTTATTGAAAGTAAGGCCCATGTATTTCTTTGAGCCCACATTGGTATTAAAGTGTTTGGTACATAATAGGTACCTAATAAAAGGTTGTTGATTGACTGTATTGTCAAACATTTTTATTAGTGCTGCCCTCTCATTTTAAATATTCACTTTCATGCTCTTAGACTGAATTTGTGAGTGTACATATAAAATTAACTTTAGATATATATGTAATTATATAATTAAACTGCGTATATATGTGTAAAATTAACTTTGGCTCAACCAATTCAACCCAATCTTGTTATTATTATGTGCCATTATAATTTTATGGAAAGAAATTAGAAATAATACAGATAAACAATCTTGGTCACAATAAAAAAAAAACCACATTTGCAAAATGCTTCTGTTTTTATTAGAAATCATAAAGAAAGCAGATAAGCTAGAGTATTGGTTTGAAGACAAATGTACAACACTTACACGATCATCATCAGATAATCTCTTAGTGATATGAAAGGCACTCCTTCGAGACCTTCTGGGGTGGTTTTTATGTTTGAATAAGTAGTGATTTTCAAGTGAACCAATCTATAAAAGGAAAGAAATAAAATAAATATCCACGTTCCCAAACAAGTATATATGGACTAGTTTAAAACTCAGCTAACTTAGAGATAGGCAACTTTTATTAAGCCCATTCCTGGTATCTGAAATTAATATTTTTTTTCTTTTTTTAAACTTTTAAGTTCAGCAGTACAAGTACAGGTTTGTTACATAGGTAAACTTGTGTCACGGGGTATTTTTGTACAGATTATTTCATCACCCAGGTATTAAGCCCAATACCCATTAGTTATTTTTTTCTGATCCCTTCTCTTCTCCCACCCTCCACCCTCCAAAAGGCCCCAGTATATGTTGTTCCCCTCTATGTATTTACGTGTTCTCATCATTTAGCTCTCACTTGTGAGTGAGAACATGCGGTATTCGGTTTTCTGTTCCTGTGTTAGTTTGCCAACAATAATGGCCTCCAGCTCCATCCACATTCTTCATGAAGAAGGCACTGATAGAGGTCTTAAGATGACCCTCAGAATATTATTGCTTGAGTTCACAGTATATTCATTAGCTCACAGTAGGAGGCTAGTGATGCTTCTATTTTACACACATTGGAGGAAATACATGTTTTTCATGTGTGACAATATCATATTAAAATGCTCATTTAATCAAATATATCTGTTCAAAGAACAATTATTTGTGGTAAGCAGGCAAACACCTGGGATACTATCTATGGTCAGTGCCACTTTCCACTAAAATAAATTATCGTTGTTATAAAATGTAGCCATTGAATTCATAGTGATAAATTGCTATTAGCCACTATTAGTGATCGTTTGATTTTCCACTAATTCAAGGCTTTCAGAAAAGAACATGCTACATTTAGGGCAGTTGTCCCACTTTAGAGGGTTTGTACTTCTCCGGGTATCTATTGACATCTTTGGTTCATTTAGGACTATATTCATTATTCTTTTGAGCTAGTCTCCCTTTACTCAGTACTAAATTTGAGGCTACCAAATCCTCTAGGTAACCCTGCATTTTTAAAATTAAGAAACAAACAGTTGACAACAGTATATTACAGAAGAAACGTGTTCTTTAAATTGGTGATTCTCATCGCCCAGAGAATTTTAAAATAGAGAAGCTTAGGCCCTGCTCCAAGCCTGAATCTCAGTGAATCTTCCTATAAGCTGTGGATGGAACTGGGGAGAGAAATCAGCAGCCGCAGAAAAAGATCACCAGTGCTTAGCTCTGTTTTCTCTGCTGTCAACTGGTTTTTCTTCTTGTCACTACCTTAATCCAAGCTTTATCCTGAGGCAATAAGGTACCCAATATAGTAATGCTAAATTAGTGTAATTTTAGTAATATTAAACAAAAAGAGAAATAAGCAGAACCAGGAACGTGCTATCAGCCTTCTACAAAGAATTATTATTCTAATAAAATAATTTTGTTAAGTTTGTTTTAAAACTTTTGTTAGTAATGCCATCTTAACTAAAAATGGTTAGAGGAAAGATAGTATTGTAAATCATATATAAATATAGATGGTTTTCCCCCACTATTTGTTAATGCTTTTGTGACTATGCTATCCCTTACTCAAAGATCCTCCCAAGAATGATGATGTATTGTTTTTTACTATTAAGATTTATGTTTATTTATTTTGAAAAGCAGTTTTCACATTGAATGGTCTAGGTTTAGATGCATGCCTAGAGCTAACAGGTGGGAAAAAGAAGAGAGATTTAGTTTTTGCTGTCTTCCCCAGTCTCCTCCTACACGGTTACCAGTGCTATTTAGCCTTTCAGTAGCTGCTCAAGGAATACACAATTAAATCCCCAGTGTCCACCCCCATAGGTCATACATGATTTGTATGATGTCCACAGTACCCACCAGCACAATTTCCTCTGCTACTCATACCCTCTTTGGGTCTCAAAAATTCCTAATAATTGCGTGCAATTCCCAGACTTACTACTAAACTGTATTATGTCTCACTGTTTTCCCACAAGCTGTTTTCTATGCCTAGACTGTCTTCTCCGATCTCATTATGTGCTCCTGGCAACCTTTGACTTCTGTTCCCGGAGCAAATGTTTTCTCCTTTGGGCAGTTTTCATTCACCCCTCCCGAATTCCCTACTACTTTCATTCCTTCAACCAATGAATATTGAGACTTCAAGTACAACTTCTATGATTACACAAATTACAATCAGTTGCAATCATTTATCTCTAAGCTAGTCTCCTCTAGATTCTTGATTACTTGAGAGCGTTTCTTTCCCTCCTCTTATTCCTCAGCCCCTAACACGGAGCCTGGCACGAGGGCAAGGGCTGGCCAAAAGCAAAAGACTCATCTGCTGCTGGGACACCAGGAAGCCAATCTGCATTGATTTTCCTTTCGGGCATTTCAAAGACAATTTGGTTTATAAAGTTGAGAATGAAGCCTCTAGCAAGAGCAGGCGAATTCCCCAGAGGGTTCGGTCTACAGAATCGCCAACGCCCCCGCCGATTACTCATCCGTGACTCCAGCGGCGTCTCAACCACCACCTCCAGAAAAAACGCGCCAAAATGTTTTACAACTGCCTCCTCCCACGCTTCAATGCAGACCAACTTCCCAAGCAGGGGGCGAGGGCTTGATTCCGAGCCAAGGAAAGGAAAGCTCTAGACTAGAAGTCACACTCCCTAGGGTCCCCTCGGAATCGCTCAGCTATAAGCAGTCTCCCACTTAATGTCTTGACGCCCACCCACCTCCAACCAGCTACCTATCGACCAAGCCTTCACTTGGACAGGCAACAATAAGCTGAAATTCCCGGGAAAACGATTACGTACTTGGCTGAAGAACAAGAAAGAAATAGATCCCTTCCCCATAGTCAGTTCGGCATCTCGACCCTGCAGTGGGACTGGCCGGGCAAAGTTATGAAGCTTGGACTTTATAAGTTCCCAGTGAAAAGCCGGAGCTCCCTAGAGAGTCGCGGGGATAGATGGTCCCGTGTCTTTCACCCACCATTTCTCCCCCCAGCTTCCCAGGCTACTCCGCGGCCTCCCAACCTCCTGGTCGCGAGTCCCAGCAGCTGGCACTCTTCCAATGCCCTGGGCGTGCCCTTACAGGCTGCCAGGGCGGACAGCCCCAAGCCTGCTTAGCCCCTTGCATCAGGACTTGGATCTGATGCTGCCATATTGAAAAGAAGGCAACAGCCGGCTCCTGACGCAGACCGCCTCAGTCCCGGGGGATGGAGCGCACTGCTTCTCCCGGGGGCGCTTGGTTGGTAAGAGCTTGAGTGTATCTCAAGTTCCCTGAACAAGCGTGGAGGGATTTTTCTTCCAAACCGCGCGGGAACGGATTTCAATTCTAGAGCGGCCAACAGTAAGCATAAGCCCTACCCAGCTGCAGCGGCTTCCTTCTGCTTGGCTGCGCCCAGCCTAAACAGTAAATAATGCAAGCTTTCTCTCTCTCCAAGCGCGACAGGGGCGAGGGCTGGAGCAGCTCCTTGCTCTTTGCTACTCTGGGCTCTGGAGAGTGCAACCTGGGGCTCCCACTTGGAAGACCGCGCTCCAGTCCCGCCAGTCCCCTGGGGCCCCAGAAAGTTTCTTGAAAGTGGAAACTCTTACCTGACCCAAAAGGTCATAGCCCAGCTCCTCGGCGATGGCCGAGGCTGCTTCCGGGCCCCCGGGGATCTCCGCTGCCCATTCATTGACAAATTGCCTTTTCGCTTTTGCACTGTTCAGTGCACACCAAGCGCAAAAGAGGACGAAAGCAGTGCACTGCAGACTCCAGGCTCTTCGCTCCATAGCTCACACACTCGCTTGAACAAGAGTGGGAAGGGAAGAGGAAAAAGAAGCAAGATAGGAGAAAAGCCAGACAGACTCCCCCTTCCCACCCTCGGGCTCTAGACCACTCCTGGCTCCTGGTTGCTCTGCGAAGAGCTAGGAGGCGCGAGAGGAGAGGCTGGGCGGCGGCGAGCGCTCAGTGAAGCGCTTCGGTCTCCAGGCTGAGTGGAGCCCCAGCCCTTCCCAGCCAGAATGGAAATGAGTGTTTACACGTCAAATCGACGAAAGCCATCTCTTGACGTCAGATCTACCTGGACTAAGATCCGAATGGTATTCCCGGCGGGGCGGAGAAGCGGCTAAAATAAGCAGCCAGGGATTAGGAAAAGGAAGGAACTGTTTGCTGGGATCAGTTAAGTCTGCTCCTTGTCTGCCCATAAATTCTGTACCGTGAGAAACATTTTCACTTTTCAAAGAGAAGTGCCCCACTTGAACATAACTACCAAGAATCAAAGGCTGGGAGTGCTTTCCCTCCCTTCCATCCATTTTCTCTGTATTTACTTTATTATCTCATGTGTGTGGCGGGGAGGGGGGGAGGCTATAGGATTCTTATAATGGCCCTTTGGGCATCAGCACCTGCTATGAAGAACAAGGCTCTTAGGTCTTTCAAAGAGAGAGGCTAGGAGAGTAAGGAGAAGAAGGGAAGCTACTACTGTCCCAATTCTGTTCTAAATTGTCTGAGAAAATTAGCATGTCTATGTTAAAGCAATACTATTAAAAATGAATTTTTAACCATTCAAGCCACCTTAGTTTACAAGTTTACTTCCCTCCTCCCCTTTGTTTCTCAACCTCAGTAAAACAATATCAGTAGTTATACTCCGATATTGCAAAGCCAGCGCCACCACCACCTTTTAGGGTGTTTATCAGTAAAATGATTAATCATGTGATTTTAAAAAAACATATTTTTAAGAATTCGTCAACAAGGGGATCTAGGATCCCAAAAGCTGTTGTGTTGATTCAGGGAGGGAAAGAGCAGTTTTTATTTACCTCGACTTTCCATTGTGCCTCAGTAGAGCTCTTCACTTTGGTGCTGAGCTGGAGCTGTGCCATTACTTTCCCATAAAATGCACAATGCCTCTTTGTGGAAAAATGGTTTCCTGTGGGAGGAGAGCAAGGAAACATCTAAATGAATTCTCCACCCCTCACCCTAGGGAAGTGAGTTCAGTCTCCCATGGTGGAGCCTATTCGAACCCTGAGGGATTGAACCTGGCGGGAGATACCAGTGCCTAGTATTCAGCACCGAGGTCTGGACAGCGACACACGCAGGACTGCCGCAGGAGCTGCTCTCTCTTCTGAGCACCAAAGACCTCCACCCTTCTGCAGCTGGCCAGCACCAAGCTGTTTTCCTTTTGATATGTGCATTTCCCTCTTTTGAACAGCAAAATAGGAAATTGGCCGCAGGGGGGAGTGTGGTTAGGTTCATGATCGTGACAACTTGTGTCCAGCTCTTGGGAACGTGTTGGACTCAGGCCAAAAGTAAAATCGCCGGGAGGTGGAATTGAGAGAGTATGCTGCACCTGGGAAGTTTGTTTTTTTTTTTGTTGTTGTTGTTGTTGTTTTTTAAAGCTCAACCGCCCGAGGGCGCGATCTATGCTGTAGAAATAGAAGAAAGGGGAGAAGGTTGGAAAGAAAGCATATAAACAAGTGGAGAAAGGAAGCAAGAGATGTTCCTTACAAGAAGCAAATGAGACAAGACTTGGTGGAGGATCAGGCTCTGTAGTGCTAATTTTTCATTTGCCTCCACGTTTGCAGAAATGTGCACTACATAATTTCTTTAAACATAAAGCATCTTTACAAAATCAAATGCCAATGTTAATAAGCCATGTGACATGGTTAAGTGTTTTACAATAATGTAACTCACATGAGATGAAATGGAATGGGCTCCGATTGATAGCTTTGTTGTCTGTTCTGTAAATCCACATGTGTGAATGTTGATGGCTGGGTAAGCTGTCTTCTTTTCCCTTCACACCTCGGCCTGAGTTGTGGCCTCAAGCTCTCAAGGGTGTTTCATTCTCACAGCAGACAGACACTAACTGTGCACTAGCAAGGCAAGAGAAGCCCAGGGCAAATGTTTTATAACGGTAGATGTGTCAGAGGAGGAACATATTTGTCCCTTTCTTATTATTGTTCAAGTAAATCAGTTTGGCAGAGTGTTGGCAATAGGGTCCGTGTCTCTCTCATTAATGAGGCATTTGTCTTAAATGGAGCACCATAGAAGCCTGGAATAAACATTTGGTTTATATACCTAACAGGGCCAAGTAAACTCTCACAAAAAGAAGATAATATCCTCATCCACACAATACAGATATCAGTAAGTTAATCTGCTATTGTCTGATTTTTATCCTATGAACCTCTTTGCCAGAACTTCTGGCATGCAGAAGAAATAAATTTCTGCCAAGACTAGAGGTGCAAGTAGATTTAGAATCCATTTTAACTTTTTGTTTCAAGGGCTAGTCCTACCCTGATTTGTAGATCATGGTAGTGACCTCCAGGCCCATCAGTGTTATATTTCGTATTATAAATTGGAAGAGCCAATTATCACCCTTAAGTTGGTTTTAATAGCATTTGATTCATGTGATTAATTTATATAGAAAACCGGATACTCCAGAAATTAAGAGGACGTGTTTCCATTATAAGTTATCAAGTGATTGCCATGCCTTTCATGATGCTCACAACTGCCCAGTGATACAGCTAAGCATTCATTAAGGTTTCTTGGAGAGTAAAAGAAGCTATTAAGAGCAGGAAGTAAGAATATGCTCAAAGGAGATCTATAGATCACCATATCTCTTTAGTCTTAGGAAACAAATGTTTTAAACATTTTGTTACTACGAAATAAAACATATACCCTTGGGCATACTAAACAATGTACCCAATATTTATCACAAAGTGGACACAGTGTAACCATTTGGGCCAAGAAAAACATTTCTAGACCCACAGAATAACAGAATAATATTCCTAGATCTTCAAGAGATGTTAAAGAATGGGTAAGGAAATAATGTAGGTTTAACATTTTCCAGTTATCATGTAGACTTGCCTGTTTGCTATGGGTAACATTAACTGCACATTAACTCAAAGGTGTAACAAATTAGTCTGTAATTAAACTAGAAGATTTTTGGTAGCAGAACACATTATAGGGGCAAACCTACCTATAGCAGTGTTTTCCAACATAGAAAATAACAATATTTGTGTGGCACACTGGGGTAAACTGGAGGAAATTTGAAGACATCTGTATGGAGCTGGGTGAAGAGATTCATAACATTTTCTTTACATGATACAATTATGATAACAAAATAAAATATAACATTTTGGGCAATACATTAAATTGCATATTAATAACTTTAAATTGAGAAATCTGAATATGCTTTCACCAATATAAGTTTTTATCTGAAGTTTTATGCTTAAAAAGGCTATATATCATTTCTAATTAAAACATTTTAATGACAAATGATCTTTTTATATTCTTAATAGCTGCTGTCAATGAAACTTTTTTGCAAAATTCTATTTTAAATAATATAGCCGTCTTTATTTTCTTGACATATTTATCATTGGAGTTCTATATGAAAATGCCTATAGATTCAGAATCCATCTAAATTTTACAGGTCAAGTATGACAAAATAATATTGAAATTGTAAATTGGAAAATACACACACCTTTTAGAGAAGTTACCATCTACCAACTTTACCACAAATTGAGAAAAGTATCTAGTATACACAAAGACTGATATTGGGGTTACCACTTAAAGATACACCTGCCAGAAGTCCCTGAATTACTTTCTCATGATATCTCCTCCCGTGACCAAATTTTGGTGGGTGTGCTATGCTAATTAAGTACTTAGAGTATGAACTCCTCCAGCAGATCCACAGACACTTTTCACATGATGGAAATAGACATGCTTGCAGCAGGTTGCTGAAGTAAATACAGCATCAAGGTGGTGGACACGACTTGGTTGAGTTCCAAGAGCTCAGCAACAAGCTACTCACCTGGCCTTCCCAAGTGATTAGAAGACCAAATATCTTGAGGGACATCTTTAATTCTACTGGTTGGGATGCTCTGACCTATAGAAATGGAAGTAAAAGAGTAAAAAAGCAAAGTCTATACACTGCAAAGGCTTTGAGGTGGATGAATAATTATGAAGGATTTTTGCTGAATGAACTAGATAAACACAAAATCTTGAATTTAATGTAGAATTGAATTGAATTATTAAAATGGAAGCAGTGAGTGCCATAAATTCCACTTGCTAGAAATAATTGATCTTTTCTAATGAAAATGGATAATTAAATGTGGCCATATACAAGTATTTAGGTTCTTTCTTTAACAGGTTCTTTTAAAATATGCATTTACTGAGTGAGTTGCAGAGCATCCCTGCTTCTGCTTGCAGGCAATGCTCTTGCTTCCTCTGTGCTCTCAAACATTGCCATTTTCGTATTAAACTCTCAGTGCATAACTGCTGTCTCTGCTCCTGAAGTATGTCTTTCTATGAGAATTATAGACTTTAGTATTGAAAAGTGACCTTGAATATTATACAGCTCCTTGCTTCTCAAAGTCTTGTCCACATACCAGCATTATAGGCATCACTTGGAAGCTTGTTAGAAATGCAGACCCTCAGCCCCCACCCCAGAACTACTGAATCAGAATCTGCATTGTTAATGAGTCCGTAGTGATTCATACGCAATTAAAGTTTGAGACGCACTGATCTACTTAACATGCCTGGTATACATGACACTCCTCTGTGATATTTTTTAACAAGTTGTTAGGCAATTCCTGGTCTCCCAAAGCAACCCATTCTTTGGTTTGGATTGGCTGAAATGGTTACAAAGTCCTTCCTTATAATGATATTATAAAACCTTTCCTCATTACTACCTCCAGTCAAGCATGCTAATTTTGCCCTCTAGTACCACACTGACAAGTCTCAATCTCTTTTATACATGATAGCAATTCATACTTCGAAGGCAGATTGTTATATCTTGCCTAACTTTTTTCTGCTCTAGGTTAAACATCCCCAACCTTTTTAACACTTTGGCATTCTGCTTGCTCTTGTCCGGATAGGGTCTTTCAATAGAATTTTTTAAATGTGGCACCCAGAATAGAATATAGTATAGTTGGCCAACTAAAAAAAGATAATTTATTTTTCCAACTTTTTATTTTGAAATAACTTTATAGTTACAGAAAATTAAGAAAAAACAGTACACAAAACTTGTGTATACCGTTCATGCAGCTTTCCCTGGGGTTTACATCTGGTGTAACCATATTACTATTAGCTAAACCAAAACATTAACATTGATACAATATTCTTAACTCATTTATAGACCTTTATATTTTTCCAACTGTTCTATTAGTATATCTTCTTTTATGGTCCAGTATTCAATTAAGACTCCCTATTGCATTTGGTTATTATGTCTCCTCCAAACTGGGATATTTTATCTTTGTCTCTCACAACCTTAAAACTTTTGAGGAGTACTATTCAGTTATTTTATATTATGGTCCTTAATTTTGGTTTGTCTGGTGTTTTCTAATGATTAGGCTGGGATTAAACATTTGTAGGAATAAGTGATGTTATGTCATTTTCATTGACTTGTATCAGGAGGTACATGGTGTCCATATGTCTAATTACTAGTGATGTTATCTCTGATCACTTGGTTAAGATGGTATCATATCAACCAGATTTCTCCACTGTAAAGTTACTATTTGAAAAATAATATTTCGGTGTAAAAATTATTGACAAACTCATGATGCAGAGAGCCATAATGTAGTAATACTCTCCAAATTTATATTTTTGGAGAAAATGAAAATAATTTTACTTTCATAGACATTTATGTTTGTGATATTCATAACTTCTCATTCCACATGTCAGGAGATTTTTCTGTGAGATTAAGTGAAATAATCCATTTAAGATACTTAGCAGAAGGGTGAGGACAGAGAAATCGCTTAGTTTGCTACTATTATTAATGCTATTAACCTATCACTTTCCACTTAATATACTGATATATTTCCATGTCAATAACTGTTCACTGGCATAATTTATAATGGTTGCATAGCTTTCCATTAAATGTGTTAAGTATACTTCAACTTATCAAGTAACGGAAGACACTTAGAGTGTATCTATTTGTTTGGCTACTATACTTTCAGGTAAAGTTGGTTGATTAAATATATGTGTCTCCTTTCATGCCCCACTAAAACCCCTCAAAAACTACAAAGAAGGGATTTTTTTAAGGACATAAACTTATGAAATGGGGAGAACAGGAGTAGAAGCAATCACAAAAAATTATGAAAGCAAAAAAGCAACTAATTTAGCAGACCCAAGAAAATGAAATGTTAATCCAGCAGCAGGGAAAGCCAAGAACTAACCCTTTCTATGCCTCAGAATTCCCCATGACTGAGGAATTGGCAGGCACCAAATAACTTGACATTAGGATGCAAATAGGTTGGAAAATAAAAAAAGATTGCTTTAAAGTCTGTTTCAAAAGCAATCTTCCCCAGCTTCCCTCATCACTCTTTATTGCAGAAAACTATCCCTTTGTCACCCAGCAAAGAGACTGAGGGTGTTTTCCCCAGAGACATCAGGCACAGTTAAAGGTGGAGGCTTCACACCCCCGAACCAACTGTAAGAAATTGGTCACCTCGGGGTTGCTTTCTAGCAGGTGCCACTGAGGGATAAATAATAATGGACTGATCCTAACTTCCCCTTTGTTTCTCACCTCCCTCCAGTGAACACAGGGATTAATCTGCTTGTTGTTTAAAATAATATAATCCTTGAAGCTGTTGTAAACAAGTAGAGGAAAGAAGACCTTCAACAATTGTCCCTAATTATGGTTAGAAGAGGGACCAATCCTGATCCCAGTTATGACAGGCAAAAAAATTGTACAATCAGTAAAACTGAAAGAGAAAACAAAGGTACTAAAGCAGAAGTGGCCCACGGCACATTACTTTAAAAGTTCTAAGTAAGCTTCTGATACTGAAACTCAGGAAATAGCTAACAAAAATCTGGTTTTCTGGCTTCTCTTTATAAACTAGAAAATGTTAGTCTGGAAACAGTGACCCCTACAGTTCTCAGACACTGAGACAAAGTATGAATTTCTGCAATTATGTTTATCCCACCTTTTTTTTTTTTTTTCTTATAATGGAGTTCAGAAATCCTTAACTCTATAAGGGGAAAATAGCAGAGAGAATTGAGGGTTTGGAGCTTCTCTCTTATGCCTGCCTTATTCCACTCAGTTATGGTATCTGCATGTCTCCTGTGAGCATCCGTGTCTCTAGCTCTTTCCTTGGACCCTGCTGTAGACTTGTACCTCTACTGTTCAGACCTACCCACGCTGCAGCTGTAGCTGTTTACTCACAGCAAGAGAGAGAGGCTAAGACCAGCAAGCCCAGTGGGTGCCCCAACTCAAGCAAACATGTATTGGCCAGGTCTGAGTTGTTACATGCCAAGGAGAGGAGCAGGTAGCAAAAGTTTTTTCTAAGCCCATGGACTTGGGAAAGTGATGGACTTGTGGGTGGGGGAGGTGGGTAGGATAAATGGCAGCAGGGTGAGGGGGTCCGTTTAAGGCTACTCAAGTTCTTCTGACTCTCCAGTCAGAATTACTCAATCATTTAGGGTAGGGCCATACATACACATGGGGGAAATGTCAGGGTTTGGCGTTAAGAAAGCTAGGAAAGAAATAGGTATGGGAAAGTATTTCATGGGTGCAATGGTTGATGATCCAGCATCTACTTTCCTAGTGCTCTACAGCTGGAAAAGGCAGAGGCAATGGCTTTAATTTTATTTGCAAAGCTAGTTAAGAGTCGATGGAAGAACTGACACTATTTGATAAACTGTGCCCAAACTCTAGATGAACACTATTTCAAAGAGCATTAAGCACAGATATAAGAGCAGACTCAAAACAGACCACCTGGATTTGATTCTCAGCTCTGCCACTTATTAGCTGGGAACATCCAGACACATTTTGAACATGTCTTTGCTTTGGTTTCCTCATTTACGGAATGAGGGTATAATAGTAATTTACCTGTTGAAGTTATTATACATAACATACTTACAACATTGTCTGGTACAAGTAAATGATAGTTATTTTTATTGAGAAAATAGCACCCTAGTTACATAATAGTTTCTTACACAAGTTTGTCAAATTCTGGAGTAGGGAGGCATCTTGGACAGAGAGATGATTTCAAAGTGTAAAACTGACTAGCTCTGGCACTCAATTCTCACCTCTCTTTCTCCCTTTTTTCCTACTCACTAATTTTTAGTGTGTTCCCCTTCCTCTTTTTTTTCTTTCTCTCATAATTCTATACATTCCCAATTGACTTTTCCCATAAGCCCGTTGAGAGAGCCAGAGCAAGTTTTATTAACTCCAATTCACTAAAATGCAGGCAAGTGAAGTAGTTTATCCACGGCTCACAGGGTGAACTTCACACATCTGCCTTGAGAACCTGATCCTTCCTCTTGGAGCAATTTGCTTCTGATTTCTTGGTGGAGAATCAGTAGCGATGGGTTTAAGGGCTCTGGGAAGACTAGAAAGTTGCCCTCTCTAAACACATTTATTGAAAGTGGCACCTTAGAAAAAAAGGGACTATGTAAACTCAATATTATTAAGTATGATGGAAAAGTATAAAGTATGTAGAAAGCAGGCATTAGTACGTTTGACATTCAACATCAGTAGAGGTCAGATCATGAGGCACACAGAGAAAATAGTCAAAAGGGGCACTTTTTTATAATGTGATTGCTACTCCACCTTGCCCACCTCCTGGTATTAGAAACAGCCTTTCTGTGATTATGCGTATGGGTGATTGAGTAGTAACACAATGACTTCATTTCCATTTCCCAGCTTCCTGTGGGAAGGTTTGGATCCAGCCTGCAAGAGCCATGATTGTAGGAGTATAATGATAACTGATGTTTATACAGTACTTTACAATTTTCACAAGGATTTCCATCTATTGGCTTCTCACTACACCATTATTACCATTCCCACTTCACAGGCAAGTAAACTGAGTCACAGGTAAGCAAGGCTAACAGAGTTTGCATAGATAATCTCACAGAGCTAACACCAGAACTCAGGTCTGTAGTGCTTCTTCTACCTTCCACTTATGTGGAATAGTTTGATGTTTAATATTTTAAGCAGGTAAGTATTTGAGTCCTCTCTACCCCTTACCAGCACTGTTACCTGGAATAGCTCCTGAATCTTCAGCTTCCTCATGAAACAGAGGAAATAATACTATTTATGAGATTTGAATGGACTAAATTATGTAAAGCACTGAGAACATTGCTTAGCCCATAGTAAGTACTCAATAAAATCTAGCTGTCATTATGATTGGTCTGTCTTCTGCCATTTTCTTTGCTTTGCATTGAAGAGAACTGTCCATGATTTTAGATTACACTCAGAAGCCCTATGTTTCTAGGTTTATGTTATCCTAAAATGTTATTACCATTTGTTGCTTTGGTAAGACTAGGAACTTGGAAACTACGTGAGTTAAATGGACAGTATCCCTGGCATTAATGCCCAACGTATTGTAGGACAATCATTTTCAGATGGTTTACTATGCATAATACTTACGTGGATTAAGTATCAAGGTAGTTTAAAGTGCAGCTTCCTAAGCATCGCTCCTCCCATTCTGATTCTGGAATGGCCTGAGGCCCAGGAATCTACAAACTTCTACAGGTACCCTTGGAGGTCGTAAGGAGCGCTGTGAAAAGCCTTAACTGGCATTGGCATTTACCCTACCACTGCTGCTGCTGTTGCTGCTGCTTCACTTTCTTTTTCTCCTCTTCTTCCTCCTGATCTACCTCCTGCTTCTTTTTCTCCACTTCCTCTTCTTCCTTCTTTATTATTGTCATCACCGTCATTCTCTTCATTCTCTTTGTCTTCCCCTCCATTTCTTCTCATTCTTTTCTTTTTTCTCCTTCTTCTTTTTGTAACCATTTCTAATAGACTACTGGAGGTTATTTTCCACTGTTAGGGTAGCTCTATTATTATCTCTTCAGAGAAAATGCCACTGAACTTGGGGGAAAAAAACAGAGTAATGACTCAATGAAAATATGTTTATACATAACTTCCCAGGAGCCAATTAGGAAGATAATCATTAGGTTCAGGTGATCCTTTGCTCATGCATACATCTGTAAGGCTCTGGCCCTCTCACCAAGAGTAAAATAGCCCATTCTTGTTTCCAGAGCTTATTAATGCTGGATTCAAATATAATGCCCTGAAAGTACATTTTAAAACCTTTCCTATGAAGATGCATAACTAGACGCAGGATCATTATTCTTACAATCCAATAAAATTTATGTATATCAATCTTTTGCTTCAAGCCAGCCAGGCACTCCAAGAACAATGTTAACAGTTTCTACATCCTGCCCCAACACCCAACCTATTACATCTAGATTCTGGGAACCTAGTCAAGAAAGCCACATGCCAATTTTGAAGCTACTTAAACTAATCAATTGTGATCACCAATTTGGATACTATATCTGTATAGCTTCAAAGAAAGTATATGTTTTGTAATCACCGAATTTAAAAAGTATAAATAGGCATTGAAGTAACTTTATCAGTGGTTATCGATTATTGCTGCACTTAGTATCTTGAAAACAACACTGATGCCCTGGCCCTAAGCCCACAGATTGTGATTTAATTGGTGTGGCATGGGTCACACCAGGTGATTCTATTGGGCATCATTGATATACATGAATCAAATTTATTTAACAATTGCCTACGCTCTATATCCTTCTGCAAGTCACGGACAGAGATTAACCCTAGAAGTAAAACGAAGCAGAGAATTTTAAGAATACTTTAGTCTCAACTACATGCATATTTTAGGGAAAGTGAAATATTAATCTAGCATTTCTTCTTAACTATCTCAATTCTCTATTTCATGTTGCTAGGGTATACTTGATCTTGTCAAAATTTTTCCAGCATCTAATAACACATAGAACCTCAAGGGCATTCCAAATGAATCACAGCAATATAAGAAATGAAGGAAAAAGCAAATTAAGTTTGGTCAACAATTTCTTTTGGTTGAATCAGAGGTGTCACAGAAGCAGCCACAGGGATTGAGAGTCCACCCCACCTTGCCCCTTATGGAGCTTGTAAAGACTAACTGGACTGACTCACATAAAGGGGCATTCTTTGCACTAGTCTGTGAGTCTAGGTTATGCCTTCACTTCTCATCAAAAATAGGGGCATTGAGATCATGACTTGCTAATAAGCCTCATGTAACAGATTTTTCACTGTATTGGTGATGGAAGTAAGACTCATTTAATTTAGTGTTTGAGAACTTGCTACCTGCCTTGATGTTCTGACACTTAAAGTTTTACTGTTTTCTATGTTTTGATGTTTAAAGAACTGTATAAATTGAATTATTCTCTCATTTTATCTCAAGCTGTACAATCTGCTGGTTTCTGTAATTTTAAATATCCTCTTTCCTTCAAATATTACCACCAAATCATTGTCTATAACAGATAAAAATTATTCTTTATCTTATTTACTTTTTTCTTTATGCCAAAATTTCTGAAAATTTTTTCTCAACTAGAATTATTTTCTCCATCATATTGTTAATTTCTAAAATATCAGTTTTATTTTATAAATGTTCCTTTTAATTTCTTCCTGTTCTTCTCTCATGGTTATAATATCTTCTCATGTCTGAGAATATTAATGCTAGGGGGTTTTATTTGTTTGCTTGTTTTGTTTTATTTATTTTTTTATTTTTTGCTTTTTTTCCTGCAAAAATAAGGTGACCACTATGGTGTTTTTTCCCCTATGGTTCAGTCCCTTTTCTCATGGTAAAGACATTCCTCCAATTTCCAGTTATCCATGTTGCTAGATCACAGTTGAGAGCGAGAAAAGAAAATCCGTAATCATTTAAATGGGAACTGGCAACTGTGAGTTTTGCTGCAGGATGGCCTGGCCAGATAGAAGAGTTGAGAAAACCTCAATGCCAGAGTCTTTAAGTCTTTCCTCTTGGGTTAGTTGGATTCCAGAGAGAAGACTCCCTGACCTGCAATCTTCAGCAAAAAGGGCCAGCCACCAGAGGAAAAGGACAAGAACCCTGAGGACTGCACTCACTGTGCCTCACTTAGTTCCGTGTTTCAGTGTGAAGCCTCCACACTTAACTGTGCCTGGTGTCTCTGGGGAAAACACCTTCAGTCTCTTTGCTGGGTGACAAAGGGATGGTTTTCTGGCAATAAAAAGTGATGAGAGAAGCTGGGGAAGATTGCTTCTGAGGTACACACACCATGGTGGTGTGTACCTGTGGTCCCAGCTACTACGCAGGCTGAGGTGGGAGGATGGCATTAAGGCCAGGAGTTCAAGGCAGTAGTGAGCTATGAAAGAAAGAAAAAGAAAGGCTTTATGTAGCAACTTTATCTTCTTGCTCTGCAGAAAAGAACTGGACTCATTGCCCAGACACATAATGGTTCCCTTTTGAATGTATTCTAGACCTCCATGGGCAGTCATCTGAAATGGTTCCTGTTTTTCTAACTTTACCTCTCTTTTCCTCTTCATACAGTTTCTTCATAGATTTTAAAAAATCTTTTCTCTTCTCCCAGTGTTCCACTCTTCTATTTTGGGAGCATGCCACGGCTCACTCTGGAATTCTTAAGTTCCCAGTCAGGTCTTGTCCTGTAAATTTCCTCAGTCTTGTGCATTTTCTGCAGATCACTGGCATTCTTTTTTCTGCTGTTTTTGATGCTGGGTTCTGAACAAAAAGAAGCCCAATGTCCATCCCATGGTACGTGTGAATCTGGGTAAACCCGGGGGTAATGGAGGTGAAGTGTTCTACTTAGAACTGCAAAATAATCTTTTTCTTTTGAGGCAGGGTCTTACTCTGGCACCCAGGCTGGAGTGCAGTGGCAGATCTGGGCTCACTGCAGCCTCGACCTCCAGGACTCAAGCAATCCTCACACTTCAGCCTGCTGAGTAGCTGGGATCATAGGCATGTGCCACCACTCCTGGCTAATTTTGTTTATTTTTTGTAGAGACGGAGTCTCCCTATGTTACCCAGGCTGTTCTCAAACTCCTCAGCTCAAGCTCAGACTTCCAAATGATATAGTGACTCTCTTTAAAGTGCTGCGATTACAGGCATCAGCCACCATGCACAGCTCCAAAATAATTTTTAGTGTACAAAAAAAAAAAAAAAATCACAGAACTCCGTAGATTACCTTTCTGAGACAACCCCTCATTTGGTCTACATAAGAATCCTATATTCTTATTGTTAATATAACTTGACTTTATTGTGGTACAAGAACTATTTTTTCATAACCATGTATTACATTGCAAACCGCTCTACCATTAACATGGCTTTAAGGGATATCATGGCCAATTGTGTCTCTGTAATTTTGGGGCTTTTTTCTGTGTTTGCAGAAAGGAGGGACTGGACAGCCCCATCACTCATATGTTTGTGGCAGGATGAAATTTTGAGATATTAACCAGGGTTCCCCAAGCTCCTTTCCTACTCAGTCAGCAGCAGGAATTGCTTCAGAGAGGATGCAGGGTTTTAAACCAAGAACACAAAAGGAAAATAAGCAGTCGGTGCTCAGCTTTTGCATCTCTAAAAATAAAATTTAAATCTCACTGTGGAGATGGAAATCTATAAAGTCAAGGTCATTGATATTCAAGATCCAGTTTCTTTTGAGCAGCAAGAAGCCCAGCCCAAAGGAAGTCAGGCATAAGGTTTGTGCCATAAGCAATGGAATGGAAAGAGAATAGATGAAGAGTCAGGCTGCCGTATCCTAGAGACTGGATAAATGTTGCCTGGGCTAGAAAAAAAGAGTTACCTTGAAGAAAAAGCATCTGTGGAATATGAGCATGCCACCTCAGTTTCTGTCCTCATCAGACCAACATCTAGAGAAGAAAGAGGGTTACTGAGCTTCCTGTCGTTTGGGGGATTTGGGAGGAAAGGTAGGATCCTAAGTACTCAACAAACAGAAAATCACAAGCACTGGCCAATTAGAAGAGATGCCCAATTAATCCAAATGATCATTCTGGTGCATGTTGGTTAAATTACGGACCTGGAGAGGGCATGAATGCCTGGCTCCCATCGGAGAATTCAGTGTGGCAGCACTCTTGGATAGGTGCTGCACAGCATGGTGGCAAAGGAGGAATTAAGCAAAATGAGCCCAGGCGTAAGAAGCCATGAGACACAGCTTTGAGTTTCTCTCAGACTTGCAAGTGATACAGTGACAGCTGAAAGCATGCAGGCCCTAGGGGCCTTGGATGTGGCTGAGAGAGCACCAGTGGACTTGAGGAAGCTTAAACCCATGTTAGGACCTCAGGCAGTGGCAGAAGTCATGGGCATAAGGACCAATTTCCAGAGACTAGGAAGTTAAATAGCAGCTGATGCCAGCAGAAGGCACAGAATAGCCACCGACTACATATACCCAGCACACACAAGTGTGCACACACACTCATCCACATACACACCCATCCACACACTCACACACATCCACACACGTGCCTGCATGAGCCCTCTGTGGAATTTAAATGTTACTCACGGGCAGAAAATAGACAAGGGCAGAACCTTAAAATTGCCTGAGTTTAAAATGAAAATGACTGAGGAATAATTTGACTGGGTTTACTTGGGAACACTTGGTCAAAGCTTCTGATTTTAGAAGGAAATATGAGTTACAATAAAAATTACATTTATTTATAGGAAAGTAAAGTATATGTTACCCCTTGGATGCCTACTCAAGCATGTGGGAGTTGTGTGTGTGTAAAATATATCACATATATTTTTAATATATGTGATATCAGCTGAGGTGCCCTGTCAGTGACATTCTAATTAAATTGGCTCTAATGCTGTCCACTGTGTGTTGAAACCCCATGTCCGCTCTGATCTTTATGGAAAACATAAAACAAGAAGTAAAAACCTGCCCTGCTAGAACAGCTCTGTCCTACATCAGTGATTTTCAAACATTTTGAGTGCTGGAGACATCATTCTGGATGGAACTCTCATATGTTAAAAAAAAAAAAAAGATAAAACCAGGGCCATTCTGGCTGTGCAGAGATGAGGGACAAGAATCAGCTCAGGGCATCTGTCTGGAATATTTTTATGCAACTGAAATGCCCTTACAAAGAAAGGCATTTTGAAAGCTACTGCTCATTGCTATCCTAGGTGAATTCCAGAAAGCGTATTAACATGTCTGGGGGCTATAAATCTTAAAGCCTTAGGTTTGACTCCAAATGGAACAGGAAATCTATGCATAAAATATTTCTAATTATGTCCCTTGAGGTTTTGAGGCTAAGTGTTTGTGATGCTAGATTTAAAGGATAAGTGAAAGCAAGTGACCAAATGTTTTGCTCTGGCATTTGAAGACCATCCTGTCAGCTATCCAAAAAGCAACTTGCTATATTTCATTCATTCATTCATTCATTCATTCACTCAACAAATGTATATCGCGCTTTTATCAAGTACTAGGCACTGTGCTAGCTGCAATGGAAACAGTTTCCGTGCCCCCTATTGACTGTTATAGCTTTACATGAATTCTTTGAACTATAATGTTTCTGCTGCTTTCTGCCTTTTCAGAACAGAACAAATTGAATGTTTGAATGTATTTCTGTTAGTGTGCAAACTCTTGAAGCTCTTGGTGGGTTTAGTCACTTTCAGGAAGATCAATACAGACACTCTAAATATCTAGAGTATGCCCAGGTTTACCATATTCACATAAGGGAGGAGTCTGGGCTAGTATACTGGACCATAAACATCATATCACTGATCAAAAAATGTAGTCAAGCAGAGCTCTTCAAAGGCATTTCTATTTGCTGCCTAACTGGATCATATGCCATTTAAAAAATGCAACCATTCCCCAGACCTAAACTCCCTGGATAAATTGTGAAGAAAAATAGTATCTTTAAAAATACTTAGTGCTTTATTTATTTAGTTTATACACCTAGTTAGATCAATTACTTCTGCTAGGCTTATTATGAAAAACAACAATTCTCTGCCCTCCCCAGCCTGCCCCATATCCAGCTTCTCCAAGACAATCATCCCACTTTCATAGCTTTCAGCATTTTGCCTCCATATCTCTAAATAATATCATTTTCCTTTTTCTTGATTGTTTTAGTTTTAGGCATTATGTAGTCTAAAAGCCCCTCTCTGCTTAACCACCAATGCAGTCTTGCCATCCACAGTAACTTCTGCCCCTTCATAGTTGTATCACAATTCTGTATAGACACATACTCAGTGTTCACATCAGGGGTTCCCAACCCTAAGGCCATGGAACAGTAAAGGTCCGTGACCTGTTAGGAACCAGGTGAGCTGCCAGTAAGGTGAGGTGCCAGTAAGCAACCATGCCCACCTGAGCTCCGCCTCCTACTGCACATGCGAGGAATCTGGGTTTCATGCTCTTATGAGAATCTAATGTCTGATGATCTGAGATGGAAAAATTTCATTCTGAAACCATCCCCCAACCCTGCACACCATCCATGGAAAAATTGTCTTCCATGAAATCAGTCCCTGGTGCCAAAAATATTGGGAACCGCTGGTTTACATGATTAGGCTATGTAAAGCCTATTCACTCCTGAGGTATATAATTGACTATGATTGCTTTTTTCTTCTTAAATACTTTGCCATGTGTATTTTTGCTTAGTTTTCTATGTATTTCTCACCAATTCAACCCTAAATTCTCAGCCATTTGTCCAATCTTCTCTCACTATGTTCAAATGCGTTATGTAATCCATCAATGCCATCTTCCTGGGAACATTTTCCACAGCCTGCTGGCCTCCTGGACTGTTTGGACAGGACTCTCTTTATGTCTGTTGCACCTTGGTGTGAGAACCCTTCACCATCATCAAGGATTCTCTTACCACTCTCTTAAGATGGATTCAATATTCTGGACCCTATATCTCCTGCCATCTTGGTATTTTCCCTTGTTTTTATGGAGCACTTTTTAAAGTAGATTCCTGAGAAACAGTGTATGTCTGAAAATGCCTGAAATGTACCCCCATATTTGATTTCTCAAAGAACTAAAAATAGAATTACCCTTTGATCCAGCAATCCACTACTGGGTGTCTCCCCAAAGGAAAAGAAATCATTTTTATCAAATGCACTTGTATGTTCATCACAGAGCTATTTACAACAGCAAAGTCATGGATTCCACCTAAGTGCCCATCAAGAGATGACGACTGGATTTTAAAAATGTGATATCTATCTATCTATATATCTGTATCTGGAGATAGATATATACATCATGGAACACTACTCAGCCAAAAAATAAAATAAAATTATGTCTTTTGCAGCAACATGGATAGAACTGGACATCATTGTTCTTAGTGAAATGACTCAGAAGCAGAAAGTTCAAAACCTCATGTTCTCACAAGTGGGAGCTAAACAATGGGTACACACAGACATACAGAATGAAATAACAGACACTGGAGACTCCAAAAGGTGGGAGGGTGAAAAGGAGGTGAGGGTTGAAATACTACCTATTGGGTACAATGTACATTATTCGAGTGATGGATATTCTAAAAGCCCAGACTTCACTACCAGGCAATATATCTATGTAACACAACTGCACGTGTCCCCCTAAACCCATATAAATAAGTAAATAATCCTCATATTTAATTAAGGGATAGGCTAGATATACAATTCCACATCAGAAATATAATTTTCCCTGAATAATTGCAAACATTGCTCCAATGCCTTAATGCTGACAAATTTTTTGTTGAGAAGTTCATGACTATCTTCTGTATTTTCTTTCTGAAGGCTTTTGAAAAATTAAAAAATGCACCCCTAACATTCTGAAATTTCACAATGATGAGCCTCAGCACAGGTCTATTTTCATCCTCTGTGCCAGACATTTAGGGTATCTTTCAATCTGGAAGCTCATTTTTATTTCTGAGTCCCAGGTAGCTAATCTTAGCAGTCACTCAATAAATGATGATTGAATCAGACTAAACTGAATAAGAGTTCATATAAAGAAAATTCCCTCCTCCTGGGATGTCCTGCTTCTACAGAATCTTCATAAAGTGACATTCTGCCCATCCACCAAGATCTGACCTATGCCCTCCTAGATTCCTCCAATCTTTCCTTGCAGCACTTAATTGCACCTACCATTTGCTCCTGTGATATCTGTTTAATTGCTTATACGAATTCTACGTAATCTTAGACTGTACACTCCTGGAGGGCAGACACCTAGTCTTACACATCTTTGTGTACTATCTACCACCTCCATACTACTTCCAAGAATCTAACCCAGGGCTTAGCACTATGCAGTTCTTAATAAATGTCTGTTGAATGAATAAATAAATAAGTAAAGTAATACATAAAAGAAATTAGAAAACTAGTGCCTTTCAGAAAAAATCCTGTCACACAAACCTGACAAAAACAAGCAATGAGGAAAGGATTCCCTATTTAATAAATGGTGTTGGGAAAATTGGCTAGCCATATGTGGAAAACTGAAACTGGACCCCTTCCTTACAACTTATACAAAAATTAACTCAAGATGGATTAAAGACTTAAACATAAGACCTAAAACCATAAAAACCCTAGAAGAAATCCTAGGCAATACCATTCAGGACATAGGCATGGGCAAAGACTTCATGACTAAAACATCAAAAGCAATGGCAACAAAAGCCAAAATTGACAAATGGGATCTAATTCAACTAAAGAGCTTCTGCACAGCAAAAGAAACTATCATCAGAGTGAACAGGCAACCTACAGAATGGGAGAAAATTTTTTCAGTCTATCCATTTGACAAAGGGCTAATATCCAGAATCTATAAAGAACTTAAACAGATTTACAAGAAAAAAACAACAACCCCATCAAAAAGTGGGCAAAGGATGTAAACAGACACTTCTCAAAAGAAGACATTTATGCGGCCAACAAACATGAAAAAAGACTCATCATCACTGGTCATTAGAGAAATGCAAATCAAAACCGCAATGAGATACTATCTCACGCCAGTTAGAATGGCGATCATTAAAAAGTCAGGAAACAACAGATGCTGGAGAGGATGTGGAGAAATAGGAACACTTTCACACTGTTGGTGGGAATGTAAATTAGTTCAACCATTGTGGAAGACAGTGTGGTGATTCCTCAAGGATCTAGAACCAGAAATACCATTTGACCCAGCAATCCCATTACTGAGTATATACCCAAAAGATTATAAATCATTCTACTATAAAGACATATGTACATGGATGTTTACTGAAGCACTGTTCACAATAGCAGAGACTTGGAACCAACCCAAATGCCCATCAATGATAGACTGGATAAAGAAAATGTGGCACATATACACCATGGAATACTATGCAGCCATAAAAGAGGATGAGTCCATGTCCTTTTTCACGGACATGGATGAAGCTGGAAACCATCATTCTCAGCAAACTAACCCAGGAATAGAAAACCAAACACCGCATGTTCTCACTCATAAGTGGGAGCTGAACAATGAGAATACATGGACACAAGGAGGGGAACATCACACGCTGGGGCCTGTTGCGGGGTAGGAGGCCAGTGGAGAGATAGCATTAGGATAAATACCTAATGTAGATGACGTGTTGATGGGTGCAGCAAAGCACCATGGCACATGTATACCTAGGTTACAAACCTGCACATTCTGCACAGGTGTCCAGAACTTAAAGTATAATAAAAAAAAAAAAAAAAAAAAAAAAAAGAGGCCGGGCGCGGTGGCTCACGCCTGTAATCCCAGCACTTTGGGAGGCCGAGGCGGGTGGATCATGAGGTCAGGAGATCGAGACCATCCTGGCTAACAAGGTGAAACCCCGTCTCTACTAAAAATACAAAAAATTAGCCGGGCGCGGTGGCGGGCGCCTGTAGTCCCAGCTACTCGGGAGGCTGAGGCAGGAGAATGGCGTGAACCCGGGAAGCGGAGCTTGCAGTGAGCCGAGATTGCGCCACTGCAGTCCGCAGTCCGGCCTGGGCGACAGAGCGAGACTCCGTCTCAAAAAAAAAAAAAAAAAAAACAGAAGAAAGAAAAGAAAAAATCCTGTCACAGAAATTCCGAGTAACCAAGGAATGACTTCAGCTAATGAACAAATATGATCCCTACAGTTAAAAAGAAAAAAAAAATCTGTTTATTTCAGTTAAGGAAGAAGGCATACACTAAAATGGACCTGCAAGGTGTGATGAAAAGTAAATCCTTGAGTCATGTTTCTGAGTCTCAAAACACAGCAGAAACAGCTACTCGAAAATGCCAATTGGATACTTGTTTTTCTGTTAATTTTCACCACTGTGTGTATAATGCATTGAGTTTTGAACTCTTTTGGCATTAACTTAGGCAGAGTTACTAATGTTATTTAAGGAAAGTGTATAAGCAATAAGATTTACAGTTGGTCTACAAAATTATTTTCCAGATTAGCTTTATTTTACCTATGTGTAGTGAAATGTAATATAATGCTTCTAGAGAAGACTGTAAGTATTGTAAACTGAATCTTAAGGCAATAAAATTTCTTTACGAAATCAAGAGTGGACTAATATAAAAAAGAAACATGCAGTCTTCAGTATATCACAATAATGTGTCAATGTAGCTACAGGAAGTGTGTCAGGCATTACCATCGAGCACTGATAGAAGAGATCCAGTGTGGTTTTCCTATTGACCTATTGACTGTGACTGCTGTGCTCCTCTCAGTGGCAATGTTTAGCTCAGTCTGCATGTGATAATTGTTTCCAAAGCATGCATGGAATATGATTCGTTGACTTTTTCAGGTAACTAGACTCAATAAAAAATGTTGATATATTGATCTAATCAGAATAAATGCTTTGGCATCAAGTAAAAATCTTAAATCTTAAAAGTAATTCTTCAATATACCAAACATCCTTAAGACAAAGATAGACAAAGTAGCATATTTGTTACTCCATATTAAAGCTCTAGCCAGATTGGAAGAAAAAAAAAGAGAAAAATCTAGAAAATGATCTACATGCATCCAGACCAAAACAACAACAATACAAGCTGGCCTTGGTTGGTTCTACTGCGCAGAATTTTTGACCTTCAAGACCTGCATAATTTCCTCAAGATTTCTTTCTAACTTATATCCGTAGATAAAAATTTTTTGTTTTGCCTAATTCTCCAAATATATCTTTTTTTTTCCAACTGTCATATAAGACGAGGTCTTAGAGCTATTGTAGCCTATCTATGTGTTGTTCTTAAAACTAGCTCCAAATTAATGAACCCTACTACGTGGTAGCCGTACAATCTATGTTACCTTATTAATCCTGATAACATTCCTTTGAAAGGTGTCATCAGACCCATACTACAGACAAGAAAACTGAAGCCAGAGATATCAAATAACCAGTCCAAGGTCTGAAATTAATGAATTCCTAAGCCTATATTTGAACCTAGGTCCAAAGTCAATTCCCCTTTAAAATGCTACACTGCTACTTTTATGTTTTTATTAACACAAAAGAGGTGCTGGTATTGACTGGCAACCGTCCCAGCCCTATGATTTTATTTTCCAGCAGTTCAGTCATCTCATGACACCCTAATATTTGTAATAAAAATAAACACTTTTGTGGCTGTCTGCTAGAGGCAGTGGTGCAGTCTTCGCCATACACATCAAGGCAATTGTTGAGTGTCTGTCCTATACCTGGCCCTGTGCTGAGTCTAGCGGGAGCTACTCAACACTGGAAGACCCAGTTCCCTTCCTTGGTAAATTAAGCTGAACAGAGATTGTTTCGTTTGAAAATTCCTGTATTTCTCAAGTGTTTCACCAGTGGCAATTGGAATGATTTTAGGCGGCTCATTGATCTCTGAATTAAGTAATACTGAATCTCAAAGAGAGATGTATTCCCTTTTCTACCCTTCCAATAACCATCAAAGATAATGACTCAGTTCGGTGCTAATATGCTTTTAAAACTACTGCTAATCTCTTTTGCCAATAAAATGAAAGCAAGCATTTGGCTCAGAGCCTTTGGCAAGCAACAGAGAATTTATTTTATTGGCATTTCTATTTATGACAATTGATGCTAATTTTCTATTTGTGATAGTGTTAAAATTTTCCTTTCTAAATGAATTTAGCATAAAAAGTGAGTCAATTAAAATAAAGGTATTTTAAAAATAATAACGCAGGCATATGGCAATAATACATATTAAATAACACAAGGATATGGGAAGAAAGTTCACTCTGTAAGATAAACTGAAACACAACCCAAAGGGAGTAGGCAGGGTCTTAGGAAACCTAGCCTGCATCTCCTCTTGGGACTCGGCTCATCCCAGCTCAATTGTAGGGAAAAGCTGTCTCCAGCTTCTGTGAAGAAAGAAAAGTCAAAGATTCTTTTCAATAGAAGAGAAATTGTGCACTAAAAAATCATTCATGTAAGCTTGTTCTCAGTAATTAGATGCTATCATAAATAAGCAGAGTGACCAACAGGTGACTTTTATTTTGGGCAAACTCTAAATGTCTTCTGGAAACAAGAGTTGTTTATACAAGATACAGATAATAAACCTTGGCAACATGGTTCCAATAATTAAAAAGAGTTTCATTTGAAGAGTTCAGACCAGAATAAGCAGGAAATCCATTTGCTACTTAGTTGCAACAGCTAAGGAGGGTCTTAGCTCCTGTTTAACCTTTCTCCTTTGGTGAGCATGTCTACAGCCTTTCTCCTCTCATGAGCATGTCAACAATCCCGAGCTCTGTCCACGCAGGACCTCAGTCCTGCCGTTCCCTCAGCTCCCAACCCTCTCCTTCCTGGCTTTTCGCATAGCTTAACCATTGCCTCCTCACAGAGGCCTCCGTTGAGCAACTTAATTCCATCTTCCCTCCATATTTTTTCTCTTTTGCTGCATACTGTTTTTCTTCGTAGTTTTTACCATAGCTTGGAATTATTTATGTGTTGATTTGTTCTTTTTTTCTGTCTCCTCTTGTATACCTTAAGGTCTCTGATGGCAAATGCTGCATCTATTTAGAGATGATCATATCTCCAGCACCTGGCCCAGGAGGCCTTCAACATGTGTTGCTGAAACAGCAGACAACAAAAAGTTCCCTCTGGGTCCAAAACAGAAAATGAAAGTGAGGAACAGGGCTGGGTATAACATGACAGAATAAACTTCCCCTCATTCTCGGTATTTGTAAGACAATAGGGAATAGAGGGGATATCTAATGACCGAAGGATGACCCGAGCCCCCTAAAGACAGTGGATGGAACTTAGCTCCATCTAATACTTGTGACAAAGAAAGAAGGAGCCAATAGGACCAGACGTTGATTTCTTCAAGAAAAGCTAGACATCTAAATGTTTATGTGAATTCTGCTTATTTTTAATGCTGGAAACTAAATCAAAGTGTTTAAAACTTTGTAGGGGCCAATATTTAGTGAGCTAAACATACATATCTGAGCTTTCACATTGTGACGCATGCTATCATGAAAACCTCTATTCCCTTTGCAGGTTTTCCTAGAGGCAAAATCTCTTACATGTATACAGTTACAGTAATATATAACTACTCCTCAGCGCCCACTCCCACCGTTTGGAAATCTAGATGGTTTAACATTCAACTTGTCCAAGAACACAAGAATATCAAGACTATTATTCTGAATTCTCTGACTAATCCATGTTGGTTTGATAATCTCCCTTTAATATGCCCAACATATTTCATTCATTAATTTACTTAAACAATTGAGTGCCTACCCTGTACCAGGCACTGGCATAAAATTGTAAGTGATGTGGACATATTCTTGGCCTCCTTGGGCTTCTGTCTCATGAGGGATCTAGAGAGGTAGTGATATAGTCTGGCTGTGTCCCCACCCAAATCTCATCTTGAATTGTAGTTCCCATAATCCCCACTTGTTGTGGGAGGGACCAGGTGGAGATAACTGAATCATGGGGGTAGTTCCCCCATCCTGTTCTCATGATAGTGAGTTCTCACGAGATCTGATGGCTTTATAAGGGGCTTTTGCCCCTTTTGCTTGGCATTTCTCCTTCCTACCATTGTGTGAAGAAGTATGTGTTTGCTTCCCCTTCTGCCATGATTGTAAGTTTCCTGAGGCCTTCCAAACCCTGTGGAACTGTGAGTCAGTTAAATCTCTTTCCTTTATAAATTACCCAGTCTCGAGTATGTCTTTATTAGCAGCGTGAGAACAGACTAATGCTGGTAGACAGCAGTTATATTGCTACCACCCAGAGGTTATTAGCATCCTCCCTGATTTCTCCTTCTCCATCATTCCTCACACCAAATCAATCCTCACATCTGACTAATTCTTAGATCTCTCAAAGCTCCCCATTCTTCTTTGCTTCAGACCCATTTCCATTGCTCTAGCCCAAGTCAACATCACTCTTATTTAAACTACCGAAACAACACTTTAAGTCACCTATCTCTCTTTCTACCCTTTGGCCATCTGCCATGGTCTGCCCTCAACACAACAGTCAGCATAATCCTCTTTAAAAAGGAGCTAAATCATGCCATCCTTCTATTCAAAACTCTCCAATAACTTTCCATGTCGCTCGGAATACAGCTCTTAGATTGACTAACGAGGCCCTGGATATGGCTACGTTCCCTCCTCGTCTCCTCCCATGTTCCACCTCACCTATGTTGCTCCAGCCACCCTGGCTGCCTTCTCAAATGTACTAAACTCACTCCTACCTCAGTGCCTTCGCCCTTGCTCTTCTCTCTACCTGGCGTAGTCTTCTTCCCACCTGCACACTTTGCACAAGCAAATCTCTTGGCATTCTTGACTCTCTTTTCTCTTCCAATTTGAATTACATTTTTTGAAGGAGTCTGGATGGTCTCTTATCTTCCTCAACCCAGAATGAACCGTCACTGTCCTCCACTTGGAAGCCACCACACCTAACAAAAGGATGGTGTGGGGACACATACCTGACCAAGGCCACATAGGAAGACAGCTGTCATTTTTCCCTATTAGGGGTTTATGACTCATTTGTGCAGCTTGTAATTGGGTTTTAAAACTTAACTCATTTCATTCTTTTTACATTCCTGATTTTGCTTTGGAAAATTAATGAAGGATGACGTATATTTACATAAAAGGAAATTGTCAGGATAAGTCTTGCTGCTGTCTGACTTCATGGGTTAACAGCTCGCCCAGTCTGTTTTCATATAGAGCAGAGATTGGGAAACTATGGCTCCAGGACCAAATCTGTCCAGTCACCTATTTTTGTATAGCCACAAAGCTAAGAATGGTTGTTACTTTTTAAAATAGTTGAAAAAAAATGAGACTAATAATAATATTTTGTAAGACAGAAAAAGTTAGAAAATTCAAATTTCAATGTTCATAATGAAATTTTATTGGAATGCAGCCACACTCATTTGTTTATATGTTGTCTATGGCTGCTTTTACACTATGCTGGCAGAGTCAAACAGTTGCAAAAGATACCGTATGGCCTGCAAAGTCTAAAATACTTACTATCTGGCTCTTTACAGAAGCTTAGATCTAGAGAAGTCATTACTACACTTTGAGATTTCATGAATCCGTAAAATTTAAGGATGGAGGAGGAGGGTAAACACATAGTTGCCAACTTTCAGGTTTTTGCCAAGGAAAGACACAAACAAATCTTGCCATCTGTCATCACCCACCACAATTTAATAAAAGAAAGAATAGCACAAAAAAAGTAAGAATGGATATAATTTCAGAAGAAAAGGGAATCTTACACAGTTAGAGGCTCAGGCCTTTAGCATTAATTCTAACTACTTTGAGTCCAGGGTCCAGTTTTCTCCATGTGTGGGAAATGGGCCTCATTGTGCAACCCTTTTAATCTTTAAAGTCCTTGATTTAAACTTTTAAGGGATGTCATAAGAATTTTCAGAATTAATTCTTTTTTAGTATTATTAATTACTTCAATAAGCTGATAAGAGTCTAGGTTCCCCAACTTTCGCACATCATCTTTATCCAGCTCACACCCTCAGATCTCACCCTCCTAAAATTGCCCATAACGTGGGAGCGTATGACAGTTTTCGGCATTCAGCATATATTGCTTTTAATTATTGATTACCTTTATTTATGCATTCTAGGCACCAAATTAGTTTTAACGTCCTTGAAGATGGTTTGAAGGTAGAGACTAAATGTGTAAATTTTTCATGTTTTGGTACCTAATGTGATGCCAAGAATAAAGTGAGTGCTTCTATACTGTATACAGTTTGTCCCCAGATCGAGCAATATCCTGGCTCCCAACACTGTCCCTTCTGCTTAATCCATGGAAAATGCTAAGAGTGAGAAGTGAATAAAATCATCAGTTCTTTCTCCTTAACAGAAATAAATGTCTGCTTTCTAGGGCTGGTTAGGGTGCTCCCGTCTTGGCAATACGAACATGACAGAAGGCCTCCTTGTGTTAAGTAGATGACCACCCTTTTTATATCATTCATTTCTCTCATGGTCGTATATTGTAATGTAGATCTCAAACTCAGGAGCATTTTGCATGCCAACCATGTGGCACAAAGTTAGGTAAAGTCCCTGTCAAAATGGGGCACTGGATGAATAAAGCCTGAGATCCTCCAGAAATAACATCAAGAGGAAAATTAATATAGTAGTTGAAATGTATAATTTGCTGACTTAGAAAAAAGTGGGCCATGATGGCTTTTAAAAAAATTAAGTATAGTAATTACAGGATTCAGCTGCTTAAGCTTTAATTCAACAGAGGACCAGAGAGCCCTCAGAACTCCCATGGAGTTTTCTCTCTTTCTCTCTGCTGGAGCTAACCCTGCAGAATAATTAAGAAATAATTTCTGAGTAGCCACACATGTAGGCAATCAGACCCAATATAGGAAACACCTGCTTTTACTTAATTCTGGACTGCTTACTAATAGAACATATTTGTCTTGGGACATTGTGTTTGCTTGTGTAATTATGCATAGCACATTTTCGGATTTTACTGCAGATTGGCTCTGAAATCAGTTCTGAGTGTGTCTAGGTAAGCAAGACACAAAAAGCCTCCCTCATCTTCTGTACAAACAGACGTAAGCAGAATAAGGCTCCATCTTCCCTTCTGCCCATACCATACGGTACAAACAGGAAGCAGTCAGTGAACAGCTTTGGTCTTTCCAGGCTTAGCAACCAGTGTTCTTTAGTTAACAATTCTAGACCCATCCAGCCAAAAGGGGTGGAAAATACACAGGTCAACAGCTAGACAAATAGCGCTGACAAGTAGCCCTGACGCCACTGAAGTAGAAGAGGCTTTGATCCAGTGGGATGATCCTCTTCAAGTGGTTGGAGTTTCAATGTCCTGCATATTAGCTGCACTTTGACAAGGGTTTTCATGACATAACCCAGAAAAAGACTATTATGAGAGTCACAAAAGAATGAGAAGAGTCACTTGAGACCGTGGAGAACATGGACACAGAGAGAAGAATTGTAAGGAGAATATGATTAGAAAAGAAATAAAACTCAAATACAGGGAGGGGAACATGACAACACTGGGGCCTGTCAGGTGGTTGGAGGGCAAAAGGGAGAGAGCATTAGGACAAATACCTAATGCATGCGGGGCTTAAAACCTAGATGATGGGTTGATAGGTGCAGCAAACCACCATGCACATGTATACCTGTGTAACAAACCTGCACATTCTGCACATGTGTCCCAGAACTTAAAGTAAAATAAATAAATAAATTCTAAGTACAAAAAAAAAAACCAACCCTCAAATATAAAGAATCAGGTTAGAATTAAAAGTGACATTCGATAGCTCTGTTTGCATACTTAAATTGAAATAAGAACAGAGACAATGGAGTGGAAGAAATCATGCTTGCATAAAGTAGCTGCATATTTACAGTAAAAGTATTTTTAGGCTTCAATTATCTCACATTTTCCTCAATTTTATACTTGTTTGAGGTGGACAGAAATATGTGAACATATTAAACATAGTCATGATTTCTGTATAAACTGCAAGTCCATCGATAGACCACAAATTTTTTAGATAATAGCTTTATTGAGGTATAAGTCACATACTATAAAATTCACCACTTTAAAGTGTATTATTTAGTCAGCTAGTTGCATTGTGTGACTACCACACACTACCTAATTTTGGAACATTCATCTCCCTCCCCCAAAACCCCATACCCATTAGCAAGCAATCACTCTCCATTGCCTCCTCCTCCAGCTTCCGGCAATACTAGTCTGCTTTCTGTCTAGAGACACTGGAGATACTCCACACAAATGGAATCATACAATATATGGCATTTTATGTCTAGCTTCTTTCACTTAATGCAATGCTTTCAAGATTCCTTCATGCTGTAGCATATTTCATTACTTCATCCCTTTTTATGACTGAATAATGTCCATTTTATGGATATCTCACATATTGTTTACCCATTCATCAGCTGATGAACATTTGAATTGTTTCCACTTTTTGTCTATTACAAATAATGCTACTATGAACATGTGTAGACAAGTTTTTATCTGGACTTCTTTTTGGTTATCTTGGGTATATAACGGTAGAATTGTCGGATCATATAGCACCTCTATATTTAACTTTTTGAGGAATTTTCTAGAACTGTTTCCACAGCAGCTGCACCATTTTTCATTCGCATCAGGAAGGTAGGAAGGTTCTAATATCTCCACATCCTCACTGACACTGGTCATTGCCCATCTTTTTAATGATAGCCATCCTAGTGAAGTTTTTAGATTAGATAGAATGATTCTGAATGAAACCTCGAGAATGGCCTACCGAGGTAAAACATGCCTGGGTCTCTCATTTTGTTTTATCATCTGATCCGTGTTATTTGAGGGTTTTAGACTAAATTTACTAAATTAATAATATATTTTTTACCTTAACTTGAGGATAGTTTTCCCTTCTCAACCATTAGTCAGTGAATATCACAGGTCATGTTTTAATACTTATCATAGGCACAATACAAGCATGCTTTTATTTGAGAAGTCAGGTTTTGTGCTAAGTGCTGATGTACATCAAGTGATTAAGTCCCAGCTTGAAGTAGATCAGTGCTCCATTTGCCTGAGCATGACCAACGCTGACTGTAACTGCTCACTAACCAAACAGAGCAGCTCAGGTGGACAGCACTAATAATAGCTGATTAAGCCTTTCCCCTATGGAAGTACAATGAAGCAGTATAGCATGGGGTCTTGAAAAGAGCCCTGGCCTAGGAATCAAGGAATCTGGATGCCAGTTCTGTGAATGAACTGTACCCATCCCTGTTCCCCAGCACGGACTCTTCCCAACCAGGTTAGATATATCTGCTGTTTGCTTACCATAGTCTTCATTTACTTACCCTAACAGTGCAAATTTTTACATTATTGCTTTCTTAATTGATTGCTTTTGGCCCCTAGATTCTAAGCTCCATGAGGTCTGGGAACCACTTGTGTTTTGTCTACTATCACTTCTTTGGCACTTTAGCCCAGCACTTGACATCAAGTAGCTAGTCATTAAATATTGTGGAGATCTTGTATAAGCCACTAAACTACAATTTCCACTGAGTATTAGTACAACAGGTTATCATTTACTTAAATAGTACCTCTCCTCTACAAGTAAAGATTCTTATCTATAAAATGTAAAATAGGCATATTAGTAGTACATGCTTTCTTGGGTTGTTATAAGGACTTTATTAAATATAAATTAATACACTTAAATTGACGGCATACAGTAAATAATCAATAAATATTCATCATCATTATTATTTTGACTCTCATTCCCAGGTATCCACTTCTCAATAAAAATTTAAAAGGGTTAAATGAGAGTCTCCCTAACATGCCTTTCTGCACCGATATTCTGATACATTTGCTAGCAAGATGATATGGTTTGGCTCTGTGTCCCCACTAAAATCTCATTTCGAATTGTAATCCCCATGTGTCAAGGGACAAACCTGGTGGGAGGTGATTGGATCATGGGGGCAGTTTCCTCCATGCTGTTATCATGATAGTGAGGGAGTTCTCACTACCTGATGGTTTTATAAGTGTTCGGCGGTTCCTCCATCCCTGTCTTTCTCTTCCCTGCTGTCTTGTGAAGAAGGTCCTTGCTTCTCCTTTGCCTTCCGTCATGATTGTAAGTTTCCTGAGGCTTCCCCAGCCATGTGAAACTGTGAGTCAATTAAACCTCTTTTGTTTATAAATTACCGAGTCTCAGATGTTTCTTTATAGCAGCATGAAAATGGACTGATACACGTGATAACGTGTATCTAAGATATTTATTATCGTTTCATATCTGGGAAAGGTGGTAAGGTGTCCCAGGTAGACATGTGTATACAGCAGCTTGACGACAATGTAAGTGTTGAATTTTATTCATGGAGACAAATTTACATTTGATGGCAGCTATTTTTCTTTAAATCATTTGTAATTTGAAACTCAGCTTCATTTCTCTCTTGTGTAATACATTGATGGTACACAGTGAATTAGGGCGGATTTGGAAAAGGTCCAGTAAATGTCAAGTGTTCTTTTCAGTGAAATCAAATCCTGTGTGTTGGTTGTTTTTTGATTTACAAAAGGACATTATCATGGAGCATTTCAAATTCTCAAAGTTAACTTTGAGAGCACACAGCTTCTTGGGGAAACCACATTGCAGGGAAAACACAGGTCCTTCCTGGTTTTCCAACTATGCTCTGCAACTCTAAGCTTAATTTCCTGATCTTATCCAGGACATAAACACAATACTAATTCCTGCTCTTCTGAAAGTATTTTCTTAAAAATACTTAACCTCCATTTACAGGAAATGGCTGTTTCACAGATTCAGTCTATTCTGACTGATATAAATTTGTGTTAAAGGACTATTTAAATGGCTTTGTCAGTCATATTTGGATTAGTGGGGTATAGAAGGTGGTACCCCAATTAAATCCCACAGATCGATTTCACCCCCTTCCATCTGTCTCTGCTTCTGCTTCTTCTCTGCCTTCCCTACCCATAACTAAACTCTCCTTCTCTTCCCCTTTATCTTTCTTTCTTTCACCACCTCTGTTCATTTGACTTTCATTTTATCTTCATCTCTTATTCTTTTTATGAACCTCTTCCATCTTTAACTTCTCTATTTTGACGTGAAGACACAGAAACAGATAAAGTGAGTCAGAAGTAAAAAGTAGAAGATGGAGAAGAAAATTTTGGAGGAGGATGAAGAAGCAAAGAAGATGATTATGATTGAGGGTGAAGTGAGGGAGAAAACAGGCTACCAAAATACTATGAGAAACATGTGTGATAGATTTTCTGGGAAGACTAGGTCTAAAGGTTTTGTTTTGTTTTGGTTTGGTTTTTGTTTAAGATACCCAGGCTAGATGTGAACACACTTTTACTGACATTGAGAAAAAAAAACTACAGAAAAGGTTCTGGTAAAAGAAACATGCTATCTAGCTTTTTAAAAAACTTATCTTCCTTTTGAAATAGATATTATAAACTGTTTTTCTATGTTATTTTTCTCTCACTATTACTCAGGAACTCCTTTGTTCAGTCAAAAATGACAGTATTTACTGTCTGTGACATATTGAAATGGGGCCTCATATAAAGGGTCATTATTTAATTGAATTCAAGGTCCAGGCCCAAGATACATATACAAAAGATATTTAATAAAAGTCCTGGGTTTTACATAGTTCATTCTTATATGGTATTGCCAGTATACTAGAGATTTTTCTCAGCTAGTTCTACTCAGGTCAAGGAGCATTTAGCCAAAATACCACTGAGTAAATTGCATATTACATGGCTTTGAGCCATTTGCAGCCCAAACATTTAATACCCACAAATCAATCTTGGTTGAAATGACAGAAAGAGGGAATCATTTTTAATTTCCTTTTTCAAATGGCACTTTTATTGTGAAACGTAATACAGTAAAAATTGTCTATTCTTCCAAAAAAGTGCATAAGCATAAATGTATAACCTAATGTGTATGGTAAACACCTGGGCAGTCATTAAATAGCTCAAGAAATACAACATTGTTGGCTACAGATTTGTAATGGCCTTGACATCCAATACAGCAAGTGCTCCCAAGTTGTTCTTTGGGAGTATTGTAGTTCTTCTTCACTCCTTGTTATTCCACTTAAATCTTAGGCACAGATTTTCAAGTTCCTAATAAAAATCCTGCTGGGATTTTGATTTTGACTGCATTGGATTTATAGATCAATATGGCAAGAATTTACTTCTTTATAGTATTGAGTCTTCTAATCTGTGAACACAGTATATGTATCAATTATTTATTTAGGTCTGTTTTTCTCATAAATTTGTATAATCATCTCTGTATAAGTCTGGCATATCTTTTGGCAGATTTTTTTTCTAAGTATTTGATATTTTATAATAGTGTAAATGTTCTCTTTATTTAAATTTTATTCTTTTTATATTTTGTCATTTACAAATAAAATTGAATTTTGTATTTTTGTATATTTTTTATCCTGCAAATTTGCTCAGCTATCTTTTCAATTATAATAAGGACACTGTGGATTCTTTAGATTTTTAAATATACAAAACCATACATGTACAAATAATGATAATTTTGGCTCTTTATTTTTTATTCTTACACCTTTTCTTTTCTTGCCTTCCAGCACCAGGTAGGGCTTCCAGCACAATGTGAAATGGAAGTGTTGGTGGAAGACAACCTGTCTTGAAAGGGAAACTTTCAGTATTTCTTTTTTATTCGCCAAATTCTTTTTTTAGCTTTCTTTTCATTAATACATAATAGATGTACATATTTTCAAAGTACATGTGATCATTTAATGCACTCATATAATTTGTAAGGATCAAGTCAGTGTAACTGGGATTTTCATCACCTTAAACATTTGTCTTTTCTACTTTCAATATTTTGACCACTGAGCAGAATGTATGTTGTAGGTGTTTAGAGATATTCTTTGTCCAATTGAGGATGTTTATTTTATCCTTAGGTTACCATGAGGGTTTTTAAAAATCATGATGGATATGGAATTTCTCAAGATCTGGAACTAAGTTGCTCATTATTACTGGATTCTCATTGGTTCTAACCTTTTCAGTGAGCAGATCTAGGAATGGGCACAGCCATATATGTACATAGATCTATATCTATTTCTATATCTATTCATCTGTGTGTGTATATCCGTGACTTGAGTTTATAACTGATACCTCCAATTCCAATCCAACATCACAGAATTCCTTCTAGTCTTCATCCTTTCCTTATTTGCAATTCCTTTCTCCAACAAGACTTCTGGACCACATTAGCCACAATATACTTACTTGTTTTCTCAGTCATAGAGTACACATAAAGTAATTTTAGAATTTCTAACGCATGTAACAGTGAAAAATAAATTCACTAACTAGAGTACTATCTGTATAGTTAATTTTGTCCTTAGCCTTAGAGTTATTAATTATTTTACAAAGTTACTTAGCTTTGTCCTTCTCTCCCCTCCCACCTCCTTGACTGGGATTATATTGTTGATTAGTATTTTAGTTAGGTATATTTGTTCACGTTTTTATTCCATTTGGGGTTGCTTCCACATCTGAGATGAATTTAATTTTTCAAAACTGGAAGTACAATAAGATTTTGAAATAAAATGAGTGTGAAACATGACCATGGTTCTACAAGTCAGAACTGTATGAAAGAGCACACTCAGAGCAGAGCCACTAGTCACCTTCTGCCCTGCCTCGGTCCCTCGTGCTTGCCACCCTATTCCCACCCACACTTTGTAGTCATTATTTTCTCTTTTATTCTTCCTGGGTTGTTTTTTGTGTTTGTGTGGGGTTTTTTTTTCCATAAACAGGCAGACAAACTAAGATAGCTTACCATAGATATGCTTTCATACTTTGCTTTTTATATACTTAATGGTATCCTGGAAACCACTTTCTATCAATTCATAAATATCTTCCTCATTAATTGTATTACTGCTGTATAGTACTCCATAATTTATCCAACTACTCTTCTTTATGTAGAAACTTATAATACCTCTAATATTTTGCAATGCATGCAATGGAATAATGAATAACCTTGTGAATGTGTATTTGTATTGCTGGAGGTATAGATTTCTAGAGTTGGGATTGCCTGATCAAAAGGTAAGTGCCTATACAGCTTTGCTAGAAATGATCAACTTCTCTTAGAATGGTTGTACCAGTTTGCATTTGCACCAACAATTTATAATACTTTTTCCCTACATCTTTGCAAAAGAATGTGTTGTCATACATTTTAACAAGTGTTGATCAGATTGGCAAGAAATGTATTCTCAATGTTTTAATATTTATTTATCTAATTATTAGTGACTTTGAACATCTTTTTATTTGCACAAGAGCTATTTTCATACCATTTTTTTTCTGTAAATTGTCTTCCCTGTCTTTTCCTCATTTTCTATTGGTTTTGCCCCTTTGTCCCTCAAGTTTTAAGAGTTCTTTGTACATTAGGGATGTTAGTCCTTGGTTTGTGATATATGTTGAAAATATACTCTATTAGTATATAAGTTGTCTTTTGACTTTGATGTGGTTTTTGCCATGCAATATTCTTTGTTATTGTTGCTATCAAGTTTTTTTAATTGTTTCTTTTATTCCTTCTGTATTTTGAATAAGTTAGAAAGACTTCCCCTATACTGAGATTAAAAAGAAAATTTCCCATGTTTTTCTTCTAGTCTTTGTATGGTTTTAGTTTTTACATTTTGATCCCTAATCCTCTTGGAGTTCCTTCTTATGTAGGGATCTAATTTCATATTTTTCCAAATGGCTTCCCAGTTTTCTTGGTATCATTTATTTAAAAGTCCATCCATCCAATTGCAGCATGGTACCCTGGATTTGATTCTGGACTTGATGTCTGAACCTCCATGTCCTCCTTGGTAATACGTGATAGTATCTTTTTAAAAAATCTGTGTGCCCTTACTCAAGTCAGAATGGTCATTATTAAAAAGTAAAAAAAAACAATAGCTGTTGGCGTGGATGTGGTAACAAGAAGGAACACAAATGCACTGCTAGTGGGGATGTAAATTAGTACAACCTCTATAAAAAAACAATACGGAGATTTCTCAAGGAACTAAAAGTAGATCTACTGTTCGATCCAGCAATCTCACTACTGGGTATCTACCCAAAGGAAAAAAAGTCATTCTATTAAAAAGGCACCTACATGCCTATGTTTATTGTAGCACAATTCACAATTGCAAAGATACGGAACCAACCTAAGCGCGCATCAACTGATGAGTGGATAGAGAAAAGTTGGTATATATATGCACCATGGAATACTACTCAGCCAAAAAAAGCCTCCAGCACTATACAAGTTGCTGCAAAAGACATTATTTTATGGCTAAGTGAAGTAACTCAAGAATGAAAAACCAAATGCTGTATGTTCTTATTTATAAGTAAGAGCTGAGCTATGGGTACACAAAGGCATTCGGAGTGGTATAATGGACACTGGAGATTCAGAAATGGGGAGTGTGGAGAGGAGTGAGAATAAAAAAATGGCACATGAGGTACAATGTATACTACTTGGGTGACAGGTGCGCTAAAATCTCAGACTTCACCACTATACAATTCATCCATGTAACCAAAAACCACTTGTGCCTCCAAAGCTACGGAAATTTTTTAAAAGTACCAAAAAAATTCAGGTGTGCAATTTAAATGATATAACCTATACACCATGGTAGGTCCCTGATGAATGTTAGTGGGACCACAGCCCAAGAAGCGTTAGCCTTAGGTGTGTCTATCTCATTCAATCCCATTGTAATGGCTACAAATATGCAAAGATTATAACCCAGGTAGAGCCATAAATCACCATATTCATAAAACAATTTTACATCAGTTACAGAGCAGTATGTCAGATAAAAATGCTGAAGATTTCAAAACCAAAAGTACAATTAAAGTTGGTTTTAGCTAATTTGAATATGTAGTTTTTGAGGCAGATCATAAAGAAAATTAGGAGTGAGAATGTAAGAGGAGCAGTTGTGTTTGTGCATTCAGTGGCTCTTGGGCATGTTATTAAGCTGCTCAAACCAACACATCTTCCCCTTCTGTCTGACAACATGGAGAGAAAAGGTAGAAAAATGTATCTTTCCACTGGCCTTCCACAGCTAGTTGGGGAAAATAAAAGATAAAGGGGATCTCGTCTAAAATAGTTGCCTTTGAGCTTTAGTTAAACTAAAAATAATATGTGCTTGACTTACGCATAAACTTAAATTTTGTCCTGGCCCAGTTACTGACTTAAATAAACTGATTCCTGGCTAAAAACACATTTAATGGTTATAACTATTATGGAAGAACACTGTCTCTATGTCTTGCTCCAATACTGAAATAGACAGCAGGTGACAGGGAGACCATAGCTATGATTCATTCACGAGTATTGAGTATTGTGTCTAAAAGTAATTCCTGTGGCAACTCAACCACGGAGTGATTTCACATTTTTAAATAGATGGTAAAGTACATCAGCGTGATTAAACGCACTCCCACAAGAGCAAGTGTTTGTTCTCAATATCATCATGTAGCCTATACAACTCTAATTTGAGAGTCTAGATGTTCAAAAACACCTGTCACAATACATTGAATATGATTATGTTTTGTTCAGTGGGATGGTTTGTGAAAAGATCAGGCTCTTGACTGAAGAATAAAATATGAAGTGGTCTCCTTTCTCCTATAGGAATTTGACTGCCAACGTGATTTTTTTTCCTATTGGCTAGGAATTTTTAAAGATTAGAAACCAATAGTTTGCATTTTTAGAAAACTTGATTATTTTATTCCTGTTGGATTATTCCTCAGGTTGTTGACTCTGAGGGGTCAATTACAAACTGACATGAGAATTCCCCTTTTCTCTTACCAATGGAGAAAACAGAATGCATTGAAAGAGAACTGTCAAAATGATGTACAGATAATGCACACATACGTATATGCATATATGCATATGATTTACATCAAATACTGTTTTCTAGTTGGATGATACAATGTGGTCTTTTGAAAAGTATCTCTGTAAGGAAGCATCCCATGCATAATAGAAAGGGAGAAGAGAGAGAGAGGGAGAGAGAGGCAGAGGGAGAAAGACAGAGAGAGAGAGAAATATATATATATGTGTGTGTATATATATATATAATATATATATACACACACATATATATAATGTTTGTATAAATTGTCCAAGGAAGATACATGCTTAAGGAACACTAAAATTATTATAAACATGATGTAAATTAAAATGCAAAATGTAAGCATTACATTTTAAAAATAAATTAATGTTATATCTACTTTGTTCTATTTCATTATATTTCAGACTTTTTTAGTGTGGTCCTCTTTGGCAGGACCCAAGATCCCGGGCTCAACTTTCCCACTCATTTTCTACTTCCCAGATGAAAAATTAACTAGGTGAAAACGAAAAAAACTATCCTTAATAAATAAATGCTCACACACACACACACACACACACGCACAGAAAACTCTGAGTTTTTAAATGGTAGAATGGATGACTAATATTGAAACCACAGTTATATGTCTTTTATATCGAAAAATATATAAAGGTTAGTCATTACAAAAATTATGGAATTATGGCCAACAATATTGCCAATGCACATATGGATCATCATGCACTATAGCAGTAACCAAACTACCACAATAAATAAACAGATAATGGTAAAGCTAAAATAATAATATGTTAGAATGGAGAGGAAACAAGACCAGCATCTGAAAATCACATATATTCTAAGACAACACTGGTGCTGTATCAATACCAGATTTCCGGTATTCAAATTATGAATATGCCTGAAACATTTCAGAGCACTGTGTGTCAACTGGTCTTCAAAGTAGAATACTGAATTTAATTAAGTCCTTGGTATGCTTAGTTAATGTGCTAATTTATTTTAGGAATGGCATATGTGAATAACTCTAATAGCTTACCCATTAATTTAGTCATAAATAGCCTTTGATTCTATGTAAAAGTAAAAATTTATAGATTTGCATATCTTTTACAGAGACTTACCTTTTGAGAGAGTTGTGAACTATATTAGTAGTCTGCTTAGGACCTCCAGCTTACCTTAAGAGTCACTGGTGTACAGGACCAAAAGGAAAGTACATAATAGTACATAATATTTTTAAGTACTATAGCTATAAATCTAATATACGCAGATGTTGCAAATTGTTGAGATTCAGTGCTCAGTGAAACTGATAAAAATGACCTTAGGGCCTCTTCTCACAAAATCACATTCCAGAGTTGAGAAGGGCTTTGAGGTCATGGAGATAGGACATTCCTTACAATAGTCCTGCAGCCAGATTAAACAGACTTGGAGATCTTTGTAATTGTGTAGATCACAATAGCTCCAAGCAATTTGACTGATAGTCACAAACCAGATTGAAGACAGGTCAAATTTGCACAGTTCTATAATTTCCAAACATTGAATCAATAGCTCCCAGACTCATATTCTTCAGATATCAGGTGACAGAGAATAAAATATTTACCAAAATGTTTACCAGAAAATTCACACTGAAGCCATACCTTACCATAAACCTAAGTGGCCCCACTGAGATTACCATAATACTCCTGGATTTCCTCAATCTTCAGCTAAAATTACATTCTCTCTCATCCTTTTACAATTGAATTGCAATTTAAAAAATTAATTTTGCTTGAACTAGCTAAAATATTCATGCAGGTGTGATCAGAGGAGTTTGCATAACATGAATTGAGATGCCTCGCATTTTTATGTAAAAACGACTGCTACACAAACTGAAGAATTTAGAGTTGTCACAGACACTGAAAACTTTATTAATCTGGAAAGCCGGTTTGCTGCACTACATTTGTTGCCAGTCCATTCCTGACTCCTACCAAATTTTAAAACTGGTTGAGATCAAAAGAATACTTTAAGTGACACACAGAAAATCATTCAAGATCTTGGTCTTATTTCAAACAAAAACAAGATCTCAATTATCCTGTCTTTTGCCTGTTTAATTACCTTTTAATTATTAAGAAGTTATTCTTTCAAATGGAGTCTGTGTGTGTGTGTGTGTGTGTGTGTGTGTGTGTGATTTGCATATGCGTATTGGACTGAATAAGCTTTTAAATTTAGCTTACATTTTTTTTCTACCATTTCTCAGAAGATCAGCTAAAGACACATTCAGGCTCATGCCAGCCTTTATCTGGACAACTATCCACAGCTATTATTTTAGAGTTATGTACATCTTCCAACTTCTAGCTTTTATTCTCTAATGCAAAATAAAATTATTTGCTTCACGGCTGTATACTCTGAATTTGCAACTCTGATTTAGGCAGAAGAATGTCCTTAACTCTACCTGGACTTCAGCAGTATTTGGTACAGCAATAATACACTCAGCCCAACTCCTCTAATTGGGGTCTACAACTCCTGTGCTTTTTCAATATCAAAAGTAGAAAGACCTTTCAGCAGAGGTGAGTGGAGCAAATTGTTTACATGAGCTCCAAAGATAAGATACACACAATTGTGGAACTGCCTGAAAATCTGATGCTATGACTAGATTTAATCTGGAAGGATGGCAAATACATGGTAAGATGCCTCAATTCCTCCCTCCCATGTTTATGGAAGACATCTATAATCCATCACACCATTCTTTCCAGTGTCAGCTCTTTGGGGGGCAAGTATTGATTGATTGGTTAACTGATTTTGCTCTTGTGTGTGTTGCTATATTCCCAGGACCTAGAATAGTACCTTGAATATCACATTGTAGGCACTCAATAAATAATTGTTGAATAAATGGAATAAATGACTCAAAAGTTGTTTCAGAATTCTTTGCAACACAACACTCTAGGCAAGCAAGATACAGTGTATTTTCCCTCCTTGGATAAGCCAGCCTCATTGTGAGGAGACAGAGCAAGAAGGCAGCCAATTGTTTCCTCACAAAGCAGGCTCAATATATTTTCTAGCTCTGATCTACCCCATGTAATGGCTTTAGGTCTGACTTGCTCTGAGGAAAATATTAATACTAAGGTTGGTACCTCTAATGTAAGAAGGTATGATACAATTCTAAACAATGTAGGCATGATCACTATTTTAGATTCCAAATCTAATTACCAAGTGGGTCTGACTTAGAACAATAGAAGTATATACTGTCCTGGTTCTTGAGGCTAGAAGTCTGATATCAAGTGTTGGCAGTATCATACTCCCTCTAGGAGAGAAGGCTTCCTTGCCTTTTTCAGTACATAGCAGCCCGAAGCATTCCTTGGCTTGTGGAAGCATAACTCCAATCTCTGCTCCCATAGCCACATGGCCTTCCCTGTATGGGTCTCTGTGTCCAGTTTCCCTCTCCTTTCTCTTGTACAGACACACTGGACTAGGGGCCACCCTAATTGAGTATTACTTTATCTTAACTTGATTACATCTGCAAAGACTCTATTTCCTAATAAGGTCACATTCAGAGGTACCAGGGGTTAGGATGGGAACATGTCTTTTTGGAGGACACCCACTCCAGTCACTGTCCTCATGGATCTTACAACTGAGGGTGACAATACAGATGAGTAAACAGGAAATTACAACTGAGTGATAACGTGTTTTCACAGGGGAAGTAAAAGATACTGTGAGAAAAATAAAAGGAGCTCCTAATCAGATTGCCTGAGGGGCTCAGAATTGCACTGGATGGCAGATAACAGAAATCTGACAATAAATTATATCACATTACATAACAAGAAATTGGAAGCAG